>NC_000003.12:142190422-142493452 GCF_000001405.40 Homo sapiens | reverse complement strand
TTTACTTTAATAAGAGGCAAGTAAAAGATAAACATGAAATTACAAATGGATTTGTACAAAAACATAATGAACTAATACTTTTGCAGAAAATAGAAGTATGTTTTTAAATTAAAAGGCTTATTGTTGCCTTTTTTCTTTTAGGGTGATGTTCACCAGGCACTAATTGTTCTTCAAAAAGGTGTTGAATTATGTTTTCCTGAAAATGAAACCCCACCTGAGGGTAAGAACATGTTAATCCATGGTCGAGCTATGCTACTAGTGGGCCGATTTATGGAAGAAACAGCTAACTTTGAAAGCAATGCAATTATGAAAAAATATAAGGCAAGTATATGTATAATGCAGTTTCAGTTAACTCTGTTGACTACGTAAAATGACTTAAGTCTATATGGCAAAGCACATGTATAAAAATAACCAGGAAATTTTTTTGACTTTTCAGTGAGTATATAAGTATATGGATTATCACAAAATAAATATACTCATGAAACTGCCACCACATCAAGAAATAGAATATTATTTGAGCTCTATAACCCCACTACCCTTCATCCCAGTAATCACTATTCTCACCCTCTGTCTCAAAGTTAACTACATCCTAGCCTGAAAATTTTTCAGCAAAACCAATTTATAACTTCTTTACTAGGTATTAAACTTTATATAGATGGTGTTGTAAGAGATATACCTCTCAATAATCCATGGGTCAATGAAAACTTTCAATGGAAATTGAAAAGTACTTTGAACTGAATGATAATAAAAATGGCATATCATATCCTGTGCAGCTAAAGCCATTCTTAAAAGGGATTTAAATTTTTATTTGCATATATTCGAAGAAAATAAAGGTTCAAAATTAACGAGTTAAGTATCTATCCCAAAGAGTTAGAAAAGGAACTAAAAAAGTAGGGAGAGAAATAAAAAAGTAGAAGAAAGGAAATAATAAAGCAAAGAGCAGGTGGCTAGAATTTGTGGGACAGATTAACTGAGAGAAAAAAGTTAAACAGAGTAGTTCCTATCTGCATAGGAATTGTGTTCGCTGAATACCAGCCTGCACATGAATAATTCAGAATTCTATGAGGCCAAGCTAGGAATAACTGCTGGGGAAAGAATAAACATGCAGAGGCTATAAGAACAATTTCCAGAGCTCACACGGGATTGAGATTCATTCAGATTACAGGATTGAGAGTTATTCAGTCCACCAGCCAGATTAAGAGGCCTCATTGCATAATATGGAGCATTCAGTAAAGACCTTAAAAGGGCCACACCTTAGAAGTAGGACTAAATTAGTCCTAGGCTAAAAACTACTCTATATCCATACTAGAAGGGCAGTAAAACAAGCTTTAAGATGATTACACTGATCTTCAAGTAACCTTACTGCCTGCCAGATCAAAGCCTAACACTCTTTAAAGCAAGACAACAAAATCTAAAACTTGACAATGTAAAAATATATCCAGCATCCATTAAAAAATTACTCTGTGAATGAAGAAGCAGGAATATTTGAGCCACAGATAGGAAAAAAAATAAATCAGTAGAAATAGTTCTAGAAATGACAGGATTTAAAAACAGCTATTGTATATAGGCTCCATAAGTTTAAGAACATAAACAAAAATAAGAGCATGATGAGAAGAGAGAGAAATCAAAGATACAAGAAAGACCTAAATGGGACCAACAGCCAAAGCAAATGGCACAGACAGTGCTAATCTTTAGATCCAGGAAGTGTTGCATTCTGATGAAGATAAATAGGAGTCCAGCTCCTGTTCCTTGGTTACAAGAAGATGTCATGCCACCTAAGAAACTAACCTTGATTTGCATTAAAAACTATATTATCCTAAAGGGCAGTGATAATGAGGCAAGTTCTGAAACCATACTTGTAAGTTTCACCTTCCCAGTTAGAGAGATCTTCTGAATTTATTCTAGTATGTAAGACACAACAACTTATGAGGCACACAAAAACTCACCAGTACTTAACAGCAGAATTTGATAGCAAATATTCCAGTTCTCCCATCTCTGCCTGGGTACTAAAGCCAGGGTTAGGGAAGAGAGATGTTGTCAGACTACCAACTTTTCAGGTTCTGTTTCTTCTGCATACACCCCTAATTTCCTGTCATAAAGGCCTCAGTAGCTGCTTCTCTTGTTCTGGTTGCCTATACATGATGTAGACAGAAATGAGTAGAGAAAAGAATAGAGGCTGACTACTGTAGAATGACATGCAGATCCAAGGGGCCACATATTGCATGATTCCACTTACATGAAATGGCCAGAATAAGCAAATCCATAGAGACAGAAGGTAGATTAATGGGTACTAGAGACTGAGGTTGGGGCTGGGAAGTGACTGCTAATTGGTACAATTTTTTTTTTGGAGTGATGAAAATGTTCTGGAATTAAATAGTGGTGATGGTTACACAACTCTGTAAATATACTAACAACAACTTTAAAAGTGTGAACTTTATAATATATTAATTATATCCCAATAGAGCTGTCATTTTAAAATATTACCCAAATGGCAATCTTTAAATAAAAAAAGAAGTAAAAGATACAAGGACTAGGAAAAAAATATAGGAAAGTTATTAATTGCAGATGATATGAATACATATGTAGAAAATTCAAAAGATTATAAACTATTCAAAATATTGAGTGAATTAAACAAGATTGCCTGATGATTTTATTTCTATATGACAACAAGAAAGGAATTTAAAACATACCATTTACAAGCAGAAAGTACTTGAACAGTTGGATATCTGTATGAGGAAAAAAATGATCTTCAACCTCTGCCTCATATGATAGACAAAATTGCTTCAAAAAAGTAGATTATAGATCTAAACTGAAAAGCTAAAATTATGAATTTTTAGATGAAAAAATAGAAGAAAATCTTTACAACCTTAGGGTAGGCAAAGGTTTTCTTAGGTCACACAAAGCATTAAGCATTTAAAAAATCCTGATAAATTAGATGTTCATCAAAGTTAAAACCTTTTCTAAGAAAGACAGTTAAGAAAATGAAAAGGTAAGCCATAGACTTGGAGAAAATACTTGTAATACATATATGACAGAGGATTTGTAGCTAAATTATAGAGAACCCTACAACTTAGTAAGACAATTTAAAGATCTGTGAGGCTAGGCACAGTGGCTCAGGCCTGTAATCCCGGTGCTTTGGGAGGCCGAGGCCTGAGGATCACTTGAAGCTAGGAGTTCAAAACCAGCCTGGGCAATATAGTGAGAACCTGTCTCTGCAAAAATAAAAATTAGCCAGGTATGGTGACGAATGCCTATAGTTTTAGCTATTCGGGAGGCTAAAGCAGGAGGATCACTTGAGCCTAGGAGTTCAAGGTTACAGTTAGCTATGATTGCACCACTGCATTCCAGCCTGAGTTACAGAGTGAAACTTTGTCTATTAAAAGAAAAAAAATACAGATCTGCAAAAGTCTTGGATAGACACTTCATAAAGAATACACGCAAATGGCCAAAAAGCAAATGAAAAGATGCTTAACATCATTAGTCATTAGGAAGATGCAAATTAAAACCACAATGAAATAACACATTACACACTAAAATGGCTAAAGTCTGAAAGACTAGCAATACCTATTAATGCAATAAATGCACCTGGTGGGGACTATAAAAAGTTAAATCTACCATATTCCATTCCATTCTTAGGTGTTTATCCAACAGAAACAATTACATATGTCAATAAAAAGACTTGTACACAAATGTTTATAGTAGGTTTAGTCACAAAAACTGGAAATAGGCCAGCTGGCCATCCAGAGAAGAATGGGTAAACAAACTGGTACAGTTGTATAATGGAATACTACCCTACAGTAAGAAGAAATGAACTACTGATACACGCAACAAGGTAGATTAATGTCATAGATATGCTGAATGAAAGAAGAGGGACATAAAAGACTATATGCTTATATGATTTCATTTATGTGACATTTTAGAACAGGTATAATTAATGTATATGCATAGAAATTATATCAGTATTTGCCTGGGTAGTTGGCAGGAGAGTGACGGCAAGGGTGGGCGCCCATAAGAACTTTCGAGAGTTAGGAATGTTCATCTTCTTGACTGGAATGATGGTTCCATGGGTGTATATGTCTTAAGAAAGTTGATTTAAAATTTTACTTTATTTTATTTTTGAGACAGGGTCTTGGTCTGTCAACCCAGGCTGGAGTATAGTGGCATGATTACAGCTCACTGCAGCCTCAACCTCCTGGGCTCAAGTGATCCTCCCACCTCAGCCTCTCAAGTAGCTGGGACTACAGGCACATGCCACCACACCCAGCTAATTTTTTATTTTGTGGAGATAGGGTCTTGCTGTTCTGCCAAGGCTGGTCTCAAACTCCCTGGCCTCTACTGATCCTCCCACCTCTGCCTCCCAAAGTGCTGGGATTATAGTTGTGAGCCACCATGTATGCCCAGCCTAAAATTTTTAAAGATATCATTTAGGATAGCAATAAAAATGATGAAATGCCTAGGATTAAATTGCACACAAGACCTCTCCACAAAATAAAAATTAAAACATTAAAATTGAGTGAAGTAAAAAAGAACTAAATAAATTGGTAGCTAGAATACATGTATGAATGGGAAGACTCAATAATATAATTATTTCTCTACAAACTGACCTAGAGGTTTAATGCATTACTCATCAAATGCTAACAGGTAATTGACAATTAGAATTTAAAACTTATGTGGAAACATAAAGGCCAAGAATAACCAAGAAGCTTCTCTGTCACCTTTCATTTTTTCAGTTTTAATTTGAAATAATCTTTGACTTCTAAAAAGTTAGTAGTAGTATAGGGAATTTCCATATCTACCCTTTACCGTGTTTCCACTAATTTTAATATCTTACACTACCAGAGTATCAGAAGTGGGAAATTAATATTGATAAACAATACTGTTAACTATCTGTAGACCACATTTCACCAGTTTTCCCAATAGTGTTCTTCTTCTGTCTAGAATTAAGGATTCCATATAGCATTAGTTGTCATATCTCCTTAGTGACCTCCAATCTATCTGAGATGCTCTTTACTGTATCGTGTGAGGTCAGGTGCAGGGAGAAAATAGTTGGCCCAATCAAAAGAGGTAATTGGGGAGAGTTTAATGAAAAACTAGATTAAGGGAAATTAACAAAGGATGGTGAAAGTACCCCATGGCTAGCAACAACAGAGAGTCGTTGCTAACTCTAGACCTGAAGGAGCAAAAGGATAGGGCATTTACTGGAACCTGTACAGGGAGCTAAATTTGTAGGAAAGGACCATTGGACCAGAACTTAACCTTAGGGAAAGAAACACCACCACTGTCAACTGCAGCCCAGCAGGAAGGAAACGAGCAGGTATAAAGACCTTAACCTCACTCTCCCCCTCACCCTCTAATCTATTGCTACCTTCCATTGATTGAACTTCACAGGAAGCCAGAGGGCAAACAGGCCCATTGATATAAATCATCAATTTCAGTTTGCTGGGGCACTGAGCAGAGTGGAAAAGGCTAAAGTTGGCAAGTGTATCTATCTGGAGGGGCAAACTGTGAATAACCAAAATAGTCTTTTCAATAAATGTTGTTGTATCACTTGGGTATCTTATAGGAAAACAAAAAATCAAACTTGATCCCTTCTTCCCACCATAAACAAAAGTAAACTTGAGGTAGATTGTTAATCTAGGTCAGGACTTCTTAAACATAACAAAAACACTAACCCTAAAATAAACAATAACTTCTGTTTATCAGAAGATACCATTGTGAGTTAGAGGCAACCTACAGATTAGAAGATATTTGCAATACATTAGAGGCTCATATCTGGAATATGACCCAGCATGTCCCCAGAGGATAAACACAAGAATGTTTATAACATTATTATTTGTAGATTTTATATTGGAAGTAATCCAAATGGCAATCAGTTATAGAATGGATAAATATGTTGTAGCATATTCTTATAATGGAATACTATATAGTAAACCAAATTTATATGCAATAACTTGGATTGATATCACAAATGTAATGTTGAATGAAATAAGCCAGATAAAAAATATAATACACGTAGGGCTGGGCATGGTGGCTCATGCCTATAATCCCAGCACTTTGGGAGGCTGAGGCAGGCGGATTGCTTGAGCTGAGGAGTTCAAGGCCAGCCTAGGAAACATAGCAAATCTCCGTCTCTACAAAAAATACAAAAATTAGCTGGGTGTGGTGGTACATGCCTCTAGTCCCAGCTGCTCCGTAGGCTGAGGAGGGAGGATTGCCTTGAGCCTAGGAGTTGTGGCTGCAGGGAGTCATGAGCATGCCACTGCACACCAGCCAGGACAACAGGGCAAAACCTTGTCTCTAATAATAATATGTATTTTTTTGGAGATGGTGTCTCGCTCTGTCGCTCAGGCTGGAGTGCAGTTGCGCGATCTTGGCTCATTGCAAGCTCCGCCTCCCAGGTTCAGGCCAGTCTCCTGC
Source organism: Homo sapiens (assembly GCF_000001405.40). Classification (NCBI taxonomy): domain Eukaryota; kingdom Metazoa; phylum Chordata; class Mammalia; order Primates; family Hominidae; genus Homo; species Homo sapiens. The sequence continues at coordinate 142,487,035 of NC_000003.12, read as the reverse complement.
CTCCGCCTCCCGAGTAGCTGGGACTACAGGCGCCTGCCACCGCCCGGCTAATTGTTTTTTTTTTTTTTTTTTTTTTGTATTTTTAGTAGAGACCAGGTTTCACCGTGTTAGCCAGGATGGTCTCAATCTCCTGACCTCGTGATCCGCCCACCTGGGCCTCCCAAAGTGCTGGGATTACAAGCATAAGCCATCTTGCCCAGCCAATAATAATAATTATTATAGTATGATTCTATTTATATAAAAGTTCAAAAACAGACAAAAAACTCCTGGAGTTCTTGTATGAGGATGATAAATTTGTAATAATTGATCAAGTTGTATACATAAGATTCATATATGTTTCTGTATATAAACTTTATTTTTCAAAATAAAACTTAAAAATCTTAACTAAAAAGGGAGCGAGAGAGAAGAGAGGGAGGAAGGAGATTTTATATAAAGGTAATTACTTTGTGATAATTGATCAAGCTGTAAATGTAATATTAGTGTATTTTTCAGTATGTGAATTTTACTTTTCAAAATAAATATTTAAAATCTAAGCTGAAATGAGAGAGGGAGGAGGAAGGAAGTTAGGGAAGGAGGAAGAAAGGAAGGCAGGAAGACAGGCAGGAAAGAAGAAAGGAAGGAAAGACTAGATTGACTAATATGTTTTTCTGGCAGCCCTTACCCTGTGTGGCTGATTAGGTACATGAACCTAGCATGTGCCACACGTCTAATCATATCATTCTGTCCTCTATTCCCAGGCAGGTTTGTGTCTGTAGAGTCTCAAGATTAGAGTCAGTAGAAACTCAAGATCTCACTTAAGGTTTCTGGTCTAAACTGTTCTCAAACTTCTTTAGATGAAAAGTGGAACTTCAATTAAAAAAAAAATTGTCAGTGATCCTGTGTATTTCCCATCACATTTCATGTAATATTAAAAATTAATAAACCACACAAATATTTAAGGCAGGAACAGCAAAAAGAAATGACAAAGGAGACTAAGTGAGAGTGGCCAGAAAGAGAGGAGAAAACTTGGAAGATGGTGGCCTCACAGAAGTCAAGGGATGAAAGCATTTGAAATAAGTGACTTGGACAACAGAAACATATTGAAGAGAGTTCAAATGAGATCAGAGTTGTAAAATATCTCTTGGATTTAAGGAGCTCCTTAGTGGAGTGGTGAAGACTGAAGCTGAAAAGACATAGTTTTAGGAATCAATGTGAGGTAGAGAATCCTTTTTAGAAGCCTGCTTCTGAAGGAATTGAGAGAAAGGGCAATAACTTGTGAGAGATCTTGGAGAAAAACAAAATATGTGATTTTTATTTTACCAAAATTTTTATGCTTTTTAAAGTCCTACACTCTTTAGAGACTTGATATTACTTCTGCTTTGAAGATTTTTAAAAATGCCTTTCATGATATATGTGTATATACACACACACACATATCATATATATGTATAAAAAAATTTAACCCATCCAGACACTACTTTGATGTATCTTTTAAAGTGGTGACATAAATGGAGTTTTCTCCTAAGTTGCGAATTCTTCCAGCACTATTTCATGTTGGGCAGTGGGCAACCCACCAGAACAAATCAGCCCTCCTGAGAAAACCTTTACAAGAAGTTAGCTATTCCTTTTCCACATCAAAGATTGAGTCTGCTTTTGACTTTGCTCTGCCTAGATAAAGGTCACATACTTTTGATCCCTAATCATCTATTCATATTTTACTTCCCAGCATAGCGTGGGATTTCCTTAGGTAGGTATCCTATGTTCTTTTTTATAGGATGTGACCGCGTGCCTGCCAGAATGGGAGGATGGGCATTTTTACCTTGCCAAGTACTATGACAAATTGATGCCCATGGTCACAGACAACAAAATGGAAAAGCAAGGTGATCTCATCCGGTATATAGTTCTTCATTTTGGCAGGTGAGTATGAGAACTGCATGTTTGCAGATTAAATATGTAAGGATGACTATTAATATTGAAACTGTTATCACATGTCTTAGCATATTCTAGGTATTTTCTGGCTTATGACTGATTCAGTGTATCACCTTAGATAAGATGTAAATTTTTCCTTTATGCAACTTTTTTCTTCACTTTAAAAACTTTTTAAATGAAAAAAGTGATATAGACATGTGTTTTGGAAACTCTCTCTAACTATGTTATTCCTCTGCTCTCACACCAACACAGCAATCATCAACACAGTAGAAGACTTACATGACCAAAGATGTGGGTTTTTTTCCCCATACACCAAGCAGTGGACACCAGCTTGGTGTCCTCCAATTCTGTTCTGACACTCTCTACCTGGAGACGGTGTCATACCTCAGAGGTTGAGGGCTTGGTGACACAAGACCATCTCCTCCTTCCCTTAGTTGCAAGTCTGGGCCTCTGGAACTTCTGACCAACTGGCTTCAAGTTGGGGTTCTCACAACCTCCTCTTGGGTTCAATAAATTTGCTAGAGTGGCTCACAGAACTCAGGGAAACATTTTTACTAGTTTATTAAGAAAGATATTTTAAAGGATGCAAATAAACAGTCTGATGAAGAGATAGGTAGGGTGAGGTCTGGAGGGGTCCGGCACAGGAGCTTCTGTCTCCATGGAGATGGGCTGTGCCATCCTCCTGGCACGTGGATGAGGTCTTCTTCACCCTCCTGTCAGCCTCCACGTGTTCACCTCTCTGGAAGCTCTCCAAACTCTGTCCTGTGGGGTTTTTAATGGAGTCTTTATTACATGGGCATGATTGACAACCATGTAGAAATGTGAGTGGACAAATAGCTCATAATGTAAACCCAGCAAGGTCTGTCTGTTCAGACTTTTCTTGGCCTTTTCTATGTAGCATTCCTTCCTCTAGGATATGGGGCAGGATCCTCTCTGGGATGAGGATCTTTTGACTCACAGTCAGATTAGAATCCTCCCTTAGGCAGATGAGTGAAGGACAGGAGAAGCTCATAGAGAGAGATTCTGTTTCCTGAGGCCTAAAGTGCCCTGACATTAAAACGAGGAGTTAGGAGCCAGTAACTGTGAACTAAAACCAATATATGTATTATAATTCCACAGCCTGGATTTTTAAAAAAATTCAACAGCACCAAATTAAGTATCCTTCTCATTCCAGACCCTCATCCCCTGAGTCCCCAACCATAGAATTCCAGAAGACCCTTAATGTCATATTTCGTGGTTATATATATATATATTTTATTTTATTTTATTTCATTTTATTTTATTTTATTTATTTTAAGACAGAGTCTTGCTCTGTCGCCCAGGCTGGAGTGCAATGGCACGATCTCAGCTCACTGCAACCTCTGCTTCCAGGTTCAAGCGACTCTGGCTCACCCTTCTGAGTAGCTGGTATTACAGGCGTGTGCCACCACACCCAGTTAATTTTTGTATTTTTAGTATAGACGGGGTTTCACCATGTTGGTCAGGCTGGTCTCGAACTCCTGACCTCGTGATCCACCCACCACGGCCTCCCAAAGTGCTGGGATTATAGATGTGAGCCACTCCACTCAGCCTTTGTGGTTATATTTTATTGCAATGGAGTACTTCCTTCTAGCCCATTCCAATAAGAAGTGGTATAATATATATACATGAAAATGATTTTGACATTAGACTTGTAGAAAGTACTTATTCTTAAACTAGTTAATAGGTGAAATATAACTTTTAATTTCATATATCGGTGTATTATAGTCAAGTATAATCTCAGGCCTACTGTTTATGTTTTTATAAATTATTAATTGCTAAGAAACAATATCATTCCATACATTCTCCTTATCATACTCATGTACCATTGCTTTACATGGAAGGATATCTTCAGATCAATATATCTGTTAAAATTGCCTATTATGAGGTACTATGACTTCTCAGTTAAATATTTTCAGAAATTAAAGCAATATCTGTAAGCCACGGGTGGTGGTGTGTGCCTGTAGTCCTAGCTACTTTGGAGGTTGAGGTGGGAGGATTACCTGAACCTGGGACGTCAAGGCAGTGGTGAGCTGTGATTGCACCACTGCACAGCAGCCTGGATAACAGAGCAAGACCCTGTCTCAAAAAAAAAAAAAGAAAGAAAGAAAAAAAAAAAAGAAAGAAAGGGGGCATATGTTCTCAGGATCTCCTGAGGGCTGTGTCACACGAGAAAAAAAATGGAAAAAAAAAGCAATATTTGTTCATCATCAATGGTATTAGGGTAGCAAAATGAGTAAAGGTACTAAAGGCAGTTCTTCTTTTTTTTTTTTTTTAATTGACAAAGTATCACTCTGTCACTGAGGCAGGAGTGCAGTACAATCATAGCTAACTATGACCTTGAACTCTGGGCTCAAGTGATCCTCCTGCCTCAGCCTCCTTAGTAGTTAGGACTATAGGCACATGCCACCATGCCCAACTATGTTTTTAAATAATTTTTTGTAGAGACAGGGTCTCACTATGTTGCTCAGGCTGATCTTGAGCTCCTGGCCTCAAGCAATCTTCCCACCTCAGCCTCCCAACGCTCTGAGATTACAGGTGTGAGCCATCACTCTTGGCCCAGTTCTTTTGAAAAATGAGTAATAGCTTCTTTTGTTTGCTCTTTAGTCTTAGTATATATCATGTGCCTTGGGATATAGAATTTACTTAACACATTTCTTTTAAAACAAGTGGCTATATAAAGTCCTCTATATGCATAAAACTGTTATGTATAGTGAGTATTTTTAAAGTACCCTTCAGGAATGTAAGTACATTTTAAAACCTGTTTCTATCCATAGTAGTTAAAATAAAATATTTGTATGCTTAAGGGAGTAAACTTAGCTATTGAGACATATTTATCCCCTGACTGAATAATTGTGTTATTACTGATTAAATATCAATGTTTGCCCTTAAGAATCTAGGATCCAATTAGGGTTAGAAACCTTAAGTACATAAAACATTTAAATAATGGTACATAATAGAATGTGTGATTAGATATCAAAATAGGCTGGGCTCAGTGGCTCATGTCTGTAACCTCAGAATTTTGGGAGGCTGAGGCAGGCAGATTGCTTGAGCCCATGAGTTCAAAACCAGCCAGAGCAACATGGTAAGAACCCATCTCTACCAAAAAAAATACAAAAATTATCCAGGCATGGTGGTGCACACCTGTGGTCCCAGCTACAAGGGAAGCTAAGCCAAGAGGATTGCTTGAGCCCAGGAGGTGGAGATTGCGGAGAGCTATGATCATGCCACTGCACTCCTGCCTGGGTGACAGAGAAAGACTCTATCTCAAAAAAAAAATAAATAAATAAATCAAAATAAATGTAGTAAATATCAGATATGGCTGGGCACGGTGATTAATGCCTGTAATCCCAGAATTTTGGGATGCTGAAATGGAAGGATTGCTTGAGCCCAGGAGTTCAAGAAAAGCCTAGGGAACATGGCAAGACCTCATCTCTACAAAAAATAAATAAATCAGCCAGGCATAGGGTGTACAACCATGGTCCCAGCTATGTGGGAGGCTATATTAGCCAGATACCAAAAGTGAACCAAACAAGTCCAGAAGTCATGGAGGTCAAAAGTCAAGCCACAAGCCACTGGCTTTATGATTTCAAAAGTGTACTTCTTTGCATTGAATTGCTACAAAAGTCTGGTAAACCTCATGAAGAAGGTATACTAGTAATCCAAATTCAACAGCACATTAAAAGGATCATTCACCATGACCAAGTGGAATTTACTCCAGAATGCAAGGATGGTTCAACATATCCAAATACATATATTTGATATACCACATTAATAGAATGAAGGACAAAAACCATATGATCATCTCATCTCAATAGATGCAGAGAAAGCACTTGACAAAATTCAACATCCTTTTATGACTAAAAAGTTTCAGAGGGGCGGTTCCAAGATGGCCGAATAGGAACAGCTCCAGTCTACAGCTCCCAGCATGAGCAGCGCAGAAGATGGGTGATTTCTGCATTTCCAACTGAGGTACCGGGTTCATCTCACTGGGGCTTGTCAGACAGTGGGTGCAGGACAGTGGGTGCAGCGCACCGAGCATGAGCCGAAGCAGGGCAAGGCATTGCCTCACCTGGGAAGTGCAAGGGGTCAGGGAATTCCTTTTCATAGCCAAGCAAAGCTGTGACAGATGGCACCTGGAAAATCAGGTCACTCCCACCCTAATACTGCGCTTTTCCAATGGTCTTAGCAAACAGCACACCAGGAGATTATATCCCGTGCATGGCTCTGAAGGTCCCATGCCCACGGAGCCTCTCTCATTGCTAGCATAGCAGTCTGAGATCGAACTGCAAGGCGGCAGCAAGGCTGGGGGAGGAGTGCCCGCCATTGCTGAGGCTTGAGTAGGTAAACAAAGTGGCTGGAAAGCTGGAACTGGGTGGAGCCCACTGCAGCTCAAGGAGGCCTGCCTGCCTCTGTAGACTCCACCTCTGGGGGCAGGGCATAGCTGAACAAAAGGCAGCAGAAACCTCTGCAGACTTAAATGTCCCTGTCTGACAGCTTTGAAGAGAGTAGTGCTTCTCCCAGCACGGAGTTTGAGATCTGAGCACTGACAGACTGCCTCCTCAAGTGGGACCCTGACACCTGAGTAGCCTAACTGGGAGGCATCCCCCAGTAGGGGCAGACTGACACCTCACACGGCCGGGTACCCCTTTGAGACGAAACCTCCAGAGGAACAATCAGACAGCAACATTTGCTGTTCAGCAATATTTGCTGTTCTGCAGCCTCCGCTGCTGATACCCAGGCAAACAGAGTCTGGAGTGGATCTCCAGCAAACTCCAACAGACCTGTAGCTGAGGGTCCTGACTGTTAAAAGGAAAACTAACAAACAGAAAGGGCATCCACACCAAAACCGCATCTGTACGTCACTATCATCAAAGACCAAAGGTAGATAAAACCACAAAGATGGGGAAAAAACAGAACAGAAAAACTGAAAATTCTAAAAATCAGAGGGCCTCTCCTCCTCCAAAGGAACGCAGCTCCTCACCAGCAACGGAACAAAGCTGGACAGAGAATGACTTTGACGAGTTGAGAGAAGAAGGCTTCAGATGATCAAACTTCTCCGAGCTAAAGGAGGAAGTTGGAACCCATGGCAAAGAAGTTAAAAACCTTGAAAAAAGATTAGACGAATGGCTGACTAGAATAACCAATGCAGAGAAATCCTTAAAGGACCTGATGGAGCTGAAATCCACGGCACAGGAACTACGTGACGAATGCACAAGCTTCAGTAGCCGATTCGATCAACTGGAAGAAAGGGTATCAGTGATTGAAGATCAAATGAATGAAATGAAGCGAGAAGAGAAGTTTAGAGAAAAAAGAATAAAAAGAAACGAACAAAGCCTCCAAGAAATATGGGACTATGTGAAAAGACCAAATCTATGTCTGATTGGTGTACCTGAAAGTGATGGGGAAATGGAAACAAGTTGGAAAACACTCTGCAGGATATAATCCAGGAGAACTTCCCCAACCTAGCAAGGCAGGCCAACATTCAAATTCAGGAAATACAGAGAACGCCACAAAGATACTCCTCGAGAAGAGCAACTCCAAGACACATAATTGTCAGATTCACCAAAGTTGAAATGAAGGAACGAACGTTAAGGGCAGCCAGAGAGAAAGGTCGGGTTACCCACAAAGGGAACCCCATCAGACTAACAGCTGATCTCTCGGCAGAAATTCTACAAGCCAGAAGAGAGTGGGGGCCAATATTCAAAATTCTTAAGGAAAAGAATTTTCAACCCAGAATTTCATATCCAGCCAAACTAAGCTTCAAAAGTGAAGGAGAAATAAAATCCTTTACAGACAAGCAAATGCTGAGAGATTTTGTCACCACCAGGCCTGTCCTAAAAGAGCTCCTGAAGGAAGCACTAAACATGGAAAGGAACAATCGGTACCAGCCACTGCAGAAACATGCCAAATTGTAAAGACCATCGATGCTAGGAAGAAACTGCATCAACTAACGAGCAAAATAACCAGCTAACATCATACTGAGAGGATCAAATTCACACATAACAATATTAACCTTAAATGTAAATGGGCTAAATGCTCCAGTTAAAAGACACAGACTGGCAAATTGGATAGAGTCAAGACCCATCAGTGTGCTGTATTCAGGAGACCCATCTCACGTGCAGAGACACACATAGGCTCAAAATAAAAGGATGGAGGAAGATCTACCAAGCAAATGGAAAACAAAAAAAGGCAGGGGTTGAAATCCTAGTCTCTGATAAAACAGACTTTAAACCAACAAAGATCAAAAGAGACAAAGAAGGCCATTACATAATGGTAAAGGGATCAATTCAACAAGAAGAGCTAACTATCCTAAATATATATGCACCCAATACAGGAGCACCCAGATTCATAAAGCAAGTCCAAGAGACCCACAAAGAGACTTAGACTCGCACACAATAATAATGGGAGACTTTAACACCCCACTGTCAACATTAGACAGATCAACGAGACAGAAGGTTAACAAGAATATCCAGGAATTGAATTCAGCTCTGCCCCAAGCAGACCTAATAGACATCTACAGAACTCTCCACCCCAAATCAACAGAATATACATTCTTCTCAGCACCACACCACACCTATTCCAAAACTGACCACATAGTTGGAAGTAAAGCACTCCTCAGCAAATGTAAAAGAACAGAAATTATAACAAACTGTCTCTCAGACCACAGTGCAATCAAACTAGAACCCAGGATTAAGAAACTCAATCAAAACTGCTCAACTGCATGGGAACTGAACAACCTGCTCCTGAATGACTACTGGGTACATAACGAAATGAAGGCAGAAATAAAGATATTCTTTGAAACCAACGAGAACAAAGACGCAACATACCAGAATCTCTGGGACACATTTAAAGCAGTGTGTAGAGGGAAATTTATAGCACTAAATGCCCACAAGAGAAAGCAGGAAAGATTTAAAATTGACACCCTAACATCACAATTAAAAGAACTAGAAAAGCAAGAGCAAACACATTCAAAAGCTGGCAGAAGGCAAGAAATAACTTAGGTCAGAGCAGAGCTGAAGGAGATGGAGACACAAAAAACCCTTCACAAAATCAATGAATCCAGGAGCTGGTTTTTGGAAAAGATCAACAAAATTGATAGACTGCTAGCTAGACTAATAAAGAAGAAAAGAGAGAAGAATCAAATAGATGCAATAAAAAATGTTAAAGGGGATATCACCGATCCCACAGAAATACAAACTACCATCAGAGAATACTATAAACACCTCTATGCAAATAAGCTAGAAAATCTAGAAGAAATGGATAAATTCCTGGACACATACACCCTCCCAAGACTAAACCAGGAAGAAGTTGAATCTCTTAATGGACCAATAACAGGCTCTGAAATTGAGGCAATAATTAATAGCTTACCAACCAAAAAAAGTCCAGGACCAGATGGATTCACAGCCGAATTCTACCAGAGGTACAAGGAGGAACTGGTACCATTCATTCTGAAACTATTTCAATCAATAGAGAAAGAGGGAGTCCTCCCTAACTCATTTTATGAGGCCAGCATCATCCTGATACCAAAGCCTGGCAGAGACACAACAAAAAAAGAGAATTTTAAACCAATATCCCTGATGAACATTGATGCAAAAATCCTCAATAAAATACTGGCAAACCGAATCCAGCAGCACATCAAAAAGCTTATCCACCATGATGAAGTGGGCTTCATCCCTGGGATGTAAGGCTGGTTCAACATACACAAATCAACAAATGTAATCCATCCTATAAACAGAAGCAAAGACAAAAACCACATGATTATGTCAATAGATGCAGAAAAGGCCTTTGACAAAATTCAACAGCCCTTCATGCTAAAAACTCTCAATAAATTAGGTATTGATGGGACATATCTAAAAATAATAAGAGCTATTTATGACAGACTCACAGCCAATATACTGAATGGGCAAAAACTGGAAGCATTCCTTTTGAAAACTGGCATAAGACAGGGATGCCCTCTCTCACCACTCCTATTCAACATAGTGTTGGAAGTTCTGGCCAGGGCAATCAGGCAGGAGAAAGAAATAAAGGGCATTCAACTAGGAAAAGAGGAAGTCAAATTGTCCCTGTTTGCAGACGACATGATTGTATATCTAGAAAACCCCATCATCTCAGCCCCAAATTTCTTTAAGCTGATAAGCAACTTCACCAAAGTCTCAGGATACAAAATCAATGTGCAAAAATCACAAGCATACTTATACACCAATAACAGACAAACAGAGACCCAAATCATGAGTGAACTCCTATTCACAATTGCTTCAAAGAGAATAAAATACCCAGGAATCCAACTTACAAGGGATGTGAAGGACCTCTTCAAGGAGAACTACAAACCATTGCTCAAGGAAATAAAAGAGGACACAAACAAATGGAAGAACATTCCATGCTCATGGATAGGAAGAATCAATATCGTGAAAATGGCCATACTGCCCAAGGTAATTTATAGATTCAATGCCATCCCCATCAAGCTACCAATGACTTTCTTCACAGAATTGGAAAAAACTACTTTAAAGTTCATATGAAACCAAAAAAGAGCCTGCATTGCCAAGTCAATCCTAAGCCAAAAGAACAAAGCTGGAGGCATCACGCTACCTGACTTCAAGCTATACTACAAGGCTACAGTAACCAAAACAGCATGGTACTGGTACCAAAACAGAGATATAGACCAATGGAACAGAACAGAGCCCTCAGAAATAATGCCACACATCTACAACTATCTGATCTTCGACCACCCTGACAAAAACAAGAAATGGGGAAAGGATTCCCTATTTAACAAATGATGCTGGGAAAACTGGCTAGCTGTATGTAGAAAGCTGAAACTGGATCCTTCCTTACACCTTATACGAAAATTAATTCAAGATGGATTAAAGACTTAAATGTCAGACCTAAAACCGTAAAAACCCTAGAAGAAAACCTAGGCAATACCATTTGGGACATAGGCATGGGCAAGGACTTCATGTCTAAAACACCAAAAGCAATGGCAACAAAAGCCAAAATTGACAAATGGGGTCTAATTAAACTAAAGAGCTTCTGCACAGCAAAAGAAACTACCATCAGAGTGAACAGGCAACTTACAGAATGGGAGAAAATTTTTGCAATCTACTCATCTGACGAAGGGCTAATATCCAGAATCTACAAAGAACTCAAACAAATTTACAAGAAAAAAACAACCCCATCAAAAAGTGGGCGAAGGATATAACAGACACTTCTCAAAAGAAGACATTTATGCAGCCAACAGACACATGAAAAAAATGCTCATCATCACTGGCCATCAGAGAAATGCAAATCAAAACCACAATGAGATACCATCTCACACCAGTTAGAATGGCGATCATTAAAAAGTCAGGAAACAACAGGTGCTGGAGAGGATGTGGAGAAATAGGAACACGTTTACACTGTTGTTGGGACTGTAAACTAGTTCAACCATTGTGGAAGTCATTGTGGCGGTTCCTCGGGGATCTAGAACTAGAAATACCATTTGACCTAGCCATCCCATTACTGGGTATATACCCAAAGGAATATAAATCATGCTGCTATAAAGACACATGCACATGTATGTTTATTGCGGCACTATTCACAATAGCAAAGACTTGGAACCAACCCAAATGTCCAACAATGATAGACTGGATTAAGAAAATGTGGCACATATACCCCATGGAATACTATGCAGCCATAAAAAAGGATGAGTTCATGTCCTTTGTAGGGACATGGATGAAGCTGGAAACCATCATTCTCAGCAAACTATCGAAGGACAAAAAACCAAACACCGCATGTTCTCATTCATAGCTGGGAATTGAACAATGAGAACACTTGGACACAGGAAGGGGAACATCACACACTGGGGCCTGTTGTGGGGTGAGGGGCTGGGGGAGGGATAGCATTAGGAGATATACCTAATGTTAAATGACGAGTTAATGGGTGCAGCACACCAACATGGCACATGTATACATATCTAAAAACCTGCACGTTGTGCACATGTACTCTATAACTTAAAGTATAATTAAAAACATATATATATAAAACATAACATGTATATAAGTTGTAAAGCATAATAATAGAATGAACATCCATTAATCTAGTCTAACCTTTATGTCACCCCTCTATCCCTGGAGGCAACCACTATTCCCAATTTTGTGTTTTTCATTCCTTTGTTTTTTAAAATAAAAGAGGCTTTTTAAAAAAAAACAAACTTTTTTTAAAAAAAAAATATGTATAGAAGGAATGTACCTCAACACAGTAAAGACCATGTATGATAACCCCAAAGATAACATCATACTCAGTGGTGAAAAGTTCAAAGCTTTTCCTCTAAGATTAAGACAAAGATGCCCACTCTTGCCACTTATATTCAATATAGTACCAGGAATCCTAGCCATAGCAATTCGAGAAGAGAGATAAATAAAAGGCATCCAAATTGGAAAAGAAGTCATCAATTTTTTTCTATTTGCAGACGACATGATTTTATATACTGAAACCCTAAGACTCCAATAAAAGACTATTAGAACAAATAAATGAATTCAATAAAGTTGCAGGATATAAAGGCAACATACAAAAGTAAGTAGCATTTCTATACACTAATAACAGAGTACTTGCAGATAAATTAAGAAGACAATCTCATTTACAGTAGCTACAAAAATAAAATATAATACTTGGGAATAAATACAAGGCAAAAGACCTATACAATGAAAACTATAAAACATTGATGAAAAGAAATTGAAGAAGACATGAACAAATGGAAAGATATCCTGTTTATGTATTGGAAGAATTAATATTATTAAAATGTTCATAGTGCCCAAAGTGATCTACAGATTCAATGTAGTTTCTATCAGAATTCCAATAGCTTATTCTTTCTTTCCTTTTTTTTTTGTTTTGTTTTGTTTAAAAATTCTGGCTGGGCACAGTGGCTCACACCCATAATCCCAGCACTTTGGGAAACTGAGGCAGGTGGATCACTTGAGGTCAGGAGTTTGAGACCAGCCTGGCCAACATAGTGAAACCTAGTCTCTACTGAAAATACAAAAATTAGCCAGGCATGGTGGCACACATCTGTAATCCCAGCTACTAGGGAGGCTGAGGCAGGAAAATTGCTTGAACCCAGGAGGCGGAGGTTACAGTGAACCAAGATCGTGCCTCTGCACTCCAGACTGGGAGTCTCAAAAAAAAAAAAAAAAAAATCCAATAACTTTTTTCACAGAAGTAGAAAAAAAAATCCTAAAATTTGTATGGACCTAGAAAAGACCTCAGATAACCAAAGAAATCTTGAGCAAGAACAAAGCTGGCCGGGCGTGGTGGCTCACACCTGTAATCATAGCGAGGCTGAGGTGGGTGGATTGCCTGAGCTCAGGAGTTCAAGATCAGCCAGGGCAACACGGTGAAACCCCATCTCTACTAAAATACAGAAAATTAGCTGGGCATGGTGGCATGCACCTGTAATCCTAGCTACTCAGGAGGTTGAGGCAGGAGAGTTGCTGGAACCCGGGAGGTGGAGGTTACAGTGAGCCGAGATTGTGCCATTGCACTCCAGCCTGGGTGACAGACTGAGACTATGTCTCTAAAAAAAAAAAAAAAGAATAAAGCTGAAGGCATCACACTACCTGACTTCAAAATTATACCACAAAGCTATAATAATCAAAACAGTATGACATTAGTATTAAAATGGCTACATAGACCAGTGGAACAGAGACCCTAGAAATGAATCCACGCATTTACAGTCAATTGATCTTTGACAAAGGTGCCAAGAACCCACAATGCAGAAAGGACAGTCTCTTCAATAAATGGTGTTGGGACAACTGGATGTCCACATGCAATAGAATGGAATTACACTCTTACCTTACACCATATACAAAAATCAACTCAAAATGGCTTAAAAACTTAAATGTAAGACCTGAAGCTGTAAAACTACTAGAAGAAAACATAGAGGAAAAGGTTCATGGCATTGGTTTGGGCAATAATTTTTTTGGATATGAACCAAAAAGCACAGCCAACAAAAGCAAATATAGACAAATGATATTATACAAACCAAAAGACTTCTGCATAGCCAAGGAAACAATCAACAGAGTGAAAAGACAACCTATAGAATGGGAGAATGTATTTGCAAACCACACATCTGATAGGGGGTTAATAGCCAAAATAGGTAAGGAACTCAAACAACTTAATAGTAAGAAAGCAAATCACCTGGCCAGGCATGGTGGCTCATGCATGTAATCCCAGCACTTTGAGAGGCTCAGGCAGATGGATCGTTTGAGCCCAGGAGTTCAAGACCAGCCTGGGCAACATGGTGAAACCCCCATCTCTACAAAAAAATACAAAAATTATTCGGGCGTGGTGGTATGCACCTGCAGTCCCAGCTGCTCAGGAGGCTGAGGCAGGGGCATCACTTTAGCCTAGGAGGTGGAGGTTGCAGTGAGCCAGGATCATATCACTGCACTCCAGCCCAGGCAACAGAGCCAGATCCTGTCTGAAAAAATAAAAATAAAAATAGAAAAAAGGAAACAAATTACCCAATTAAAAAAAATGGGAAAAGGGTCTGAGCAGACATATTTCAAAAGAAGACATAAAAATGACCAACAGAGGTATATAAAAAAAGTTCGGCATCGTTAATCATCAGATAAATGCAAATTAAAACCACAATGAGATGTCACCTCACACTTGTTTGAATGGCTATCATATAAAAGACAAAAGATAACAAGCATTGGAGAGGATATGGGGAAAAGGGAACCCTTATACACTGTTGGTGGGAAGGTAAATTAGTAGAGCCATTATGGAAAACAGTATGGAGATTCCTTAAAAATTAAAAATAGAAATATCATATGATCTAGCAATCCCATTATGGGGTATATATCTAAAGGAAATTAAATCAATATGTTGAAGAGATATCTGCACTCCCATGTTCATTGCAGCATCTTCACAACAGCCAAGCTATGGAATCAAACTAAGTGTCCATCAACATGGGAATGAATAAAGAAAATGTGGCATATGTATGTATACTTATACACACACACACACACACACACACACACACACACACACAATGGAATACTATTCAGGCTTAAAAAAGAAGGAATCCTGTTATTTGTGCGAAGATGGATGAACCTGGAGATTATTCTAAGTGAAGTAAGCCTGGCACAGAAAGATTAATACTGAATTATCTTACTTATATGTAGAATCTAAAAATGTTGAACTCATAGAACTAGAGAGTAGAATGGTGATTACCAGGGGTTGGAGTAGTGAGGAGTTGGGGAGATGTTGGTCAAAGGACATAAAACTTCAGTTAAATAGAAGGAATAAGTTAAAGAGATCTACTCTACAACATGGTCACTATAGTTAACAAATGTTTTGTATTGAAAATTGCTGAGAATAGATTTTATTCCACAACAAAATAAATATGTGAAATAATTAGCATGCGTGAGTTAGCTTGGTTTAGCTCTTCCACAATGTATACATGTTTCAAAACATGTGCACAATAAATATACACAATTTTTATTTGTTGATTTAAATAAATAAATGAAATGTTTAAAAACAAAAACATTATGTTGTGCACCTTTAAAAAAACCTGCTAGCTCTCCTAATTTCTGGTTAAATTAATCTTGACAAAATAAGAAGGGGAAAAGAAAGTCCCCACTTCTTCTATAGTTGTAGAATGGTAAATGCAATTCTATGTCATTAAACTGTCTCTATGGGTCTCAAAAAGATATCTGTACATTCGTGTTCATAGCAACATTATTCATAATAGCTAAAACATGAAAGCAGTGCAAGAGTTCATTGGGAGATTAATTGATCAGCAAAATGTGATGTAGACACAATGGAATATTATTCTGCTTTAAAAAGGAAGGAAATTCTGACATATGGTACAACATAGATGAACCTCGAGGACATTATGCTAAGTGAAATAAGCCAGTCACAAAAAGGACAAATACTGTATGTTTCCACTTATATGAGGTACCTTCAATGGTCAAATTCATGAAGACAGAAAGTACAATGGTGGTTGCCAGAGACTGGGTGGGGAAGGAGACGGGAAGTTACTGTTTAATAGGTACGAGGTTCCAATTTGGGAAGATGAAAAAAGTTCTGGAGGGGGAATGGTGGTGATGATTACGCAACAATGTGAATGTACAACCATATTAATATAACACTGAACTGTACACTTAAAAATGGTTGTGATGGCAAATTTTATGTTATGTATGTTTTACCACAATAAAATTTCTTTTGAAAATAAACTGATGTCCAGGCCCCTAAAAAATTCAAGAAGGAGAGAACTTTAACTTTTCACAAATTTTACCAGAAACAGCGTTGAGTGGTTGGTTTGTAGGATGGTGCAGAAACTAGACCTGATGGAAGATGTATACTGGTGAGTGGCAAGATGCTAAGATTGGAAAATTATGGAGATAAAAGATTCTGAATGTTTGAATCCCAGGCAGAATCATTTATATAGTTTTAATATGTAGGTATTGATTCCTGTTTTTTAATAAGGGGAGAGCATGATAAAGCCAGAATTTCAGGAATGTTAGTCTGGAATTTACTGAAGGGTAGAAATATGGATTTAGGGTGACCAAGTTATTATAATTTCCCAGAAATAGAATGATTGGACCTAACCTAGGCTTATGGCCAAAGAATGCAAATGAAGGCACAGAGATCCTAAGGAAAAATTGAAAGAAGTATTGATAGACTTTGATTAGAGCAGAATTTGTATAATGTACAAATTCTGTATACTGTAAGTGGAAACATACAGTATGTACATGTTTTTGGTACAGGGAATGTAGAACTAAGTGAGCTAAAAAGGAGACAGAGGAGTCAAAAATAACTTCTAGGAAGAAATATTGATACCATAATTTTTGTGAAAACGGTATGTGGTAGTTTGAATCTTTAAATTTTAATTCGTATAATATAAAAATGACAGCTATGCTAATAGTGTTTCTTGTCTATATAATTGCAGATCTCTACAATATGGAAATCAGTTCATATATCAGTCAATGCCACGAATGTTAACTCTATGGCTTGATTATGGTACAAAGGCATATGAATGGGAAAAAGGTATAACTCTTCACGTAAAAGTTTTAAAGGACTAGGAATTATAACTTTGGTATAAAGTCAGATTTGGCTGGACAGTCTAATTTCCTAGAAGCTTGGAATGAATTTGATAATTAAGATATTATGTAAGTGTGAGTAAGATACTAAATGTTAAAAAGGAAAGACAAATCATAGACTTTTAAAGTAGTTTTAATTCAGGGCCACAAATACAAATCTGATTATTTCTTAATGAATCTAACACATATTAAAATGTGTTAGTTTTAGCCAAATAATTTACCCTAAAAATTAAAATGGATAGTGAAAATTAATGTCCCTTGGGTTTTTGAATGGCTCTAAATATTTTTTCTGGTTGGACAGAGACAACTATCTTTTCACAAATTGGCAAGTGACCTAACCTTGGGCATGGGAATAACATACTTTAAAGCTATTTTTAAAGCAAAATTTTTCTTCTGTGAAATGAACTGATATACTGATTTTTCTCTTTCCTTTATTGTTTTTTAAACTTATTTCTTCCCCCAGCTGGCCGCTCCGATCGTGTACAAATGAGGAATGATTTGGGTAAAATAAACAAGGTTATCACAGAGCATACAAACTATTTAGCTCCATATCAATTTTTGACTGCTTTTTCACAATTGATCTCTCGAATTTGTCATTCTCACGATGAAGTTTTTGTTGTCTTGATGGAAATAATAGCCAAAGTATTTCTAGCCTATCCTCAACAAGCAATGTGGATGATGACAGCTGTGTCAAAGGTAAAAGGGTCTTTTACCTTTTTATATGAAAAGATCTTTTACCATTTTATATGAACTTGATTATGTAATACTAATATGTAGATACAAGTTCCAGGGCGTCTCTCCTGTATTAGATTAGTAATTTTAAATATTTTTTTAAAGAGAGAAATTTATAGCATTATATCTTAATATTTGGATATATTTACCATATGAAATGAAGTAACTAGTATGTTTAAGATCAAATAATTCAGCATGTGTTTTCTTTATGAAGTCTAGTAAACAGTTAATGCTTGATGCAAAATGGTTACCTATGTTTTCACAAATATTTTAATCCAAACTACCTGAATTTTTATTTTTTTTCCCTTAAGAAACAGGATCTTTCTCTGTTGCCCAGGCTGGAATGCAGTGGTGGGATCATAGCTCAGTGCAGCCTCAAAGTCCTGGGTTCAAGTGATCCTCTTGCCTCAGCTTCCCAGTAGCTAGGATGATAGCGGTGTGTCACCATGTACAGTTAATTTTTAAATTCTTTTTGTAGAGATGGGATCTTGCTGTGTTGCTCAGGCTGGGCTCAAACTCTTGGGCTCAAGTGATCTTTCTGCTTTGGCCTCCCAAAGTGCTGGAATTACAGGCATGAGCTATCGTGCCCCGCCAGTACCTGAATTATTAATACTAAAAAACCGTTATTGCATCATTAATGGGAATTCATATGTTGGTCAATATATGTAATAAGTAAATGTTTAGAGAATTTAGACAATACAGAGACATAAAACAAAAATTAAAATTCACACCTTGGGCCATTCATTAATGTTTTGATGTAATTTTATTTGTATATTTTCTAGCATATTTTAACACTAAATTTAATTATGTTGCCGTACAATTTCATATTTTTCACTTTATTGTTTCCATGTTATTAAATATAATTTGAAGATATAATTTTAATATATAAAATTCTAAAAAATAGCCTTCAATAACTTATTTAACTGTTTAGTTAATCATTAAGGTTATTTCTATTTTTCTTGCAATTGTAACACATCTAGATATGTCTATGTTTATTCTCACTTGTAATTATTTCTCCAGGGCAGATCCCTATAACTTTATAATTCACAAAGTTATAGGGTGGCAATATTTGTATGGCTCTTGATAGCATTGCCAAATAAATTTTCAGAAAATTTGTATCATATAAACTCTCATCATGAATACTTTTTAAGTTTTTTGTCAAGCAAAAAATTTATCTTTTAAAAATCCTGTATAAACTCTTTTTTATGACATTTAACTCTTTTTTATGACAGTCATCTTATCCCATGCGTGTGAACAGATGCAAGGAAATCCTCAATAAAGCTATTCATATGAAAAAATCCTTAGAGAAGTTTGTTGGAGATGCAACTCGCCTAACAGATAAGCTTCTAGAATTGTGCAATAAACCGGTACTATCATAATCTTAGTGCTTATAAACTGATGTTGGGTAATTATGTATATAATTTGAGCAGATTTTTTCATTTGATTAATTAAATTAAAATTCTAACTATAGGTGTACACATATATCAAAATGTATATTTTAATTATGTATGATTTGTCTTAATAAAGCAGTTTTTAATATTTCTAATACATCTTACTTCCAAATACCCTCTAATATTTCTAAAAGTTCTTCTTAGTGTGAATTAAGAATTTTCCGAGAGTAGATATCCATGTTTCTCAGCAATTTTTAGTAGAGAATATGAAATAAGCCATAAAAATATAAGTATGTAAAATATTCTAAGTTACTTATGGTAGTCTATGATTATATCATATCTTTAAACTTTCAAAATTCATATACATTATTAAACTACACTTACGATAGGGAAGAGGGTTGGGGTTTTGCTTTTCATTCTTTTAGTACACATTTCAGTGCCTATGAGGGGACAAGCACTATGCTAAGGGAAACAAGATGAATAAAATCTATTCTCATGCCTGAGGTGCTTACAGTCTTTTAGGGAACTAAGCAGATGGTTATCTAGAGTAATAAGTACTTTTTTCGGTAGATTTGTGACTAAAGTAGGAACATGGTTACAGGAGTAACCCCATAATTCTACCTAAGTATTAGAGAAAAACCCCCAAGGATGTATAGGAAAGATAAAAGTGGGAGGTGGGGGTGGTTATAAGGAGGGAGAGAGAAGTTCTTTAATAAGGTACATAGCTAGACTTCACTTGACAAATATTCAGAGTGCATCAGTGTTTATAGATGAAAAGATACAGACTATTTCTCACCTTTCCTTTATCAATAAACATCTCAAAAGGGTAATCTGCATTTATTATCTCCATTAATCCCATTTGACCTCTGATGCACTTGACATTATCAAAAACAGTGTTATGGTGGCCAACATTTATTAAAACACTAACACTGTTGTAAGTGCTTTACATGTACAGGTTTCCAGTTCTTTATCTGAAACCTTTGTGGCAAGCTACACTTAGAAATTTAGGATTTTTAAGATTTTAGTGCATATTTAATATTTGATATTTCCACTGAGGGTAACCTGTTGGAGTATCCCATAATCAAACACATAACTGTTTCTTCAGTGAGAGTTTAATTTACAGAGCTCTTTGGATTTTCTAATATTTGATAATAGATTATAGGCCTCTACTCTCTCCTTTAATCATTAAACAATCCTATGATGTAGGTACTATTATTAATGAGGTAAATGACAGAGGTTAAAATGGGATGATTAGGAAATACTTAGAAAACCACAGACTGCTGAACCTTTGTAATCAAAATATTGTAAAAGTGAAATTTTTGTTATAGTGGAATTTAAGGTAAAAACAAATTAAAATGCACTATTTATTTTTTCAGGTTGATGGAAGTAGTTCCACATTAAGCATGAGCACTCATTTTAAAATGCTTAAAAAGCTGGTAGAAGAAGCAACATTTAGTGAAATCCTCATTCCTCTACAATCAGTCATGATACCTACACTTCCATCAATTCTGGGTACCCATGCTAACCATGCTAGCCATGAACCATTTCCTGGACATTGGGCCTATATTGCAGGGTTTGATGATATGGTAAACTTCAGTTTTATATGACTATGATTTTAAAATTTAGTTGTTAAAAACTTCAAATTAAGATAAAAAGTGTATTTCACAAAATCTACGTGAATCTTATTTGTGAAGAAAAATAATTGGAAATACAGAAGAGTAAAACTAAACTCATTTGTACTGATGGCAAAAAAATTCAGTGATTAAAAAAAGTTCTGATTCATGATTCACATTCACCGTAACGTTTTGATTTTTCAAATGCTCCTGTTGTTTTAGTATGACTATAATCTTTATTTTTTCACAATTTGATTTTTCTTTTCTTTTCTTTTTTTTTTTTTTTGGAAACAGGGTCTCATTCTGTTGCCCGGGTTGGGTGGAATACAGTGGTGCGATCTCAGCTCACTGCAACCTCTGCCTCTTAGGCTCAAGCAATTTGCTCACCTCAGCCTCCTGAGTAGCTGGGACTACAGGTGCATGTCACCATGCCCAGCTAATTTTTTAAATTTTTTGTAGATACGGGGTTTCGTCATGTTGCCCAGGCTAGTCTTGAACTCCTAGGCTCAAGCCATTCTCCTGCTCAGCCTTCCCAAGTGTTAGTGTAACAAACATGAGCCACTGTACCCAGTCTATGCTTTGTTTTTAATTTAAGCAGTATTATTCATCTTATTTACTCACTTCATTAGGTACACTTAATTTTGAAGGAGTTTGTTTTTTCAAAAATCAAACTACTTTTAATTGATAAAGCTTGAAAAACAGAGTCTCAGGCTCCGCAGAAAGATCCTGAAAAGATGTTTCAAAAATCTTTTAAACATTTTGACTGCTTTGAAGGGGGGTGTCTAAATTTGAATATGTAAGTACTTGTATTGGCGATGAAGTAATCTTTTTATGTCATAGCTATTTTTAATGGGTGAAAATGTTTCTGTTCATAGACAGTCATTCTTTTCATAGGTCATAGATAATTAAAATAAAAGATTTTTAAAATACAAATTCACTACATAATATAGCTGGTAATATTCTTTTTTTTTTTTTACATAACTCAAGGTTTATAATATATAGACATTTACACAGAAATTTTTGGCCCTAATTCATATATAACTCATCATCTTTTAGGTGGAAATTCTTGCTTCTCTTCAGAAACCAAAGAAGATTTCTTTAAAAGGCTCAGATGGAAAGTTCTACATCATGATGTGTAAGCCAAAAGATGACCTGAGAAAGGATTGTAGACTAATGGAATTCAATTCCTTGATTAATAAGGTTGGGAGATAGTTTGCTTTTATTTTATTTATTTATTTTTTATTTTAAAAAAATTTTTGACTATTATAAAACCAGATTGCTTTTATTTCAGAGTTGCTATAATTACTATCAATCTGATATAGGCATTTTAGTATACAAACAGATCACTCTTAAAAAGCAGGAATGAAATATAAAGTCTTTTTCATTTTCACTTAATTTTTTTATTGAGATAAAATGTACATACATAAAACTTAACATTTGACAGTTTTTGAAGTATATTGTTCAGTGGCATTAAGTACATTCACATTGTTGTACAACCATCACCACCATCCCTCTCCAAAACTTTTTTCATCTTCCCAAATTGGAACTCTGTGTCTATGAAACAATTAACTTCCTATTTCCCTTCTCCTCAGCCTCCAGCAGCCACCATTTACTTTGTCTCCATTAATTTAACCATTTGAGGTACCTCATATAAGTGCAGTATTTCTCCTTTTATGACTGGCTTAAATCACTTGGCATTATTCAAAGTTCATTCATTTTACAGCATGTGTTAGAATTTTCTCCCTCTTTAAGCTGAATAATAGTCTATTGTTTTCCATCCACATTTTATTTATCTATTTATCCAGTGATGGACATTTGGATGCTTCTACCTTTTGGCTATTGTGTTAATATATTTATCAAAAGATAAATAGGCTGGGTGCAGTGGCTCATACCTGTAAGCCTAACACTTTGGGAGGCCCAGGAAAGAGGACCACTTGAGGCCAAGAGTTTGAGACCAGCCTGGCCTATATAGTGAAACCCTGTCTCTACAAAAAATAAAAAAAATTAGCCAGGCATGGTGGCACATGCCTGTAGTCCCAGCTACTAAGGAGGCTGAGGCAGGAGGATTGTTTGAGCCCAGGAGTTTGAGGCTACAGTGAGCTATGATCATGCCACTGCACTCTAGCCCAGATGACAGAGCCAAGACCCTGACTCTTATAAATAAATAAATAGATAAATAAAAGGTAATCATTAGCATTTTTTCAGTTCTGTTGGTATTTGATTTCTATCTCAAAGATGATATGAGGAATCTTATTAAAGGGTTATTATAAATGTATGGTTTTATGTATTTTGAATTATTCTGTAACCAGGTATTTGTAGATGCATAGTGTATGTCTTTTTCCATTGGTAAAAATTGATCTATACTGTGGAAAGATGAAACTTTATTATTTTTCTACAAGCTTTTTTTCCCTTCTTCTCATTGCCTTCCCACATTTTAAAGTCATAGATCTTTAGCATAGAAAAGATATAGCAGTAGATGAGTTTGTTTTTTAAAAAAAGTTATAGTCTGCTTGGTTTAACCAAAAGTAATTTAAAAATTAATACCACATTAAAAAGCTATTTCAAAAGCAATATGAAAAGGAGGATTATTTTTTATTTTAACATATTATTTGGGCTGGGTGTGGTGGCTCATGCCTGTAATCCCAGCTGAGGCGGGCAGATCACTTGAGGCCAGTAGTTCGAGACCAGCCTGGCCAACATGGCAAAAACCTTTCTCTACTAAAAATACAAAAATTAGCCAGGCATGGTGGTGTACGCCAGTATTCCCAGCTACTTGGGAGGCTGAGGCATGAGAATTGGTTGAGCCTGGGAGGCGGAGGTTGCAGTGAGCCCAGATCGTGCCACTGCACTCCAGCCTGGGTGACAGAGTGAGATTCTGTCTCAACAACAACAACAAAAAAGTATTGTTTGTTAAAATGGTACCTTAATTCACTAACTACTGAACCATTAGTATGTTCTCTCCAAAGCTCCCTGAGTTTTTCTGAGTATCAGATTTACTTGAGTATCAAGTGGCCTGGCTTTAGTTTATAAATTTACATTAATCAGCTTTGTTACTTTAATTAAAGTATTTTGTTACATTTTCCCTCATAAACATGGTAAAATAAAATAGCCTGACATACTAACTTAGTTAGTAACATATTTACTAACATAGTTTTGTAAAAAACTATGTTAGTTTTGGAGGCCACACACTGATCTTTATATGAGATTCTATGGCCATATTGTTTTCCTGGTAGTTATGGAACCTATTTCCTAAAGTAAAATGTATTTTTGATCAGTGATTGTGCTTTTGAATTGAGCAGGTTACAATTACAGATGTGTGCTTACTTCATACAGGTCTAGAATTAAACATAATACTGTTTATTTCCACCTGATATATCAGGATCAATCAGATGAAATATGTAAGGCTTTCTTCTGCTAAGGGATAGCTTTAGAAATAAGGTTGTGATAAACCGCAAGAGGAGCAATACATTTTGAGGATGTCATAGAACTCATGCTCTTTTGTTTATGTATTTTAGAAATAATTAAAATTGGCCGGGCACAGTGGCTCATGCCTGTAATCCCAGCACTTTGGGAGGCCGAGGCAGGCGGATCACTAGGTCAGGAGATCGAGACCATCCTGGCTAACACGGTGAAACCCTGTCTCTACTAAAAATACAAAAAATTAGCTGGGCGTGGTGGCAGGCACCTATAGTCCCACCTACTCGGGAGGCTGAGGCAGGAGAATGGCAAGAACCCGAGAGGCAGAGTTTGCAGTGAGCCGAGATTGAGCCACTGCACTCCAGCTTGGGCGACAGAGCAAGACTCCATCTCAAAAAAAAAAAAGAAAAATTAAATAGCAGTCTCTGTGCCTAAAGACTTAATGTTTCAGTAATACCTATAAAGCAATAGAAAATAAAACAGCAGCATTTTGTCATTGTTAAATATACAACTTAAATATTTTAAATACAATATTCTTGTCACATTAATAGTGAATAATTAAAAAGAAGGACCTACCCAGGACATTTTTAATAATCTGTAAATAGATTAGAGATACTGTCCCAGTAGCTTCCTTCCTACCATTCAGAAGAATTATTCATGTATACCACATAGTAAGCCTTCAATGACATTCTTTGGTTATGAAATGAACAATCTTTAAATATATTTGATATAACATTTAGAAATTTTGAGTTCTATCTTGTTTTTAAATTTATGTGTATTTTTTAACAGTGCTTAAGAAAAGATGCAGAGTCTCGTAGAAGAGAACTTCATATTCGAACATATGCAGTTATTCCACTAAATGATGAATGTGGGATTATTGAATGGGTGAACAACACTGCTGGTTTGAGACCTATTCTGACCAAACTATATAAAGAAAAGGGTACTAAAATTAATTCTTATACATATACAGTGTGGGTACTAAGTTATATAATATGGGTATAATTGGTATTAATATATGCTAGCATATGTTTTTTGATATAAGCTATAGTGAAATTTCTAGATTTTATATACAGAAACACTTAAGTGTTTCCATCCCTTCCTTCCTTTCTTCCTTCCTTCCTTCCTTCCATTTTGATTCCTTCCCTGTCTTCATCCCAACAGGATTTGAGGTAGCTTACAAAACTATATATGAATATTTGTTTTTCACAGATATTGGTTAACAATTCTGAAACTATGTATATACAGTACTAGTCTTCAGCAAGTAAGTAAATATGTTGTATAATGAGAGCCAGTTTTCTCACTATTGGAGAAAGGAAGGAGAGAAGGCTAGAATGAAGTCTGACGTTTTAGATTGGAATAAGAGGCTCCAACTGTCCAAACCTGGGATAATTTGAGTAGCAAAATAAATAATGATTGTAAACTATTATAACCCATGGAATAAACAAATAAACATGAGTCCATACTGATATAAACAGATATTTGAGTAAATAAATAAATAGGGAAGTGGGAATAGTTCTTCCTTATGTACTAATAGAATTTCAATGAATAAATGTAGAAAGGATGATGGAAATGGGAAATCAGCAATTAGCAAACACTATAGTAATTATTATTGCAGGCAGTGATTATTAATGGATGCTAAAATTAATAGGCAAAAGATGAGAAACAGGTTATTTGAAGAATCTTGAAGTATCTCCCTATCAGATACTTAACAATTATAAAGGGAAAAGTATAGTAACTTTACAGTAGAGAAATATAAATATAACTGGTCCGAACTCCTTACAAATGTCAAAGTAATGAATTCCCAGATTTGATGACATTAAGGAGTTGACATTTGATGACAACTAAATGTAATGTGTAATCCTGGATTGGATCCTGACCCCTAAACAAAGTGTGCTAGTGGGACAGCTGGTGAAATTTGAATAAGGTCAGAGGTTTGGTTAATAATACTGTAATAATAAGAATTTCCTGATTTGAATAATTGTACTATTGTTACGCAAGATATGAACATTAAGGAAAGCTGGGTGAAGAATATGTGGGAACTCCGTATCATTGATGCAACTTTTTGTAACATCTAAACTTGTTTTAAAATAAGACGTTTTTAAAGTTCATATGGTGTAATACATTAAAAATGAATAGATCAAGTTGTCAAAGTGAAGTAGAAAATAAGTATATGTTTTCATACATAATTTGTATGGTATTTGCCATAACAAATTACTGCAAACTAAGCGAGTTTAAACAATAGAAATTTATCATCTCACGGTTCTGGAGGCTAAAGATACAATATCAAGTTGTCATTAGGACCATGATCTCTCTGAAGGCTAATGTTCCTTGCCTTTCTCTTAACCTTCTGGTGTTCTGTGGCTTCTGGATGTATTGTACCACATTGCCTTTATTGTTACATAGCATTCTCTCTATGTCTCTGTGTCTCTATTTTCTCATAAGAACACCAGTCACTGGATTATTGAATTAAGGGCCCACCTTAATGACTTTATCTTAACAACATTACATCTGCAAAGATCCTGTTACTGAATAAGCTCACATTCCCAGGTACCAAGAATTAGGATTTCAGCATATTTTTTTGAGAGATAAAGTTCAATTTATAACATTAAGTAATACTGATAAATCACTATATAATGGGTATTGTGCCAAGTATGTTATGTACATTATTTTATTTATTATTGTTAACACGCCTGATTATCCATCCCTATTTTATGGACAGTGCCAGAGAACTTACGTAACTTGTCTAAGTTCACAGTTGCAAAACTGAAACTCAGAGACACTTGAGTCAGAGTTCAAAGAACTTGCTGTTGACTATTTTATTTATGAGCATGACATATTGTATATGTCTGAGTTTGGATTTGAAAATATATTTTTTCTTGATAATTTGTGTCAGTGTAAAAAATATATGTATATATACATATATATTGATATGTACACATATATGCAAAATAAGTTCATTCATATGGGACTTAATTTTGAGTCTTGTATTCTGGAACTATTTGATTTCACAACACTGGTTTTAACTGACATTAATTTTCATCAATAAGAGGCTTCACTTGGGTAAGTACGGTGGTCCCTCCTTATCTGGAGGATTGCTTCCAGAATACCCTCACATACCAAAATCCACACATACTCAAGTCTCAGTCAGCCCTGCAGAACCTGCATGTATGAAAAGTCAGCCTTCAGTATATACTGATTTTACATCCCATGTTTTTGATCCATGTTTGGTTGAAAAAAATCACATGTAAGTGGACCCACACAGTTCAAACTCATGTTGTTCAAGGGTCATCTGTATTAAGGGAAGATAATGTGGTTTATTATTTTATTATACAATCAGTAACTTTATGTATGCTTAATTGAAAAATGTTCCTTTATTCTTGTTTTTCAATAACAATTTGAATAAAAGTAGATGTTTCTTGTCCAATTTTAACAAAAAAAACTTTGCCCCTTTTTTCATTTGGCTGATGTGATTAATGGATATCACTCTTCCTTGCAGGAGTGTATATGACAGGAAAAGAACTTCGCCAGTGTATGCTACCAAAGTCAGCAGCTTTATCTGAAAAACTCAAAGTATTCCGAGAATTTCTCCTGCCCAGGCATCCTCCTATTTTTCATGAGTGGTTTCTGAGAACATTCCCTGATCCTACATCATGGTAAGTTACCAAGAATATAATACGTTGTTATGGTTGAATGTTTATTTTTAATATTTTAGATTTATATTGGCCTCATATGTATATGGATATTTCATAGGCATTGTGTTTCTTTTAGGTACAGTAGTAGATCAGCTTACTGCCGTTCCACTGCAGTAATGTCAATGGTTGGTTATATTCTGGGGCTTGGAGACCGTCATGGTGAAAATATTCTCTTTGATTCTTTGACTGGTGAATGCGTACATGTAGATTTCAATTGTCTTTTCAATAAGGTATGTGATATGAGTTACTCTTACTAATTGTGTTTTCTCTCAATTTCCTTTTCTCAACAACTGTATCTTCCTTGACATACCTGTTAGTAGCAGTTATACTCACAGTTGAGTTATACTGAGAATTTGTTGACTAGTTTTCATCAGTGGATCATGTAGTAATGCGTATTAGGATGGAGAGAACTTAGAAGAGTGATACTGTAAAGCTAGTACTGAATTTGAAGTCCAAGAGCATAGGTTTAGGTTCTGACTCAATTAGTTATTAGTTATGTGAATAAGGGCAGATCAGTTCATTTTACTGAGACTCAGTTTTAGAGAGACAGAGTAGTTTAATACGATAGTTTCCAATTCTAGCAACATATCAGAATTATCCAAGAATTAAAAAAAAATTTATAGATACCCAGGAGATTCAGATTCTGTAGGTCCAGAGTGGGACCTGGGAATAAATTGAGGCAATTGGACCCATCTTTAAGGCCCCCTACAATTTTCCAATATTATAATCCTGCAGGGCAGACTGGTAGGTTAGCGCACTATTTTCTTCACCTCCATCATCTACAGGTTGCCTTGTGCTGTCACAAGAAACCAAGAAAGATCATAGATCCAACTGAGAACAAATCAGAGATAAAATACTGGCATGGGTTAAACCATACAAGAGAGGAATTTAGGGTAACTGATTGGACAAGGGATGAAAGGTCCCTAGAAAAGGCAGATTAGAGGACAGCAGAAAATGAACAACTGGACTTCATTATATGACATGTTTTATTTCCTTTATGAGGGGATGTGAGCATCTGACCCTTGGCTGCTTCTGTTGTTTTAAGATGAAAGTGTTAAAGAAAAGTAGAAATATATGAGAATATTTGTATTTCATATTATTCAAGAAAGACATTAAAGAAGTTAATATGAGACTAAATATTGAATGCATAAAATTTCTCTGTAATACTGCTTATTCACTGTACTAAACTCAGTGAAAGGTAAGTCCACTTATCTCCTAGATCTTATCCAAGATCAAGTATGGTTTCAGTTCTGTAAAAGCAAAGGCAGAGCTACATGGCTCCTTCATGTTACAAACTTCTAAAGTAATTACAACATAAATATTTTGAGGGTATTTTTGCTTTTTGCTAAAAGAATCTGGACATGAAGTTCTTTGAGTAAAGATTTTTAAATTCTAACATTGTTAGTTTGTAATAAAATGTATTGTTTCTAAGGGAGAAACCTTTGAAGTTCCAGAAATTGTGCCATTTCGCCTGACTCATAATATGGTTAATGGAATGGGTCCTATGGGAACAGAGGGTCTTTTTCGAAGAGCATGTGAAGTTACAATGAGGCTGATGCGTGATCAGCGAGAGCCTTTAATGAGGTAATCACCTATACTTTGTAAATAATTTAACAGTAACCTCGAATATAATTATTGGCCCCTACATATGTTTGTTTTTATGTAGAAACCACTTTGTACTGACTGAAATAGTTTTTTTAAATAATAGCTTTATGCAGATATAATTTATATACCATAAATTCACCCCTTTAAAAGTACATAATTCAGTGGTTTTTAGTATATTCACAAGATTGTGCATCCATTACCACTATCTAATTTTAAAACATTTTCATCAGCCCAAAAAGAAATTCCGTAGGCATTAGCAGTCACTCCTGATCCCTTCCCCCTCCCACCCCTGCTATCTACTTGTAACCACTCATTTATAATATTTTCTGTCTCTATGGATTTACCTATTCAGGACATTTCATATAAATGGAATCATCTAATATGTGGCCTTTTGTGTTTGTCTTCTTTCACTTAATGTAATATTTTCAGTGTTCATCATGTATCAGTACTTCATTGTTTTTTATTGCCAAATGGTATCCTGTTATATGGATATACTACATTTTCTTTTTCTGTTCATCAGTTAAGAGACATTTGGATTGTTTCCACCTTTTGTGTATTATAAATAGTGTGGCTGTGAACATTGTGCACAAGTTTTATGTGGACATATGTTTTCAGTTCTCTTGTGTATACCTGGGAGTGGAATTGCTGGGTCATATGTTAAATGCTGTACTTAACATTTTGAAGAACTCTCAAATCATTTTCCAAAGCAGTTGTAACACTTTATAATCCCACTAGTAATGTATGTGGGTTTCAACTTCTCTGCATCTTTTCTATCTTTAGATAACATCTTTATCTATCCTGGTTATTGTCTGCCTTTTTTATTTTAGCCATTCTAGGGATGTGAAGTTGTATCTCATTGTGGTTTTAATTTGCACTTCCCTAATGACCAGTGATGGTGAGCATCTTTTCATGTCTTTGTTGGCCATTTGTAGATCATCTTTGGACAAATGTCTATTGAAATCCTTTGCCCACTTTTAAATTGGGTTTTTTTATTCTTTTTTTTTTTCCTTTGAGACAGGGTTTCGCTCTGTCACCCAGTCTGGAGTGCAGTGGCGTGATCTTGGCTCACTGCAACATCTGCCTCCTGGGTTCAAACGATTCTCGTGCCTCAGCTTCCTAAGTAGCTGGGACAGCATGTGTGCATGAGCCACTATGTCTGGCTGATTCTTGCATTTTTAGTAGAGATTGGGTTTTACCACGTTGGCCAGGCTGGTCTTGAACTCCTGACCTCAAGTGATCCTCCCACCTTGGCCTCCCAAAGTGCTGGGATTATAGGCATGAGCCACCATGCCTGGCCTATTCTTGAGTTGCAAGAGTTTGTTTCTTTGTTTGAGACAGAGTCGCCCAGGCTGGAGTGCAGTAACGTGATCTCCACTCACTGCAACCTCCGCTTCGTGGGTTCAAGTGATTTCCCTGCCTCAGCCTCCCCAGCAGAGAAGGGGTTTTGCCATGTTGCCCAGACTGGTCTTGAACTCGTAAGCTCAAGCCATCCACCTTCCTCAGCCTCCCAAAGTGCTGGGATTACAGGCATGAGCCACCCCGCCCAGCCAAGTTGCAAGAGTTCTTTACACATTTTGGATACAAGACCTTTTAAGATATGATTTTCAAATATTTTCTTCCATCTGTGGGTTGTCTCTTCACTTTCTTTGATGATGGCCTTTGAAACATAAAAGTTTTAAATTTTGATGCAGTCTAATTTGTTTTTTTCTTCTGGTTATTTTTGGTGTTTCTGTTGTCATATCTAAGAAACTATTCCCTAATCCAAAGTCATGAAGATTTACACCTATGTGTTCTTCTAAGCATTTTTGACTTTTAGCTCTGCTATTTAAATCTTTTATCTGTCTTCAGTTATTTTGTAGATATGGTGTAAGGTAGGGGTCCATATTCATTTTTTTGCATGTGCATATCCATTAGTCACAGCACCATTTTTTGAAAAGAATATTTTGCCCCTCGTTTAATTATCTTGGCTTTTTTGTTGAAATGGTCAATTGATTTTCAGCAATATTCTGTTGATCTATATGCCTAACCTTATGCTAACAACACAGTGTTTTGATTGTTGTACCTTTGTAGTAAATTTTGAAATCATAAAGTGTGAGTGTTCCAACTTTGCTTTTTTTCCCCCAAGATCATTTAGCTATTATGGGTCCCTTGTATTTCCATATTAATTTTAAAATCAGCTTGGATTTTGATAGGAAGGACATTGAATTTGTAAATCAATTAGGGAGTATTGCTGTCTTAACAATTTGGGAGTATTGCTGTCTTAACCATGTTAAGTCTTCTGATCGATGAACATAGAATGTTTTTCCATTTATTTGAATTTTATTTTTTTCATCAATGTTTTGTGGTTTTTAGGGTCAAGTTTTATATTTAACTTTTAAAAATTGTATTCCTAAGTATTTTATTCCTTTTGATTTTATTCTAAATGGAATTTTTCTTAATTTCATTTTTGGATTGTTCATTGCTAGTGCATAGATATATAATTGATATTTATATATTGATATTGTATCTTACAATCTGCTGAATTCATGTATTAGTTCTAATAATTATTTTTGTGCCTTCCTTAAGATTTTCTCTCCACAATAACATGTCACCTGCAGATACAGTTTTTCTTCTTCCTTTTTAATATCAATGCCTTTTATTTCTTTTTCTTGCCTACTTGCCCTAACTAAATCAGTGTCGAATAGACATGCTAAAAGTGGACATCCTTGTCTTGTTCCTGATCTTAGGGGTAGAGCAGTCAGTCTTTGACTTTTAAGTATGATGTTAGCTGTGGGAAACAGATTGTTTGAAAGGACTTTTAAAGCTTATTTATTCACCTTCATTATTTAAAAGCTGTCTATCGGGCCGGGCGCGGTGGCTCACGCCTGTAATCCCAGCACTTTGGGAGGCCGAGGCGGGCGGATCACGAGGTCAGGAGATCAAGACCATCCTGGCTAACACGGTGAAACCCTGTCTCTACTAAAAATACAAAAAATTAGCCGGGCGAGGTGGCGGGCGCCTGTAGTCCCAGCTACTCGGGAGGCTGAGGCAGGAGAATGGCGTGAACCCCAGGGGGCGGAGCCTGCAGTGAGCCGAGATTGCGCCACTGCACTCCAGCCTGGGCGACAGCGAGACTCCGTCTCAAAAAAAAAAAAAAAAAAAAAAAGCTGTCTATCAGACATTATGGTAGAATACTGGTTAGTTGGACATATGCAAAAGCAAATTCTCTGAAATAGGAAGTATATCATCATGTGGAACAGTTACCAAGAGCCCCTGTGTTAGTCTGGGTCAGTCAAGAAATAATTTCTGGAGGAAGTAGTTGAGACCTTAAAAGTTAATAAAGTTGACCATGCAAGGGAGAAGAGAGTGTTCTGAGTGATAAAAATATCAAGGCAAGTGAAGTCATGGCCTGCCTGAGAAATACAGTATGTATTCCAGAGGGTATACTTCCAGGAGGTGGTGCTAAGAGATGACGCAGGACAGGTAAGCAGGGGCTAGATTATGAAGGTCTCACATGGGGCCTGTTACTACATTATAACTTTGCCTGCAGAGCAACCAGAAGTCATTGAGGATTTTAAGAAGGAATAAAAAGGGGGCAAGGGGTGGAAAGAGATAATCTGATTTGTACTGTAGAAAAAATAGGGTCCTAGTTTGGGCCAACAGCCAGAAAACTAGTTAGAGGTTTATTGCAGTAACCCAGGAAAGGATGATGGTGTACTGGATAGTGTCACGGCCGTAGAGACGGAGATAACTGAAGAGATTCCAAAGAGATTTAGGAGTTGTAATTGCATGTTAGAGGAAGACGGGGTGAGGATGATTCCTAGATTTTTGTCTAGGGCAAATGGGTGGATGATGATTTGGGGAATACAGGAGAAATAGTTGGGAAAAGGTAATTAATTTTATTTTGGAGATACTGAGTTTGAGGTGTTTGGAACATATCCAACTGGGTATTTCCCATAGGTAATTGGATTTGATGTTTAGGGTGCAGAAAAAAGGTCTGGGCTAGGTCTATATGGTAGCTATAGATGTTATATCGTTATTGAAGACATGGTAAGGGATAAAATTCCTTCATTCAAAATATAGTCATTTACCAGTTCACAGTATACACTTAGAGATGGCACATAGAACCCATCTTACTCTATTCTCCAAAACACCTCTGACTCCCCTCTATCTTGCCTTTTTTCCTGCCTTCCCTTCTCTTACCCTCCCCTCACACCAAAACAGAAATTTCACATAACTTAATGAAGACGTAGTAATGTGTATTATAAGAGTATTACCATTAGCTTCTCATCCTTCACTTAAATATTGATGTCAGCAAGATTTCTTCTTGCAAAGATAACATCATACCATAATATTTGTTTCAATTTTAGTGTCTTAAAGACTTTTCTACATGATCCTCTTGTGGAATGGAGTAAACCAGTGAAAGGGCATTCCAAAGCGCCACTGAATGAAACTGGAGAAGTTGTCAATGAAAAGGTTAGTAGAAGGTATAGCTTGATATGGGCTGTAGTCCTCATCTCTACAAATGAACTTGATATGCAGCTATAGTTCTCATCTCTATGCATGAGAACTGCTTGGAAATACTGTTAGTGACTATTGATTACTCTGAAATCTAGTTCTCTAGTATCACAATGCCATAAGTTTTCTTTATTGTCAGTAATGTTAACAGTATTCGCATTTGTATAATAAAAGTTCATGGCACACTTGTTTAACCATAGACAATTCACAGTTATGAGATACAGTAGGAAAAACTATAGTACAAATTGCCTGAACTTACAGAACAACAGGTCTGAGCTTTAATATCATGATACCAGTATGTCACAAGCTATGTTAACAAATGCAGCAATTCACTTCTTACTTAGTTGAAGCTGCAAAGTTTGCAGATAGTTTTGTTGTTGTTGTTGTGGTGGTGGTGGTGGTTGTTGTTTTTGAGACAGAGTCTCGCTCTGTCATCCAGGCTGGAGTACAGTGGCACGATCTTGGCTCACGGCAACCTCTGCCTCCTGGGTTCAAGCAGTTCTCCTGCCTTAGCCTCCCAAGTAGCTGGGATTATAAGCGTGCACCACCACAGCTGGCTAATTATTATATTTTTAGTAGAGATGGGTTTCACCATGTTGGCCAGGCTGGTCTTGAACCCCTGGCTTCAAGTGATCCACCCACCTCAGCATCCCAAAATGCAGGGATTATAGGCATAAGCCACTGTGCCTAGCTCAGATAGTTGTTTTTAATAAGTTAGAATAGATTGAGGATTCGTTTTTTTTGGTGGGGGGCACTCTTACATCTTTAATAAGTCTTGTACAGGCTTACTAAATACAATGAATTATACCAACTATATGCTAATAAAGATTAAAAATTTACATTCCAGTTAACTACCTAAAGAGTTTAAGTCCACTTTCATCCTACTGATATAGCTCGAGGAAGGCTAGACCTGTACGCCCCCATCCTTCATGTCATCCTTAACCCTTTGTCTTGAGAAAGAAGGTTTAGCTGCTTCTTTAGTTCTTCTAAAAGAACTAAAAGAAAAATTTCTTTTTCTTGCTCTATTATCTTCATCTGTAGGGTGAGATTAATATTTCCAGAATTGTGGAAAAATTCACTCTGTAGCAGTTGAAGAGCAGATGGTCTCTGGGACATGTTCCTTTTCGTTAAGTGATAGATATACTTGGCTTGTACTGGATACCTTTTACTGAGGGATTCCAATATCTGACCAGTTCTTGAACCTGTTAAAACTTCTGCTCGCTCCATTTCTGTTCTAAACAGCTGAAAGAGCTCTAGCAGGATCACACTCAAGCTATATACATATCTAACTGGACAAAGCCAGCCCTGGTCTCTACAAATAGTTTTTGTTTTTTTTTAATTAGCTGGGCTCAGTGGCACACTCCTGTAGTCCCAGCTACTTGGGAGGCTGAGGTGGGAGGATCACTTGACCCCAGGAGTTGGAGGCTGCTGTGAGCTATGATGACACCACTGCACTCCAGCCTGGGCAACAGAGTGAGACCCTTGGCATCATACTCAGATCCTTCCAACTGCTGGGATGAAGCATACAGACAAGTGCCCACTCTGGATATAGGTGTTGGTGTTCTCTTTCTGTTTCTATGGGTCCAGTCTGTGTTCTTTTGTAAGATGTCTGGGCAAGCCAGACCAAAGTCTCCTATTTTTACTTGCTGATCAGGGCCATGAAGAAAAATATTTCTAGGCTTCAGATCTCTGTTTACAATACCCATGTTATGTATGTAAAACACACCTTCCACTAAATCTTGAAAATTTTTTGTTGCAACACTGGCCATAAGGACAGGCAAACTTGCCCACACACTCTTGGCCCTGTTTGTTTCTCTCAGCTAGCCAGTCCCACAGCTGGAGCTTGCACACCTGCATCTGGATGTGCAGCATCAGGTGGTACTGCACCTCGATCCCCAACAAGTTGAAGTTTTCTTTGGAAGATTCCTCAGTGGATGTGAAATTCTCCTCTAGGAGGGAATTACACCTGAGCAGCAGGGGCTGTTTCACAATTGACCAGGTAGACAAACCAGCCAGGCCATTTTCCTGGAGCTCCAGGGATGATTCATATTCACTGGTGTCTCTTAAGACGGAATTGATGGTGTAGTTCACAGCTTGTTGTTCTGATTTTGAGTGTCAGATTCTGCAAAGGGTTTTTCTTTTCTGAGGTGAGCTCCGCGAAGATAATGGGTGAGCTGCTATTTTCACCATTTTTAACACCGTATTGGTATCTGTCTGCTTGGTCGGAGAACACTTCCAGAAATGGCAACTGAACGGAAGCTCTGTCTGCTTGTGGTTGGACCACTTGAACATGTTCTGTCCACGCAGTGTGATAACGAATGATATTAGGGTGCTGAAGACCTGCCAGCACCTTCATTCCCCGTAGTTCTTTCATGTAATGTGTTTTTGTTGCACCCTTAATCAGGATTTTTTAAATTGCATAATACTGACCATCTAATTTATTCCTGACCTTGTATACTCTTCCATATCCACCTTTTCCTAAGATGGCAAGTTCTTCAAATTCATTTAAGTAACGTGAAGTTTGTGCTTCAAAGGGTACTTCCCTTGATCTGATTTTCTGGATATGAGAAATAGCCTCACAAGGATCCTGATGAACTCTCTCTTTAGTGGACCTCATTAAGTGAGTAATAGCTCTGTGGTGATGTAGTCTCAATGAGCTAAACTTGTCACAAGTGAAAGAAGACAGCAGCCCCATTTTGATAAAGGTCTGGCAAAGTAACTTAAACACTGTCTTGAATGAACTGGGTTTGGTTCACGCACATGGCTCAAGTGCTTCACCAAAGAAATAAGCGGCAGCTGGTTTGCAACTGCAAAAGGGAAAGTTGGCTGTTGTAGGGGTTATTTTAATACCTGGAGTTCTGCTGGAACATAAGTCATATTTGGAGTCCAGGCTCTTGGCGGAAAAGTCGATGGCAGATGGCACAGCAACAGTCTCCACCCCGTGGCCCTCCTCTTTGTGCTCGTGGGCTGCAGCGCAGCCCACCAGCCCACCCAGCACCACCTCTGAGAATTATTCTTCTAATAACGTTATTCTTCCTTTTGCATTCAGATATGCTTAAGAAATTGTACAGTTCCAAGTAGCTCACTTAGAACACCCATTTGCATGTACTAACATAATGTAAATATTAGGCAGTACAGCATTGTTATTTGAATATTCATTGAAATGTTTAAGTCCTAAACACTTCCAAAGCAGATTTAAAAAATTATTTTTCTAGAATTGTAATGTGTAAATAATTCCCTGGTATTTCACGTAGTCCAGAAACATGTCCAAGCAGTTGATGTTGAATCAATCTTGCGAGCCTCCAAATCAGTATCACAAGCTAACTGTATTTGTTTAATTTCTTCTTTTCCTGTATTTGCTCTTACAAAAGGGGTATTGGTCAGTAAAATGGTATTAACATTTATTAAATGTCAAAATATAAAGAAAGGTAGTAATTCCAAATTATTAACATCTGTTTTTGGTTTTATGTTTCTTCTTTTTAGGCCAAGACCCATGTTCTTGACATTGAGCAGCGACTACAAGGTGTAATCAAGACTCGAAATAGAGTGACAGGACTGCCGTTATCTATTGAAGGACATGTGCATTACCTTATACAGGAAGCTACTGATGAAAACTTACTATGCCAGATGTATCTTGGTTGGACTCCATATATGTGAAATGAAATTATGTAAAAGAATATGTTAATAATCTAAAAGTAATGCATTTGGTATGAATCTGTGGTTGTATCTGTTCAATTCTAAAGTACAACATAAATTTACGTTCTCAGCAACTGTTATTTCTCTCTGATCATTAATTATATGTAAAATAATATACATTCAGTTATTAAGAAATAAACTGCTTTCTTAATACATACTGTGCATTATAATTGGAGAAATAGA
The DNA here is from genome assembly GCF_000001405.40 of Homo sapiens. Lineage (NCBI taxonomy): Eukaryota > Metazoa > Chordata > Mammalia > Primates > Hominidae > Homo > Homo sapiens. The sequence continues at coordinate 142,449,206 of NC_000003.12, read as the reverse complement.
ATATCATGTGTTCTTATGGTCAAAAACTATATTTGCAAGAAACAAGCAAGTCTAATTTCATTTTACAACTTCTATTGATTTCCTTTTAAAAGTCCTAGCTATTGTAAGGATTCACTTGAAGAACAAAATTATATGGAATAAATACTGTGGGCAAGGCGTTGTGCCAGACTTGTGCATAGAGCTACCCTCTCCTGCCCTCCAGGAAGTGACAGTCTAGTAAGAGAGATATATAAATATAAATAGCATATCATTAAGTTCACTTAATAAAACTTTGTTTTAAAGTGTGATAGGGAAAAAATATAAGCCAAGAAGCGTGAATGTGAAAACGAAATAAACATTCTGTAATTTGTGTGATGCTGCCATACTGCAGTCCCAGAATGCAGAATCCAGTGGTCATGAAAGACAGCGATACTTAACATTTCCTGAGATCTTAAAATCCAAAAAGTATTAAATGTTTAAGGTTTTTCTGTAAGTTTTCATCCAGAAGACTTAAATACAAAGTAACGGGTTAATACATTCAAATAAGTGGAAAACTCTTACATTTAAAACTGATAATTTCACTTAAGTTGATAGAACTCTCCTTTGCTGTGCGGTTGAAAGTGTGATGGGGAAAAATATGATAAACCCGGATGCAAGAATGTCAAAACTAAACATTAAATGATTTCGTATCCAAGGTCTTATGTTAACAGTTGCGGGGGGCGGGTACATGGGAAATTTTTTTGAACAATTTGGAAAAGAACGTTTTTAAACGTATGTATTAAGAAACGTAAGTTTAAATTCCTCAGAGAAAAAAAATTATTGACAAAACAACAAACTAAGCCAAGTAAATCACCAGATCTTTCGAAATCTGAATGAAAAATACTGAGATTAGCAACCCTAGGAGACAAGCGGAACAAAAATCAGTGTTCGATACCCTTCCCACACCTTCGTACGGTTTTCATGCCACTTCCAAATCCACTTAGAAAGCACAACTCTATCATGGGGCATTTTCGCCCCTAAGTTGCAACACACCAGCAAACCTCCGCAGATTCCCTGACCGCCACTGGACAGTACCGCGGCCCCGGCCGCGCGAGGCCCGGAGGGCTAAGCCCCGCCCCTCGGACGGCCTCGGATCCTGCCGCTCTAGGCCCGCCGGGCGCTCTCTATGGTCGGCCGGGCGGTGTGTTGTCATCCGCGGAGCGACGACCGGAGGCTGCGGCGGAGCCCCGGCGGGGCGTTTGGTTTCGGTTTGGCCCTGACTGGGATTAGTGTTGACGATCGAAATGGGAGTCCCCAAGTTTTACAGATGGATCTCAGAGCGGTATCCCTGTCTCAGCGAAGTGGTGAAAGAGCATCAGGTGGGTGAGCGAGGGGCAACGGCTCAGAAAGCCGAGGACCCGGGGCTCCGCGGCCCTCTCCACCTTAGAGCTGGGGCTTTCGAGCCACCTCTTTCCCCTCGTCGTCTGGACGATTAGTGGCATTAGGGAGGGGGACGGAAGGTTTGAGGACGCCCGGATGAGCCGAAAGGGGCTAAGGACGCAGGTTGCCTGTGTGTGGACAGAGCCGCTGGGTTCACGGCTTCTCTGACAGCTCTTGCTTCTGCTGGTCCTTCCGCGACTCCGAAATGAAGTCCTGGGAAAGAACGCTTTTACTGTTCTCCGGTTTCCTCCCGGGGAGCTGCAAGTTGCCTTTTTCCTTACAGAGGCTGCGAAGCTGGAGTGGGTGTCCTCGTAGGTTCCCCCATCCCACCCAGAGCGGCAGACCCACTTACAGACGATAACAGCCGCTTCCGCACGCAGTCACCTTGTTTACTTTCCCTGATCTAGAGCGCGGCCCACCCGGCCCCCGGAGCCTAGACTTTCCGACGTGGCTGATGGTCATATTGGTGATGCCTTTTGTTACTTTCTGTTATTTCAAAAGCAGCACCAATCCCCTGTTGCCAAAACAAAAAACTCTTGGGCCAGCTGGGGAGTGGGGCGTAGGACCTTTTATTTGGAGGCCTCACTGTGTGACAGAGGGGGTTGGGAAACGAATTGATAGAACATTAATACTACTAATAATATTTGGCATGTACTGACCCCAGGACAACGTTAATGTGTAGATTCCGAAAACGTAGTTTATATATTGGAACTGTGGAAAGAGAGGAGAAAGCAGTCGTCTATTAGGTAAACTAGACTTTGGGTGATACTTTGGTGTTTGTCACATTTAATGAATTTGATCTCTTTTCTGATGCTTTACAGAAAAAAAGCTTGAAATTTGTGTAGCTGATTGAATCAGTTGTGATGGGTAGTATTGTAAATAGCCTATTAAATTATGGTTTAATCGGCATTTACGAACATGAAGGTAGTTTACTTCTGGAAAGGAGTTTTTGTTGCTGGATTCCAATCAGATTTGGTAGATGAGAAATAGACTACAAAAAGTTTCCAAGGTTAGCTTATCTTGAATTTATTTGAAACATAGATTGAGTTAGGTTTAGAGAGGTATTTTTTTCCCCCGGGGAGGGCTAAAAAGGAAACCAGTACATTGCAGAAATGGAGACAACCAACTTTGGCTTTTCTTGCATCCTTCAGTCAGTACCTGCTATATATCAGTCACTTTATCTCTAAAGTGCAAAAATAATGCGATTGTTATTCGTGATGATTTAATACATAATTTGTTCAGTAATATTTTTATTCTGTAGTCTGTGGCACAGAATTTGGTTTGGTGAAAATATCTTAGATTCTCTCCATCCTGAGGAATTTTGTTACTGAAGAATGAAAATCTCTTTAATGCAGTTTTATGACATGGACACTAAGGATAGGTTTTGTGAAAGCTTTATATAGAAACTGGGAGGAGAATTATTTTTAAATTTCACTGTAAATAAATTTTAAAATTTGGTTCATTGTTGTGATACCTTTCAAAAATGTTTGATTAAAAAGAGACCAAAGGTTATCAGCTTCTCTGTTAAGTAGAACTTAAAGATGGTAATGCCTAAATAAGTCACAGGCATTCAAAAGCTAGTCCTGGGCGGGAAGGATAGGGAGAAGAAGTAAGTTACGGGAAGTCAGTGGTGTGGCCTCAGTAGCATAGGTTTTCAGTTTCTCTGAATCATCTTGTAAAAACAGAAAGAGAAACTAGAAACCAAAGTTTAAAATCCATAAAACAATTACAACAAACCATGTGACATGCTATCCCCATGAAACTCAAAACATAACTAGGTGAGGCAAACTATCAATAGTCTCTAGACACCGTTGATATTGCCATCTGTGCAAAAGCGAGAAGGAAGCAATGGGGCAACATCTGATGAACCTTAGAACAGAATTCCAGAATAGCCAGCGGTATCCACTAAAAGACTGTGCTGGCCAATTAGATAGCGGTAGCTGAAACAGAGGAGTTTTATTCACTCCATTATTGACTGGGTGAAGGTCTACCATAAGAAAGACCAAACAGGCAGGAGTAGTCTACCTCCTGTGAACACTCAAAACTGACTTGCCAAGGTGCCATTCTAGACCAGAGCCCTAAGGAAAAGGGAGTGGAATAAAGTCTTACGGAAATGTTATGCTGGAAGTGGAATAAAATTTTATGAAAGGGACAATAGAGACAAGAAGAGAAGGAGATAGACCATATAAAAGTGAGGCAAAGTCATAGAATCAAGAAATCTTAGAAAACAAACCACAAAGCAAACCACTGTATTTTTTAACACTACCCAGAAACAGCTTTGTGAACTTATATTCCCTGAACCTCTACTCATTCTAAAAGTTCAAGAAAATTAAATTCACATAAAAATGAGCTACAGAAAGGTATTGAGATCAAATTACATACAAAGTTATTATACGAGAAAAAGGGACAGAGTATCTCTCCAGACATAAAAACTTGCAATGAAAAAAATGCACACAAAATAGACCAAAATTATAACCAAAACTATTATCTATTTCACAATGAGTTAAAAGGCATTAAGAAAATGAGGTAAGACATGAAAGAACAACGTGTATCAATTATGAAAATGTGAGAATGAGATGACAGAGAAAGTTAGAAGTAAATGAAAAAAAAATGCAGAGCTGAGCCTCAAATAGAAGCAAGACGAGCAAATGATACCATTTGAGAAAACAATCGGCAGTGGAAAGATGAAATTTTAAAAAATAAAATAGATTTAAAAGATTCAAGAAAAAGTAACGATAAGAAAGATAGGCAAAGAAGACAAATAGTAGAGGTGCCTGAAAAAGAAAAAACCAAAGCAGCATAACAGAATGGGTACTCAGTAAATATTTTTTGAGTGAATTAATTTATTAGCTATAGCATATAGCATATAGAAATGCATATTAAAATAGACATGGTATATTAGTATGTTGTAAAACAGTATTTTTTAAAAAAGTGAAATGAAGCCTGGGATTATTATGATTATTTTTTTTTATGAAACATAGTGTATATACTTATGGGGTTCATGAGATGTTTTCGTACAGGCATGCAGTGTGTAATAATCATATCATGGAGAATGGAGTATCCATCCACTCAAGTATTTATCCTTTGTGTTAAAATCTAATTACACTCTTTTAGTTGTTTTTAAATTATTGCCTATCGTCACCCTGTTGTGCTATCACATAGTAGGTCTTATTCATTCTTTTTTTTTATTTTTTATTTTGGATACAAGGTCGCGCTCTGTCACCCCGGCTGGAGTACAGTGACGCAATCTCGGCTCACTGCAACCCCTGCCTCCCCGGTTCAAGCAAGTCTTGTGCCTTAGCCACCCAAGTAGCTGGGATTAGGCGTGTGCCACTACGCCTAGCTAATTTTTGTGTTCTTAGTAGACATGGAGTTTTGCCGTGTTGGCCAGGCTCTTCTCCAACTCCTGGTGGCCTCAAGTGATCCGCCCACCTCAGCCTCCCAAAGTCCTTGGATTATAGGCATGAGCCACCGTGCCTGGCCTGTGTTTTTTTGTTCTGTTTGTTTTAATTTAAATCTTTTTAAAAATAGAGATGGGTTTTTGCCATGTTGCCCACTCTGATCTTGAACTACTGGGCTCAAGTGATCTGCCCGCCTCGGCCTCCCAAAGTGCTGGGATTACAGGCGTGAGCCCCCGTGCCCAGACTAGGTCTTATTCGTTCTTTCAGTTTTTCTTTTATACCCATTAACCTTTCCCACCTCTCCCCTGACTCCCCGACTACCCTTCCCAGCCTCTAGGAACCATCTTTCTATTTTCTATGTCCATGAGTTCTATTGTTTTGATTTTTAGATTCCATAAATAAGTGAGAACATGCAATGTTTGTCTTTCTGTGCTGGACTTATTTTACTTGACATAATGAACTGCATTTCCACCCATGTGGTTGCAGATGGCAGGATCTCATTCCTTCTTGTGGCTGAATAGTACTCCATTGTGTATATACCACATTTTCTTTATCCATTCATTTGTTGATGGACGCTTAGGTTGCTTCCAAATCTTGGCTATTGTGAACAGTACAGCAACAAACAAAGGAGTGCAGATATCTGCGATATACTGATTTCCTCTCTTTGGGTTATATTAACACAGATAGCAGTGGGGTTGCTGGGATCATATGGTAGCTCTATTTTTAGTTTGTTTTTGTTTGTTTGTTTGTTTTTGCAGTTGCAAGATTTAATAGAGTGACATAGAGTGAAAACAGAGCTCCCATACAAAAGGAGGGGACCCGAAGGGGGTTGCTGTTGCCGGCTTGAATGCGTGGGTTTACATCCCGATCCTTGTCCCTCCCACTGTGCTGTCAGGCAGTAGATGATTGGCTATTTCTTTACCTCCTGTTTTGCCTAATTAGCATTTTAGTGAGCTCTCTGATTGATCAGGTGTGAGCTAAGTTGCAAGCCCCGTGTTTAAAGGTGGATGCGGTCACCTTCCCAGCTAGGCTTAGGGATTCTTAGTCGGCCTAGGAAATGTAGCTAGTCCTGTCTCTCAGTCCCCACTCTCAGCAGGAAAACCTAAGTGCTGTTGGGGAGGTTGGCCGATGACTGCTCTAACTGCTTCCTGCTGAATTGGCACGTAGTAGGGGTGGTGCAGTTGAGATTTCCTCGGGAGGGGTGCCTTTGATGTCATTAACATCAGCGCATGGGCTAACAGGCCGGTCCAGGGGTCCGCGGTAGATCTTAGTCATGGACTGCATCTGGGGCTCCATTTGAAGAACGATTTGTAGTTTTACAGCTTCGATTCTGGAAGAGACAAACTTAACAAGGAGGTTAAAGATACAGGGATTGGGCCGGGCGCGGTGGCTCACGCCTGTAATCCCAGCACTTTGGGAGGCCGAGGCGGGTGGATCACGAGGTCAGGAGATTGAGACCATCCTGGCTAACACGGTGAAACCCCGTCTCTACTAAAAATACAAAAAATTAGCCGGGCGTCGTGTTGGGCGCCCGTAGTCCCAGCTACTCAGGAGGCTGAGGCAGGAGAATGGCGTGAACCCAGGAGGCGGAGCTTGCAGTGAGGTGAGATCGCGCCACTGCACTCCAGCCTGGGCAACAGAGCGAGATTCCATCTCAAAATAAAAATAAAAATAAAAAGATACAGGGATTGAAATGTATGGCCTGCAGTGCAGATTATTTCTTTGGCACACTTTACAGGCCCTAACTATCTGCTTGATAGTTTTGAAAAGGCCTGGTCCAGTAAATAATAATTTGGCCATCTGATGGGTGCTATCAATGCCTAAGTGAAAGGTTTGGTGAAGGGTTTTAAGTAATTTCCATTGGTTAGCTGCAGGCAAAAGTATTTTTCTTTCTTCGGTGGCTAGCCATCCTGAGGGGAGGAAACTATGTCCTCGTGAGCTTCCCCATTCTATTTCTTCTTCTGAGTACTGGGGCTTGGTTTCCTGGAGGGGATTACCCCATACTAGGGGTCCTTCTATAAGCATTTCTAATGGAGGGTCCTGCCTTGCGGCTCTTTTGGCTTCAATATCCTCTTGGCGGTTCCTTTCTATTTCCCGTTCCTTTCTGATGACCCCGGCAGTGTAAGACTGCCACCTCTTTAGGTTTCTGTACAGCCAATAATAATTTCCTAATGGCTTCCTGATGTTTGATAGGTGTTCCCTCCAAAGTTAGGAATTCCCTTTCTCTCCATATTGCTGCATGGGCATGGAGGACTAGGTAAGCATATTTAGAGTCTGTATATATATTTACCCTTTTTCCTTCTCCTAATTCTAGTGCCCAAGTGAGGGCTATTAGTTTTGCCAGCTGAGCACTAGTTCCTGGAATGAGGGGATTATTTTCAAGTATTCCATTATCACTGACCACTGCATACCCTGCTTTTCAAAGTCCTTTTTCTATGAAGGACTTTTTGTATACGAATTCATTGTATGTATATGAATACGAATGAATTGTATACGAATTGTATGCGAATTCAGTATACAAATTGAGGTCAGGATCCGTCAAGGGAACCTCTGAAAGGTCCCCTCGAGCGGCTTAGGTTTGAGCAATTACTTGTTGACAGTTATGTTCTATCTTTTCTTCATTGTCTGGAAGAAATGTGGCTGGGTTAAGAGTTGCACAAGTGCACAGTCGCAACACTGGCCCTTCAAGTAATAGAGCCTGATATTTAAGTAAATGGTTGTCTGAGAGCCACAAGTCTCCTTTAGCAGTGAGTATACCATTCACATCATGAGGTGTCCACACAGTAAGATCTCTTCCCTGTATTATTTTAACTGCTTCAGATACTAAGACTGCAACTGCAGCCACTACCTATAAACAATGAAGCCAACCCTTTGCCACTACATCAGTTTTCTTACTCAGGTATGCCACGGTTGCAAGCTCGTCCCTCGGACCTGTGTAAGGACTCCTAGAGCTATTCCTGTTTTTTTGTGATATATAAAGAAAAGTCTTGCCCTATTGGCAAGCTTAACACTGGGGCTTGGGTTAGGGCCTTCTTTAGGGCCTGGAAAGCCACTTCTGCTTCAGGTGTCCATCTTACTAAATGGGTATTGGCTTTCTGAGTTTCCTTAATTAGTGTATATAATGGTCTGGCTATTTTGCCGTACCTGGGAATCCATATTCGGCAGAAACCTGTTATGCCAAGGAACCCTCTTAGTTGCTTTAGGGTTTGGGGATGAGGATAAGCAGTATAGGCTGGATACATTCCCCACTGAGGGCCCTGGTGCCTTTGGATAATTTTAGCCCTAAGTATTTAAACTGCTGTGAGCAGAGCTGAGCCTTTGGTTTGGAAACCTTGTAGCCACAGGTGGCGAGGAAATTTAAGAGCGCTTGGGTGGCTTGGTGGCACAAGGTTTCTGAATGGGCGGCCAAAAGTAAATCATCCGCGTACCGAAGGACAAGAGTGTCCAGGTATGAAAATTGGCTCAAGTCTTGGGCTAATTCCTAGCCAAATAGTTGGGGCTATCCCTGAACCCTTGGGGTAAAACAGTCCAGGTGAGTTAAGACGTTGGGTTCGAAGGCTCTTCAAAGGCAAACAAGAATTGAGAGTCAGGATGTACAGGGTTGCAGAAAAAGGCATCCTTAAGGTCCAGGACTGTAAACCGCTCTGCTTCCTCTGGTATTTGGGAAAGCAGAGTATAAGGGTTAGGTACAGCTGGGTATAGAGGAACAACAGCCTCATTCATAATCCTGAGATCTTGCACTAACCTCCACTGTCTGTTGGGTTTCTGTACTCCTAAATTTGGAGTATTGCAGGAGCTATTGCATGGTTTTACTAGGCCTTGGGCTTTTAGGTCCTTAACAATCTTTTGGAGTCCTTGTTGGGCCTCGGGTCTAAGGGGGTACTGCCTTTGGTAGGGAAAGGAGGTGGAATCCTTTAGTTTAACTTGACCAGGATGGGCATTCTTTGCTCGTCCATGTTGTCTTTCTGTTGCCCAGACTTCAGGATTAATTCCTTCCTCAAGCAGGGGACAACAAACGGGTGTTCCTTCTCCTATGTTCAGGTGTATAATGACCCCTACTTTTGCTAGAATGTCTCTCCTTAACAAGGGAGTGGGGCTTTCAGGCGTAATTAGAAAAGCATGTGAAAAGAGTAAAGTTCCCCAGTCACAACTTAGTGGCTGGGAGAAGTATCTAGTGACTGGCTGTCCTAGGACCCCTCGGATAGTGACAGATCTGGAGGACAGTTGTCCAGGACAGGAGAGTAAGACTGAGAAGGCCGTGCCAGTGTCCAGGAGACAGTTAACCTCCTGGCCCTCAGTGGTAAAGCATACCCAGGGCTCTGTGAGGGTGATGGCATGGGCTGGCGCTTTCCCCGGGCACCCTCAGTCCTGCTGCTGGATCATCTGGTTCAGCAGGACCTTCGTCTCCTGAGACCTTCGTCTCAGAGGACCTTCGTCTCCTGAGGTAGTGGGCCTTCCAGTGATTCCCTTGACATAAGGGGCATGGACAAGGGGGCGGCTTATTTCTACTTGGACAATCTTTTTTAAAGTGTCCTTGCGGACCGCACTGGAAGCAAGCCCTTTTAGGCATTCGATTTGCCCAGCTTTTCCCTTTTCCAGAGCCTCCAAAGTCCACTTGCCTAAGGGCCATGACTAAAGCGGTGGCCTTTTTTTTTTTAATCCCGTTTGTCCTGTTCCGCCTGCTCCTCCTGATCTCTATTATAAAAAAACAAGGTTGCCAAGTTCAGTAGAGTTTCTAAGTTTTGCTCTGGGCCTAAGGCGGACTTTTGAAGTTTTTTCCTAATGTCTGCAGCTGACTGATAAACTTGTCCTTTAAGATTAGTTGGCCTTCAATGGAGTCAGGTGACAGGGAGGTATGCTTCCTTAATTCCTCTCTTAGTCTATCCAGAAAGGCAGTAGGATTTTCTTCCTTTCCCTGTGTTACAGTGGACATCATTGAATAATTCATAGGCTTCTTCCTAGTTTTCCTTAGTCCTTCTAGCACGCAAGTTAGCAGATGTCTGCGGCACCAATCTCCATGTTCTGATTCTGTGTCCCAGTGAGAGTCTACACTGGGAACTGCCTGCTGGCCTGTGGGGAATCGTTCTCTTTCCTCTGTTGTCATCCTATCATTGACCTAACTGAGATACCAGAGATTGCCAAACTCTCGGGCTGCAGTTATGGCGGCACTTCTCTCATTTGGGGTTAGTGTCTGATCTAGCAGTAACATTATATCTCTCCATGTCAGATCAAAGGATTGTCCTAACCCTTGTAAAACGTCAATATAGCCATCAGGGTTATCTGAGAATTTACCTAGATCTATTTTAATTTGCTTTAAGTCTGAGACAGAAAAAGGTACATGCACTCTGGCTGGGCCGAATTCTCCTCCTCCCACTGCTTGGAGGGGGCATAATCGGGGAATATTGGCACTCTGGTTCATTGTTTACCCCTTTGTCTGTCTCCTTTGGACCGTTTGGGTTAAAGGGGGGTCCTTGTTAGTTGGGGAAGGAGTCGGGGGGACACTGGAATAGGGAGGTAGACTCTGAGGGCTTCCTGTAGGGCATAAACCACACTTTTTACATAATTGCGAGTTGTCTCTTAATGAAAAGAAAGTTTGCACATATGGCACTTCACTCCATTTGCCCTCCTTTCTACAGAAGAGGTCTAGCTGTAGGATGGTGTTATAATCTATACTTCCCTCACGAGGCCAGGTTTCTCCCCCTTGAAGAGGATATCGTGGCCAGGCGGTACTGCAGAAGAGTATAAGTCATTTCTTTCTTAGTGTCTGAGGGTCAGATTGGTCCCATTCTCCAGAATACATCTTAGGGGCGTTTTTGCCTTGTGGGGGAGAACGTTTCCCATCTGAAAAAAGAACAGAGGGATGCCAGCACCCCTAGTCATTTTCCAATGAGCATTAGTCCTAGAGCGTCCTGTAAGGGCCTAATGCTTATTCTTTTCCAGGGTGCGTAACCACCCATGGACCTCTGCTTATCGGATTAGTTACGCTTACCGATGTAGCAGTCCTGCACCTGTTTTCCCGCCTCTCTTGACCACAAAGAAAAGGGTCTGGACTGCTGGATTCTAGTGGTCCTTTACCAGCGTGCCCAAAATTGCCTTTGTGCTCAGGGGTGAGTTCCTTTCCAGGGTGCGTAACTCCCCACGGACCTCTGCCTATCGGATTAGTTACGCTCCCCAATGTAGCAGTCCTGCACCTGTTTTCCCGCCTTTCTTGACCACAAAGAAAGGGGTCTGGGCTGCTGGATTCTAGTTATTTTTAGTTTTTTGAAGAACCTTCAAACTGTTCTTCATAGTGGTTGTACTAATTTACATTCCTGCCAACAGTGTATGAGGGTTCCCTTTTCTCTACATCCTTGCTAGCATTTGTTGTAGCCTGTCTTTTGGATAAAGGCCATTTTAACTGGGGTAAGATGATATCTCATTGTAGTTTTGATTTGCGTTTCTCTGATGATCAGTGATGTTGAGCACCTTGTCATGTTCCTATTTGCCATTTGTGTGTCCTTTTTTGAGAAATGTCTGTTCAGATCTTTTGCCCATTTTTGATTGGATTATTAGATTTCATCCTATAGAGTTGTTTGAGCTCGTTGTATATTCTGATTATTAATCCCTTGTCAGGTGAGTAGTTTGCAAATACATTTCTTCCATTCTATGGGTTGTCTCTTCACTTTGCTGATTGTTTCCTATGCTGTGCAGAAGCTTTTTAACTTGATGTGATCCCATTTCTCCATTTTTGCTTTAGTTTCCTATGCTTGTGGGATATTACTTAAGACATTTTTGCCCAGACCAATGTCCTAGAGATTTTCCTCAATGTTTTCTTGTAGTAGCTTGTAAAGATATGTAGAAAGAGGAAAGAATATAGGATTGGTGGGGAAAATAGCAGCCAAATCATGCAGGACCTTTTATGCTATTAAGGATTTGTAGTATCCTATGGGTTTAGGTAAGGAAGCAATGTGATCAGATTATGTTTTAGAAAAATAGCTAAACTGTGGTGAGAGAGAAAACTGGAAGCAAGCAGTTCTGTTGGGAAACTGAGGGGCATGGACCAGTGTGGGAGATCTGGGCATAGAGAAAAGGATGAGATTACCTAAGACAGTGGAAATGGATAAGATGGTAAGATTCTAGAAACATTTTGGATGTTAAATTAAAAAGAAAAATACCTCAGTGACTAATTGGATATGGGATTGGAGAAGGCAGAGAGTATAAAATAACCTTGAAATTTCTAACTTGCCAATGTAATAACTGAGAAGAGAAACTACATTATCAGTAATCTCTTTGTATGGGAGCAAAGTTCTACTGCATGTTCTCACTTTATTCAACACATTGGCCAATGATTAATTATTCTTTGTCTTTCTTACTAGTCTGAAACCTAAGAGAATTTTTCAAATATTTCTTTTCTAAAAGGAAAATTATATGGGGTATTTTTTAGATTATAAAGGTAATATATGCTCATTATTTTAAAAAATTCAGATAATGCGGAAAAATATAAAAATTATTGTATAGTCTAGAGGAAAGTAAAAAGCTTTCATCATCCATGGTTGACCCCTAGTAACATCTTGTTTTTATATACTTTCTAACTTTTCTATGCAGATACGTATGTAAATAAATATTTCCTATAAATAGGATACTTTACCTGCTGTTTTATACCCTGCCTTTGTCACTTGATGATATATATTATGCATATTATTCCATGCCAAATATGAATCTATTTCATAATTTGTAATTGCTGTGTTGAATTCCATTGTATGGATGTACCATCATCAGTTTTCTATTTTTATCTTTTCTGTACAATACTGCCATGAATATTTTATACTTCATCTTTACAAGTTAATCATATCTGATTATTTTTCAGGATAAATTTTCAATAGTAGAAATCCTGGGTCAAAGATACACGTTTCAAATTTTAATTCGTACTTTGTGATTAGTTATGCCAATTTACATTCTAGTCCCAAACTATTGGGTATAAACCCTATTTCTGTTTTTCTAGCTCCACGACTTTTCTCTAAAATTAGAATGCTAAATATTTATCTTTTAAGGTTGTTATAATTAAGTCAGAGAATGAATATACATATTTAGCCCAATGTTTAATACCTAATAATTGCATAATAAATGCCAGCCATTGCTTTTAATAACATGAAATATGTGCTTCCCCAAAGCCCTGTTAATACTGGGTAACATCAGTCTCTTTAATTTTTACTAATGTGGGAAAATGATGTGTTATTTCAATGAGAAATTTTGGATGGTGAACATCTTTTCATGTGCTTATTAGACTTATGACTTTTTTGTTTATTCATTTCTGAATTGCTTTCCATTTTCTGTGATTGCTTTAAATTTTTTTTTTTTTTTTTTTTTTTGAGGTGGAGTCTCGCTCTGTCGCCCAGGCTGGAGTGCAGCGGCACGATCTCAGCTCACTGCAAGCTCCGCCTCCTGGGTTCACGCCATTCTCCCGCCTCAGCCTCCCAGGTAGCTGGGACTACAGGCGCCCACCACCACGCCCAGCTAATTTTTTGTATTTTTAGTAGAGATGGGGTTTCACCATTCACAGAATGGTCTCGATCTCCTGACCTTGTGATCCACCCGCCTTGGCCTCCCAAAGTGCTGGGATTACAGGCGTGAGCCACTGCACCTGGCCTTTTTTTTTTTTTTTTTTTGGGGGGTGGGGACAGTTTCACTCTGTTGCCAAGGCTGGAGTGCAGTGGCATGATCTCAGCTCACTGGAACCTCCACCTCCCAGGTGCAAGCGATTCTCATGCTTCAGCCTTCTAAGTACCTGGGATTACAGGCATGCGCCACCACCCAGGCTAATTTTTGTATTTTTGGTAGAGATGGTTTCACTTTGTTGGCCAGGCTGATCTTGAACTCCTGACCTCAAGTGATCCACCTACCTTGGCCCCCAAAGTGCTGGGATTACAGGTGTGAGCCACCGTGCCCAGTCAAAAATTTGCTCTTTTTCTTATATTTCAGTATTTCAGTATTTTTTATGTGTTAGAGATGTTGACTTCTTTTTTTTTTTTTTGATACAGAGTCTTGCTCAGTTGCCCAGGCTGGAGTGCAGTGGCTCGATCTCCGCTCACTGCAAGCTCCGCCTCCTGGGTTCACGCCATTCTCCTGCCTCAGTCTCCCGAGTAGCTGAGACTATAGGCACCTGCCACCAAGCCCAGCTAATTTTTTTGTATTTTTTTAGTAGAGACGGGGTTTCACCGTGTTAGCCAGGATGGTCGCGATCTCCTGACCTCGTGATCTGCCCTCCTCGGCCTCTCAAAGTGCTGGGATTACAGGCGTGAGCCACCGCGCCCGGCCAGAGATGTTGACTTCTAATTTGCAAACATTTCCCTACGTTTTGTCATTTTTAATTGAATTATATATGGCGCTTTTTAACCCTATATATGTAAAACAATACATTTTTAGATAACTCTACCATTTATTTGCTTTATGATTTCTGGCTTTTCCTACCCTAAGAGTTTAAAAATATTTGTATGTAATTTTTTTGTTACATTTCTTACAGTAAAATTTTTAATCCTTCTGGAATTTCTTTTGTTTTAGCGTAAGATGGAGTTTTATTTTTTATATACTAAATTTCCATTCAAACCATCTGTTTGATAACTTATCTAGGGCAAATTTCCTTTGATTCTTCTTTTTGTTTGTTTGTTTTATAGAGACAAAGGGTCTTACTCTGTCTCCCACGCTGGAGTTTGGTGATGCAATCACCACTCACTGCAGCCTTGAACCTATGGGTTCAAAGATTCTCTCACTTCAGTCTCTCAAGTAGCTAGAACAGACACGTGCTGCCACACCCAGCTTATTCTTCTTTTTAATACTCTTCTTGGCTATTATTGCATATTTATTCTCCTAGGAAAACTTTGGAAAATCGTTCTGTAAAATGTAAAAAAAAAAAAAAAAAAAGTGTAAAAAAAAAAATTTGATCAAGTCGTTGATGCTGAGGCCAGGCGCAGTGGCTCACACCTGTAGTAATTCCATCACTTTGGGAGGCCTGGGCAGGCAAATCGCTTGAGCTCGGGAATTCAAGACCAACCTGGGCAACATGGCTGGTATTTTTTCATACAAAAGATATGAAAATTAGCGTGTGAAAAAGATATGAAATTATCACGTTTGTTGTCATGTGTCAGTGGTCCCAGCTACACTGAAGGTTGAGGTGGGAGGATTGCTTGAGCCTGGGAGGTGGAGGCTGCAGTGAGCCGAGATCGCACCACTGCACTCCAGCCTGGGTGACAGATCGAGACCCTGTCTCAAAAAATAAAAATAAAAATAAATAAAATACCCCTGTTGAAAAGTCACACTGAGATTTTCATTGAGGTTTTCAGATTTCTTGGAATAAACAGTAAATCTTGAGTGCACTTTAAAACTCTCATGGTTACAACTGTCATTTCAGTTCAGCCTGTCAGTAAGAACATTCCAGAATTTTTATGTTATGCTTGTACATACAATACTATATAAATAGGTATTTCATAAAAATATGTTTTGATGGTGTTCATTGATTCAGAGACCAAAACTTTTCACTCCCAAAACTCAAAGGCATGCCATTTTCTCAGTAGCAGGAAAATATATTGTTACTTGTACGTGTTGTAAAACTTGAATTACTGTTTCAGAAGTGATTTCTATTATGTTTATACAAGGAAAAAATTCAAAGTAATTTACTTTAATGAATATGTAAGGCAGACTCTATTCTAAGATTCTTTTATTACAGTACAAAATATAACTCTTTAGTTTTACCCATTTCAGTTCCATCTTAATGTGTATTTGTTTCAGTAATGTTCCCCATCCTCACAAACATTTACTTTTTTTATTTTTAGTTAAAAAAATTTTTGTTCCTGGTGGGACCAAGAGTTCCAACACAAACATTTAAATAGAGGAAAAATAAATGAGAGAGCCATTAAGGTCTTCTTATAAAAGCAGATGTTTGTTATTCGGAGCTTACAAATTATTAACCCACATATCACAAACAAGAAATCTGTTTTTCAGGTTTCAGTTTCATAAATTTCTTGGCATAATCTAACATTTTAAAAATTAATATAACCAATCAGTGACTGCTTCAGTGAAACTAAGTATACAATTAGGCTTTACATCATATGTTAAATGTTTCAGTAACCATGTACAAACAGCCTTTTGATGTAAATGGGCTTTTTGTTACCCATTATAGAGGAAATTGAGGTTTTGAGGAGTTAATGTCAAATGGTAGGAAGGAACGAAACTAATATTTTGAGTACCAAATGAACCAAGCACTTTATTTGGTGTTTTCTTGGAGCTTATTATTTTGAATAAGTAGATTATTTTCTGACAGTAAATTTGATCAAGTCATTGGTGCATTATATAAAACCAAATTTGTCACCATATTACCAATTCTTTACTTTTTGTATTCATCTGTGATTGTTTACTCAGTTTTTGTATAATAGAATACACAAATCCTGCTTTTCATCATTGAATAATCACTTTTCCCTGCTGCTTAAGATATCTGTAGTTGATTAAAATAAATGATCTCAAGCATTTTTCTTTGTTTTTCAGATTCCTGAATTTGACAACTTGTACCTGGATATGAATGGAATTATACATCAGTGCTCCCATCCTAATGATGATGATGTTCACTTTAGAATTTCAGATGATAAAATCTTTACTGATATTTTTCACTACCTGGAGGTGTTGTTTCGCATTATTAAACCCAGGAAAGTGTTCTTTATGGCTGTAGATGGTGTGGCTCCTCGAGCAAAAATGAACCAGCAGCGTGGGAGGCGTTTTAGGTAAAACATTTATGTTTTATTTTGGAATATTATTTAGCTTAGTAAAAATATGTTATTTTAAAGATAATTGATTTAACACAATCTTCTGTTCATGTTTATTTTCTGCGTAAACTCCCCCAGAAATGGAAATATCTCAGTGTCATATTTTACCAGTCGAGTAATGAGTTAGGAACTCAGTGAGATGTCCTTTCTCAAAACATATGTTGGAGGTTCTCTTGTTCGTTTGTTTGTTTGTTTGTTGAGACAGAATCTCACTCTATCACCCAGGCTGGAGTGCAGTGGTACAGTCTTAGCTCACTGTAATATCTGCCTCCCCAGTTCAAGTGATTATCGGTGCCTCAGCCTCTTAACTAGCTGGGATTACAGCCAAGCGCCACCGGACCCAGCTAATTTTTTATATATATATATAAAATAAATTTTATATATATATAATTAATTATATATATAATTAATTATATATAAAATAAATTTTATATATAAAACATTTTATATATTTATATATAAATTATATATTATATATTTTATATATATGAAAATATATTTATATATTTATATATAATGTATATATTTTATATGTATAATTTATTTATTTTTGCATATATATATGCAAAACTCCGTCTCAAAAAGATTATATATATTAAAAAAATATATATTTATATATATACAATATATTATATAATATATACAATATATTATATTATATATAATATATTATATAATATATACAATATATTATATTATATATATTTATATATATAATATATATATTATATATAATATATATAATATAATATATTATATATAATATATATATTTTTTAATATTATATATAATTTTTTTTTTGAGATGGAGTTTTGCTCTTGTCGCCCAGGCTGGAGTGCAGTGGCGCGATCTCGGCTCATTACAACCTCCGCCTCCCAGGCACAAGTGATTCTCCTGCCTCAGCCTCCCAAGTAGCTGTGATTACAGGTGCCCGCCACCACACCCAGCTAATTTTTGTATTTTTAGTAGAGACGGAGTTTCACCACGTTGGCCAGGCTGATCTCAAACTCCTCACCTCAGGTGAGCCACCCACCTCAGCCTCCCACAGTGCTGGGATTACAGGTGTGAGCCACCGTGCCCAGCCAATTTTTAATATTTTTAATAGAGACAGGGTTTCACTCTGTTGGCCAGGCTGGTCTTGAACTCCTGACCTCAAGTGATCTGCCTACCTTGGCCTCCCAAAGTGCTGGGATTACAGGTGTGAGCCACCACGTCTGGCCAGGTTTTGGTGTCACCTGGGGCTCTAAGAATACATCACTGTAGTTACAGTTCAGCAATTAGGAAGCTACTGCTGCATCTGTTAGTTCCCAAGCTACAGTGCAGTTGCTAGATCTGTACTGAAAAAAACTGATTCCCTGTTCCTTGCTTATAAAGTCACACTTTTGTTTTCTGTCACAAGTTTTTATACTTCTCATTGATAATTTGCAAATGATAGTACTGTAGTAGAGAAAAGCTCCAATAGTAGTCTGCCCTGGGATGGTAACTAGAAAGTGAACTAAGAGGTTCTTCTAATGAGAACATTATTGACACTTAATTCAACAAACGTGTATTGAATGCCCAGACTCTGGGTTAGATGCTGATTTTTGACTGAGCATAAGTCCAGATTGGGCAGAAAGGCAAGTGAGATCAGAATGCAATTGATGGACTGTGAGAAGTGAGCTAAGTTAGGAAATTCAGGGTATTATCAGCACCACTGTGTGACTTAGGCGGTAGGAGAAGTAAAAGGATGAGAAGAGGTTACACACTAGGATTTTAAAGTTCATTCCTGGACATGTGGAATATTTCTGTGTAACAGTGAGATCAGGCTGTGTCCCGGTTCATGGGTAACAGAAGTAAAGGTTAGAATTGAAGGCAAGAAATCCCTAGTGGAGAGTGTTTGACGGGTCATTAGCATAATGAGTCCTTCAATCATAATGGCAAGTAAAGGAGTGGAAAGACCATCTGCACATCCAATGTGGAAGTCATCAAAGAAGGTGGGACGGTGCTTTGAAGAAGGCTGCCGGTGAGAGGAAGAGGATGGCAAAAAGTACTGATTTCAATATCAAAAGAAAAAAGATACTGAAATTTTTAGAAAGACTGTGAGATCTTTGAAGGCAAGGGCCATCTCTGAGTAATATTTAAATTCTCAAATACCACCCAAGACTTACTCTATCAGAATCTCTAGTAGTTGAGAAACTCCTGGGAACTATTTTTTACCATACTCCCCTGGTATTTGTTAAAGTAGTTTTTGGGAGCCACTAGCCTAGAAGATCTAGTGTTAAGGAGGGATTTTATAAACCTACTACATCAGTCTGGGTTCAGTTGCAGGTGATAGAAAGCACTCTAGCTATTTCAGACAAAAAGGGGTGTAATTCAGGGAATTGGGTGTTTATAAAAATCACTGTAAAGCCAAAAGGGCGGGAATCTAGGTGAGCCGTAAGGGATAACTTCCCAAACAGCACTACAGAACTGACTCACCAGTGGCAGAACTATTACCACATTCAGGTAACGTGAGGAGTTCAGAGCCCCCTACCAAAATGGGTGGTTTCGGGAACTTACTCCTTTATCTGTGATCCAATAATTAAGAAGCTGTCACTTGGGGCTCTAAGAATACATCACTATAGTTACAATTCAGCAATTAGGAAGCTACAGCTGCATCTGTTCCAGAGCTACAGTGCACCTGCTAGATCTGCACTGAAAAAAACTGATTCCCTGTTCCTTGCTTATCAGCACCTCTAAAGATACTGAATACTGGGATCTTCTTTACCATTGCTGAAATATACAGACATACTAGAGCTCCAGTGCCTCAATTGTGATGCAGGCACCACCACACTTCCACTTTCCAAACCTTATATGGAGGCATCTAATTGGCAAAATCTGAGTCATATGAAGACACTTAGCTTCAGGGAAGCCTGAGAACTTTCTAACCTACCTGGTGTCAGAAGGTAAACTAAAAGGAAATGGAATGGAAGTTGAGGGCCAATGCATTATAACCACCACAAGCATTTATTAAATACTGTGCTGGTATTGAGCACTACATTTTTCCTAGAAATCCCCTAGTCAGTTTTCTGCCATTCTCTACAGTGATGACCTTCTCCATTCATAATTCCCTGTTTTACTTATTTCTAAATCTGCCTTCTTTTATCCCCACCATGCCACTAAAATTTCCTGACAAGATTACGGCTAAATCCAGGCCGGGCGTGGTGGCTCGCACCTGTAATCCCAGCACTTTGGGAGGCCCAGGCGGGTGGATCACAAGGTCAGGAGTTCAAGATCAGCCTAGCCAAGGTGGTGAAACCCCGTCTCTACTAAAAATACAAAAACAATTAGCCAGGTGTGGTGGTGGTCGCCTGTAATCCCAGCTACTCGGGAGGGTGAGGCAGAGAATTGCTTAAACCCAGGAGGCGGAGGATGCAGTGAGCTGAGATCACACCACTGCACTCCAGCCTGGGCGACAGAGTGAAACTCTGTCTCAAAAAAAAAAAAAAAAAAAAAGATTATGGCTAAATCCAAAGAATACTTCTTTCTTCAACTTATTTCATTTATCCACAGCATTTAACAATGTTGACCATTCTTTCTTGAGCTTCTCCCTTTCCTTGACCATCATGTAACCACATTCTCTCTTTGTACTTTCTTAGTCTCCTTGTCTTCTTTTCTTCCTTTGTGTTTCTTAAATATTAATGTTTCTTAAGTTTCTGTCCTAGGCTCTGAGTGATTTCATCCAATGGCTTTGATTACTATGTCTCTGCTGATGACTCCAAATTTATCTTTCTGGTGGATCGCTTTCTCCTAAGCTCCTATATATCCAAATGCCTACTAAATGTCTCCTTTTGGAAACCCCAGATATACTTCAGGGTTAACATATTTAGAACTGAACTCATCTTCCCCTTAAAACAGTCTGCCTTCTGTGTTTCCTATTTCAATGAATGGCAACACCTGCCACTAGCTACCTAATCCAAAAGTCCAAGAGTTATTTGGACTTCTTGCTCTTCCTCATTCCTCACATCCAGTCCTCTTTATCCAGTCTCAAATTTGTCACATCTGTCTACTTCTTTTCATCTTTAATGCTACTGTCTCAGCCTAGACTACCATTATCTTAATCTAGATTACTTCAATAGTCTTACCTTGTTCCTGTCAAACATTTTCTTTATTGCATCCAGATTAAACATTATGGCTGTTTAATTTTCTACCTCCCCACTAGAGTGTAATCTCAGAACAGAAATAATTTTTTTTTTTTTTTTTTTTTGGAGAGTCTTGCTCTGTCTCGCCCAAGCTGGAGTGCAGTGATGTGATCTCGGCTCACTATGGCCTCTGCCCCCTGGGTTCAAGCGAATCTCCTGTCTCAGCCTCCCAAGTAGCTGGGACTACAGGCCGCACCACCACACCCGGCTAATTCTTTTTGTATTTTTAACAGAGATGGGGTTTCACCATGTTGGCCAGGCTGGTCTCAAACTCCTGACCTTAGGTAATCCACCTGCCTTGGCCTCCCAAAGTGCTGGGATTACAGGTGTGAGCCACCGCACCTGGCCAAGAATAATTTCTCTTTTGTTATATCCCAAGACCTTGTGACATAACAACATTGAATAATCGTTTGGTCAGCCAAAGAAGGAAGGGAAGAAAAGAGGAAAGAAGACATTGCAGATAATACAAACAAGTTGATATCCTCAGAGTTTTTGTTATGTTAAAGAGGTTGGTGAGAGAGAAGTTAAACTTGAAGAAGAGTTTGTTCATCACAGAAATAGAATTGTGTGGGGCACAGTAGATGAAGCTAGTAGCAAGGCTGTAGAAACTATACTCAAAGCAGAGCTTCCTAACTTGTATGCCATGTGGCATGCTGGTACGCTGCAAAGGGGTGGCAGTAGAAGTCAGGCAGGTAGTAGGACACCCATATTCAAATCCAGGTTTGCCTGACTGTAAAACTCAGGTTCTTTCTAGTAAATTCTGTTGCCTCAAAAATGTGATGATTTTGCAGTTGATTTCATTAATGTCATTAGGCTTTCATTTTAAATGTTTTTAGGAAACACAAAGATAGATATTTCAATTTTATAATTGCATTTTTATATAATCTTAGGGATAATTTTAATGATCTTAAATGTATACATTAAATGATGATTAAGATCATTAAATGTCATTATCATTAGATGTAGTATATATAATGAACATTTAAAGCTATACTTTTGATCTTATTTTTAGAATGAATTTGCCATATATTTGTGACAATAATTATTTTATGTTTTTAACATTCTGTTAAAATGTTCTACTTCTGTATTCCTAATCCGAAAAATTCAATTTTTTTTTTTTTAAATGAGACAGAGACTCACTGTGTCACACAGCCTGGAGTGCAGTGGGTACAATCATCACTCATTGCAATCTTGAGCTCCTGGGCTCAAGGGATCCTTTTGCCTCAGCCTCCCAACTAGCTGAGACTATAGGCACATGCCCCTGTACCTGGCTAATAATTTTTTTTATTTTTGTAGAGATGGGATCTTGCTTTGTTGCCCAAGCTGGTCTTGAACTCCTAGACTCAATTGTTCTTCCCACCTTGGCCTCCCAAAATATTGAGATTACAGGCATGAGCCACTGCACCTGGCCTGAAAAATTCAATTCTTTAAATAAACAAAACAGACAAGTCTGGGGCTCATTTTTATCAATCATAATCATTTCAAAACTTGTATGTTTTGAACGTTAAAACTGGTGAATTACTATTTTAGTTATAAAGGCACCTACATAGCAGTTTATATAAAGATCTTCACTTTTTTTCAGAAAACTTAAGGTACTTTTTTCCCTTAACCTTTAAGGTCAGCAAAGGAGGCAGAAGACAAAATTAAAAAGGCAATAGAGAAGGGAGAAACTCTTCCTACAGAGGCCAGATTTGATTCCAACTGTATCACACCAGGTAAATTCACTGAGAGACAAATTATGACAGAATTGAAATATAAATTGAAAACTTGGTTTTTAAATGTATTTTATTTTCTATGCTCTATTTATTTTGGCCTTAGGGTTCCATTTACTGTATTTTCCCACTTATGTTTGCTCATGAGACGATTTGGTCACCTTGGTCATAAATACTCCTACAAAAACTGTAGGGATTTTCAGATGTAGATAAATTAGAGCAGATATGGACAGGAATCTCCCAGGTGGACAGAATTGCAGACCTTGAAGAAACTTATGTTTATATATCTTTCTGTCCTATTCCTGCCATTTATTTATGTTAAAACAGACTCAGTGAGGTTGTAGCTTATCAAGTTGATGTAGCTAGATTGTGGTAGTCAGAGTAAGAAACTGATTCTCCTAGTCCAGGGCACTTACTACTCTGCTTCTCAAAATTAGTTAAGATTTTTATGACTTTAAGGAAAATGAATTTATCAGTATTATGTTTAATTTTGTATGCAGCAGCATACTCTATATACTTCTACAACCTTTGTCTAACATCATATAATTCTTTACTTTGAATGAAAATCTTAAAATCTAACTTTCTCATCAGTTCTTTACTAACAGTGGTAATTTGCCCTTTCTTTAAGTGCATTGGTCACACATTGCTCAGTTTAACAACCGGTTTTATCCTGATTGTGGTTTTAGACTGTATTGCTTTTGACTGTTGACCATCTGAGCCTTTCCCAAAATGTAATCATTGTAGACTCAGGTTCCAAATTAATAATAATTTTTCAGAATAATAATTTCAGTAGTAATATTATTATTATTATTGACAATCTGATTTAAGCTGCAAGCCTTAAAAAAAAAAACCTTCAGAATTCAGCAGAAGAAATAGAAGGTTGAGGTTCATTAGAGATCTCAAACTCTGCCCTTACATGAAAATTCCTGAAGCACAGTGCTGAGACACTAGTAAAATTCCTTGACTTTCCCTGTGTGACACTGATTCTATTTAGGGGGACTAGTGACATTAGAAACAGTTGTGATATTTGCAAGGGAAAAGTACATTACTTGTTTTTCAGGATAAGCAAGAGAGCTTTTGACCTTCTTTGGAGATCCTATACCTACCTAGCTATTCCCGGCGTACTCAGATTCAGTTATGTGTTGTCACTGAGAACTTAATGTTTTTATGTCTTTCTTAGATTAACCTTTTTAAAACATTATTTTTAGGAACTGAATTTATGGCCAGGTTACATGAACATCTGAAGTATTTTGTAAATATGAAAATTTCCACAGACAAGTCATGGCAAGGAGTTACCATCTACTTCTCAGGCCATGAGGTTATTATCTTTTTTTATTTAAAGAGTTTAAAAAAAGTATTTAATATTCTCAAGCATATACCATATTACTGCATTTTTAAAAACAATTTTATTTAGACTCCTGGAGAAGGAGAGCATAAAATCATGGAATTTATCAGATCCGAGAAAGCAAAGCCAGATCATGATCCAAACACCAGACACTGTCTTTATGGTTTAGATGCTGACTTGGTAGGTATAATTTTTATTATTATAAACTTATGCATTGATAGTTAAATATCTAAGAGATTTCATTTTGTACAGGAAGCTTACTGGCTGTGGCAACAAATATTGGAGACACAATAATGATTGCTACTTCTATCATTACCAAATTTCTAAAAATCATTGGAAAATGAGCTTTTTAACCATAGTTTATTGACCAACAGATCTCTATAATTAGTCTACAGGTGTGACTAATCCTAGTGCTGTGAATACTTTGCCAAGGTCAGAGAAATGGGGCTGCTTTTTTACCCTCAGGCTTAATACTTGGCTTTTAATACCTCCTTATCTGAAAACTCCATGCTCCAGATACCTTTAGTAGACTTTTTGGCATTAACTTTTTATTATGGAAATTTTCAAGCATAAACAAAAATAGAAAAGGTAATATAATGAACATCGTATACCCTTCATCTAACTTAAATAATTTTAAATTTCTACCCCTAATCATCTGTCTCCTCTCCCTCCTACCCACTCCCCGCCCGATTATTAAAGCAAATCCTAAACATTTTATCATTAATTTGTATATGTTTCATAATGTTTCTCTAAAGGATTAAGGTGTTTTTTTAAGAAAAAATATATAACCACAATGCCATCATCCCACCTAAAACAGAAATTAACCTTTTCTTAATATAGAAATAACCAGTTAGTATTATCATTTCCCTGATTGCCTCATAAATGTTTCATTTTGTTTTCTTGTTTGAATCAAGATTGAAATAAACAGTATGCAAGTACATGGCGTTTGATTGATATGTGTCAACAGACTGTTGACTTACTTGGGGTATTAGAATACTGTGTGAGAGGCCGGGCAAGGTGGCTCATGCCTGTAATCCCATCTCTTTGGGAGGCCGAGGCGGCCAGATCATCTAAGGTCAGGAGTTCAAGACCAGCCTGGCCAACATGGCTAAACCCCATCTCTACTAAAAAATACAAAAATTAGCCAGGCATAGAGGCAGATACCTGTAATCCCAGCTACTCTGGAGGCTGAGGCAGGGAGAATTGCTTGAACCTGGGAGGTGGAGGTTGCAGTGAGCCAAGATCGCGCCACTGCTCCAGCCTGGGCAACAGAGCGAGACTCTGTCTCAAAAAAAAAAGATACTATGTGAGAAAATTAACTGGAAGTGCTCTTTTCCATTTTTTTTTTTCCTGAGTTTTCATATACTGGGGCTATCCTGGTCTCCAAAAGAGTCCTGCATTCTTTGGTCATAGAAAAGCTGCTGCCTCTAATTTCTAACCAGTTCCCCCACGGCAAGTAGAAATATGTGAAAACCAAGAGAAGATGTTTGGGATTTGGAGGGATAGGAAGAGGAGAGGGGACAGGGGATAGGGTAATGGTTATGAAAAGCATGTGAGCTAAGGTGAACATATTTTTCTTAGAAAAGTACACTTTATCTCATTCATTACCTACAAATAGATCATATTTTGTTATTTGTATATTTAATGTGCTAATTGTTTCTTATTCTTCCTTGTATAGAATTGTTTTTTAATTGCTTTTGTGAACCTAATATTATTAAAAATGGGAGAATAAAAACATTTCTTAATCATTTTTCAACAGATTATGCTTGGATTAACAAGTCATGAGGCACATTTTTCTCTCTTAAGAGAAGAAGTTCGATTTGGTGGCAAAAAAACACAACGGTAAATTATATAGCATATATGTTGGAAGAAAGAAATTACGCCTGGATAGTAATTCTTTAACAGATACATGTTTGTAAATACTTTATCTCATTCCGTAGGTTGCCTTTTCACTATGTTGATAGTGTCCTTTGATGCACAAACGTTTTTAATTTTGTTATAATCCAACTCATTTATTCTTCTTTTTTTAGGAGTTTTCAAGTTTTAACTTTTATGGTTAGATCTTTGATTCATTTTGAGTTAATTTTAGTGTGTAGTGTAAGGTAAGGGCCCAACTTCATTCTTTTGCATGTGGATATCCAATCTTCCTTGCATTATTTGTTGAAAAGACCAGCCTTAAATGGGCCAGATCTCAGTAGTTTCTTACTTCTACTATATGTTATTTAGGACTTCTTAATTCTGAGAATCCTTCCACAGAACACATAATGTAAACCAATTGTTTTGAACTTTAACATGTATTATCTATTATTGCAATTGTATTTTTATCTTTGTTACCCTGCAACCTTCATATAAATTGTATGCCTTAATTACAAGACCTTACTATCTTCTGATGATACTTTTGATTTAAGCTTTGTTACATTTTTAAGCTGGGACCTTAAAAATAAAATTCACTGTATCTTGATCATCTGACTAATTCCAGGGTATGTGCTCCAGAAGAAACTACATTTCACCTTCTACACTTGTCTTTAATGAGAGAGTATATTGACTATGAGTTTTCAGTATTAAAAGTAAGTATTAATAAAGCCATGGACCAAGGATTTCCATTGCAGAAATTTTCACTGGATTTGACTTTGTTCTCTATTTTACTGTAGGAAAAGATCACATTTAAATATGATATTGAAAGGATAATAGATGATTGGATTTTGATGGGGTTTCTTGTTGGTAATGATTTTATCCCTCATCTACCTCATTTACATATTAATCATGATGCACTGCCTCTTCTTTATGGAACATATGTTACCATCCTGCCAGAACTTGGGGGTAAGAAGAATTTAATAATCTCTCGAGGATACTTTAATTTAGTGCCACCTTACCCTAAAAATGTGACTTAGTTTAGTAGATTATTGCATGCACGCTAAAGCAGAAAAACATTGAGGATTTATTTTGGTCTAAGGTGCTAACCTCTGAGGTTGTCATTTTCAGTGATTCACAAGGAAAGAAAGTGAACAGAGTTAACGAACCTCAATTATTGATATCTAACTAATCTTTGCCTTTTTTTTATTATTTATTTATTTTTTGAGACGGGGTCTTGCTCTGTTGCCCAGGCTGGAGTGCAGTGGCGACAGTGCAACGTTTGCCTTCTGGATTCAAGCTATGCCCATGCCTCTGCCTCCTGAGTAGCTGGGATTACAGGCATGTGTCACCATGCCCAGCTAAGTTCTATATTTTTAGTGGAGATGGGGTTTTACCATATTGACCAGGCTGGTCTCAAACTTCGGCCTCAAGTGATCTGGCTTCCCAAAGTGCTGGGATTACAGGCATGAGCCACCACACCCGGTCTAATCTTTGCCTTTAATTCCTTAAGAAAGCCAGCATACTTTATTGGTTTTACTTTTTTCATATTTAAGCATAGAAATTCAATTTTTTTCGAATGGATATGCATCACAGTGTTTATTATGAAGCAGTGATTTTTCAATGAAAACAGAAAATTGACAAACATAGTGATGCCAAATAAAACAGACCACAGGGTAGCAGAACATCAGTCCTTAAGTTAACATATCATATTAAATGATCTAGATAGATTATAGACCATATTTAATTTAATTAATTGTTACCAAATGTTGGATTATTATGTGGAACCTGGAATTTCTTATATTTGGCTTTGGTGCTTACATGTTGCATATTATAGTAGCATAAAATTCACAGAAACTAGGGCCAGTTTGGATATAGTCCAACACTGTTTTTTCTTGATTAGTACTGTAGAACATGAACATTCAACATTTTGTAGAAAGAGTTTTGTAGAATTGTTTAGAAAAAATGTCAGCTTTTAGTACAGATTTAAATTTTTGTTTCTTTTAGGTTATATTAATGAAAGTGGGCACCTCAACTTACCTCGATTTGAGAAATACCTTGTGAAACTATCAGATGTAAGTAACTAGAAATTTTTGGTTTCCTGTCGCAGAGTAGCTGTAAATGATCAGTCACCAATTATGTAATACCAGAAGAAAGGGGTTTTATAATTCTATTCCAATTGCTTATTCAATATAAACACTTTTACCTAAATTAATTTTATTTTTATTTGCTTTCTATTTGTATTTTTAGAGTAACACATGAGGTCTCCCATATATATAAAAGAGTAACATTCTCCAATTTCCTATACCCCAGTAGTAGTCACTGTTTTAAGTTTGATTTGTATTCTTCTAGATATACTTAAATTATTTAAAAATAAATTTAAATATTTCTGTACAGTTTGATCGGGAGCACTTCAGTGAAGTTTTTGTGGACCTAAAATGGTTTGAAAGCAAAGTTGGTAACAAGTACCTCAATGAAGCAGCAGGTGTCGCAGCAGAAGAAGCCAGGAACTACAAGGAAAAGAAAAAGTTAAAGGTGTCTATTTTTTTAGGTGTCCTTTCATTGTTTTAACTGTAAAGGCAAAAATTATATTCTTTGTTTCTCATTTTCCTTCTTATGATTTGGGATTGCCTCGTTTTATTTCTCTTCCTCTCTATAGGCATTTCAGAAATTGATTTGGTTTCTTTTTTTCTATTAGCTTCTGTCATTTAATGAGATCTTCAATAATCAGTTCCTTATTTTTACTGTTGAAGAGGTACATTGTGTTTTATGTTAATAAATGTGGAAAACATTTCTAAACATAAAAGCCCAGAAAATGAATTATTTTCTGGGCTTTTTAAAAAAATTACTTAAAACATGTTATTAAAAACAATTATTTAAGGCCAGGTGCAGTGGCTCACACCTGTAATCCCAGCACTTTGGGAGGCAAAATGGGTGGATTACCTGAGGTCAGGAGTTTGAGACCAGCCTGGCCAACGTGGCGAAACCCCATCTCTACTAAAAAAACAGAAATTAGTTGGATGTGGTGGCACACACCTGTAATCCCAGCTACTTGGGAGGCTGAGGCACGAGAATCACTTGAACCTGGGAGACAGAGGTTGCAGTGAGCCAAGACTGAGCCACTGCACTCCAGCCTGGCTGATAGAGTGAGACTCTGTCTCATAAAAAAGAAAAACAATTATTTAAAACCTGACAGGGAGGATACCATGATCATGAAGGTAGTTTTCCCAGGGCGAGGTTTATCCATTGCACTCTGGATGTGCTGATGCCCTGCGATTTCGCCAAATGTGGGAAACTGAACTGCGTGACTTATGGTAGTGGAGGACTGCATTCACACTTTCCCCTGGCAATTTTTTTTTAATTAAAAAAAAATTGTTATTTTAAAACAATGGACTAGTTTTTAAAATGTGGATATTTATAGTGTTTAATGATATGAGACATTAACTAGATCAGTGATTTTTCTCTAGAAATGATTTACATATAAAATACAATAGTCTAAGTTAATAGTAATGGCAAAAACCACAATTACTTTTGTGCCAGCCTAATAGCACAATATCTAGTAAATGTTATGTGCTTAATAAATGAATAATAGAATCAATTAGAATATGATAGTACCCTGCAGAGCATCTCTGATAATCTCCAAAGAATGTCTTGTGTTAACTTGAAAAGTAAACCTCTTGTGAAAAATTCTTCAGCCTCTCTGTAATTATTGGATTCTGCTGAGTTTCTTTTTTTTTTTTTTGGAGACAGCATGTCACTCTGTCACTCAGGCTGGAGTGCAGTGGCGCGATCTTGGCTCACTGCAACCTCTACCTCCTGGGTTCGCTTGAATTCCCCTGCCTCAGCCTCCTGAGTACCTGGGATTAGAGGTGCGCGCCACCACCCAGCTAATTTTTGTATTTTTAGTAGAGACGGGGTTTCACTATGTTGGTAATGCTGGTCTCGAACTCCTGACCTCGTGATCTGCCCACCTTGGCCTCCCTTAAGTCCTGGGATTACAGGCGTGAGCCACCGTGCCCGGCCAAGATTCTGTTGAGCTTCTTACTCTCCTTGCTGTACTGGTTCTATTTAGGTTCAAACTTAATGACTCTTGCTCCAGGAGGGGCAACTGTCCTTGTTTTCTCTAGTGTAGTCCTTCTCGCTGCTTAGCTCTTCCTCACTGGAACTTGGCAGCAGTCAGTCTGCATTCCACTGGTTTTTGTGTGTGTGTGTGTGTCTTTTTTTTTCCCCCCCTAAGAAAACGGGCTCTGCAACTTTTTGGGAACCTGTACACACAAAACTTACCTGTCAGTAATCCCTGGCTCCCCCACCACAATTCAGTACTTAAACTTCACCAGTCTTCCAGCCATATGCAGCTAACTTTAGAGACACTGTGCAGGAATAGCCCAGACACAGGAAGTTGGTAGAGGCCATAAGTTGGATGAAAGAAAGGAAATGGGGATAAGGGAGTAGGAAGAACTAAAGAGAGTCATTGGCAGTAGACAGGAAATCAGAGAATAGAGGAGAGAAAGGATTGAGATCACAAGGGAGGAAAAACAGATGGGCAGGATATGAAGGATGTTATAACATGGAAGAACTATAGAAAAGCAAATGGGTGCATGGAAGAGAAATGACATCTCATTTTGAAATGTATCTTGCCATTCATTTTATGTTGATTTACAATTTACAGGGCCAGGAAAATTCTCTGTGTTGGACTGCTTTAGACAAAAATGAAGGCGAAATGATAACTTCTAAGGGTAAGTATGAAGTATGTGTTTTGATATGTTACTACTTTGACAGGATAATTGTTATACCTTTTATTTATTATTACTAATTTTGGGTGGAACAGATTTCTGTGATAGCATATAAGCATCAACTTGGATATGCATTTATCAAATCATTAGGTGGAAAAACAGGCTATTCATAATTGTCAGTCACTATCTTTCTGACTTTTTTCCCCAGATAATTTAGAAGATGAGACTGAAGATGATGACCTATTTGAAACTGAGTTTAGACAATATAAAAGAACATATTACATGACGAAGATGGGGGTTGACGTAGTATCTGAGTACGTTTTTGCCAATGCTTTTATTTTAAAATAGAAAAAATTAGATTTTGCAGTTATTCAGAAAATATGATTTTGATGAAGTAGTGGGAGAAAAAGGATTTTTTGGTTTCATGAATTATTGTGTATGTTTCAACTAGTCTGGTTTTGGAGAAGATGGTATTAATTCTGACTTGTATTATATTCCTGTGATAAAAATTGCTGAAGAGAAAATGATCCTTATGTATAAGGATTTTTGTTACAAAGTTGTTTATAATAGTAAAAAAATTAGAAATAATCTAAATGTCCAATAAGAAGGTTCATCATAATTGGCCACTGCTTCTTCATTACAGTCACCATCTCTGTCACCTCTTCCATCTCCGGAATCTGCAGAACTGCTAAACTGGTACTTGCAGAAAGTTCATAACAATTTGGAAGGATGCTTATAGTACATTATTAAGTACAAATTGTAAAGGCAAGACATGAAATCATACATACAGTATGCTCTCATTAACCTTAAAAAAACCTAGATATAGATAAAAGACTGAAACACTAAAAATGTAAAAGTGATGGCTATAAGATGATAAAAATGCTGTTCTTCATTGTCCAGATTTTCACTCCTGAGGAAATAGTTCTTTTATAATAAAAAAGCAATATTTTTCATATTAAAAAACTACCTCCCAGAAATATGTAGTTATGTAATTTCTAAGTGAATATTTTTGCCTTTAGCCCAGGGCTCTGTTTTGTTTTGTTTTGATGATTTGAAGACTTATTTTACCCAAACTTAGAAGATGGCATTTGGTTTTTGACAAAGAAAGGATTAGAAGGAATATTGTTCACATACAGCACTTCTGAAAGCATTCTAGCTTCTGTGACCAAATTTTAAGATCTTCCTGATTTGCTGCTTTGCTTCTCTCAGATATCATCCCATGTAAAGAAGATTCCCATCCCTTTCTCCCGTCTCACCCCCACTATTTAAGAGAGTGGTAGTGTCACTATGGAAAGCTTCATTGGGTAAATCTTCAACCTTTGGACCAAGGGAGTGGTACATTAACTGAGTAAATATGAATAACAGACTTATCTATTTTGATAGTTGGTTTAGGAAAACTGTCATGTGACAGGATGTAATTTTTAAAAATATTTTGGAGTTTTTAGGATTATAATTTTTAGCCATAAATAGCTAATTCATTGATTAAATAAATCATCTGAGGTAAAATGTTGTATCAGCAGATACCGTGCTCTAAAGACACGGGCCTGTCTTCAGAAAATATGTTATAATGAAAATATTCTATTTTCAGTGACTTTCTGGCTGATCAAGCTGCATGTTATGTTCAGGCAATACAGTGGATTTTGCACTATTACTATCATGGAGTTCAGTCCTGGAGCTGGTGAGAGAATAAAAACAAAAATAAAGTTTTGTCTTTTTATAATGATTCATTCTACTAGAGTCTTATTTAGGAAGCACTTCCTTTTATTTCTACTTATGGTAATTTTTTTTTTTTTTTTTTTTTCACTCTGTTGCCCAGGCTGGAGTGCAGTGGCATGATCTCGGCTCATTGCAATCTCCGCCTCCTGGGTTCAAGCAATTCTGCCTCAACCCCCTGAGTAGCTGGGATTACAGGCATGCGCCACCACGGCCAGCTAATTTTTATATTTTTAGTAGAGATGGTGTTTCGCCATGTTGGCCAGGCTAGTCTCGAACTCCTGACCTCAGGTGATCCGCCCACCTTGACCTCCCAAAGTGCTAGGATTACAGGCATGAGTCACTGCACCCGGCCTCTACTTATGGTAATTTTTTAAAAGTTCCATACAACCAGGTTTAAATGAAACATAGGTAATATTTTCTCCAGCCCTAACAGAAGGCTCATAATAAGAGGTCTTAGTTAATGTAAAGATTTAATGTTCTCTATCAAAGTTAGTCAAGTTTGGCAAAGTCTTGATAATTACTGGGTTTGAGTGATGGTTATGTGAGGGTGTTCATTATATTCTCTTTACATTTTTTGTGTTTGCTAAAAAATTCTCTATCAAGAATAATTATTGAAGTGTTCGGGCACAGTGGCTCATGCCTCTAATCCCATCGCTTTGGGAGGCCAAGGTGGGCAGATCACTTGAGGTCAAGAGTTTTGAGACTAGCCTGGCCAACATGGTGAAACCCCATCTCTACTAAAAATACAAAAATTAGCTGGGCATGGTGGTGTGCCTCTGTAGTCCCAGCTACTTGGGAGGCTGAGGCTGGAGAATCGCTTGAACTTTGGAGGCAGAGGCTGCAATTGAGCTGAGCTGAGATCGCACCACTGCACTCCAGCTTGGGCAGCAGAACAAGACTCTGTCTCTCAAATAAATAAATAAATAAATAAACAGAATAATCATTGAAAAATGGGCTTACTTCTAGGAAGGGCTAGAAAGGTGAAGAAGAAAAGAGAAAGGAGTTCTTTTTTTTTTTGAGACAGAGTCTCGTTCTGTCAGCAAGGCTAGGGTGCAGTGGTGCAGTCTTGGCTCACTGCTGCAACCTCCCCTTCCCGGGTTCAAGCAATTATCATACCTCAGCCTCCCAATTATTTGCTTTTATGGAGAATAGTAATCATTTTATTTCTCATGTTTCCTATTCTAGCAAATCCCATCTGCATTTTCAAACCATCCACCAAAGTAGAAAAATTAAAAACCAAAAAATGATACAGTGAATACTAGAGACTTTTAGATGATAACACAACTCTGTTTGGTTTGGTTTTGTTCAAAGCACCTGTGCTAGGCTCTGTTTCAGAGCTCCATCTAGCAATACAAACCAGTGCAAAATAATGTGACATTAATTATGGTTTCACTTACTACATAAAGCCTTTGAAAAAAGTTTTATAATCACCTGATTCTCAGGGCCTCTCTGAGGAGCAATCTCATGAAGAAAATCCTTGATTTGCCATTTTTAAAATAGTGTGAATGTAAGTTATTCCTGTTGTAACTTACATTAAGGCCAAGCACATAAAAAGCATGCTCTCACATAATCTTCACAACTATTTAAAGTAAACATTGTTTTCTCCCTTTTACAGATGAAGAAATTGAGGCTCTGAAAGGTTGAGAAAGGTTAGGTAATCTTCCTAAAGATTATACACCCAAGAATTAAGTCAAAGCCTGTCTGATTCCAAAGTCTACCCTTTTTCTATTCCACATGGCACTTGGCCTCCTAAACTCCTCCATTTTTTTTGAAATGTACGCCATAATTATGGAATACAAAAACATTTCAATGTTTTTGGTATCCTGACTCAAACATTAGAAGCATATTGAAATTTTTAAAAATTGTTTGTTCAAAGCTTTATAAAATATTTATACCTGTAATTAAGATGAGAAGGTAATAAAAACAAAAACAATTAGTGTATGTGATCGATACATGGTTTCATCCTTATCACAAATACAATAATAAGCATGCTAATTCAAAGATAAAAGTTCTTAGATCTGACTGGTAATGGCCAGATAACCTCAGACTCACTTTTCTTCCTCTCCTTGTGAGCTTTTACCAGAACGTTCAACTGTTTTTAGTCTCTTGCTTAAATGATCCAGGCTCAAGTGACCAAACTGAAAGTCTTCTGACTACCTCATTATTTCTGGTTCAATCTATTGATTGGAAGATTCACTATCAACATTTTGAGAATTAAAAAAAGCATTACATTATACGTGTTTTTCAATTACCTGATTCATCCCAATTTCAGAAATGTGAAACCACACTTTAAAAATTCAGGAAATAGGCCAGGCGCAGTGGCTTACGCCTGTAATCCCAGCACTTTGGGAGGCCGAGGCGGGCGGATCACGAGATCAGGAGATTGAGACCATCCTGGCTAACAAGGTGAAACCCCGTCTCTACTAAAAATACAAAAAATTAGCCTGGCATAGTGGCAGGCGCCTGTAGTCCCAGCTATTTGGGAGGCTGAGGCAGCAGAATGGCCTGAGCCCGGGAGGTGGAGCTTGCAGTGAGCCAGGATCGCGCCACTGCACTCCAGCCTGGGCAACAGAGCGAGACTCTGTCTCAAAAAAAAAAAAAAAATTCAGGAAATGTAACATTTGTTGCCATCGGATGACCTAAATTTTCCAACACTGCTAATTTCTTATATTCAGATAGTAGAATTATGGGCAGTACTAATTTTTTAAAATTATTTTTATATGTTGTTAAAATATGGGGAAAAGTATATGTTTATTATTAACCTAATTCATAAAGATGCCACTTGTTTAAAACTCAGTTTTGTTTTATAGGTATTATCCTTATCATTATGCACCTTTCCTGTCTGATATACACAACATCAGTACACTCAAAATCCATTTTGAACTAGGAAAACCTTTTAAGCCATTTGAACAGCTTCTTGCTGTACTTCCAGCAGCCAGCAAAAATTTACTTCCTGCATGCTACCAGGTGGGTCTTAGAATTGAATGTTTTTATGTCCTTTTTGATATTTAGAAGCTCTTCCTCCAAACCTAGAAACAATAATACTCAAATTTATTTGGTAGCTAAGTAGTTATTTTCAGTTTTAAACCATAGTATTTTTTTAACAAGTCCCTTGAAAAGTAATTCTTTGATTTCAAGTTAGCTTTGTTTTAAAGATGCAAAGAAACTCCGTAAATCATTCAGAGCCTGGCTTCATTTTCAGCACCTTTAAACAGATTTTCAATTTGTCTCTACACTGAAGAAAGTAGGCTAAAACCGACAAAATCTGAAGCTATCTACTTTATCTAAACATTTATAGATTCATTTCTCTTCCCTTTACTGTCTACATTTTGGTATAGGGATGGTTCTAATAAGTCATTTATCCCAACAGCAGTACTACCTCAGTATATGTTTGTTTTTAAACATTTTATTTATCAATTTGTGAAATAAAAAGCTTTCTTTGGTTAACATATTTCATGTAACAGGAGGAAAATATTTCAGGAGTTGATAAGGTTACCAAAATTACGCTAAGCCTACTAAGGTGATTCTGAAGTTATACTTTGTATCGTTCTTTGAGGGTAACAATCTGTTCTTTTAATTCTGTGGTTTGGTCAGGAATTGGAGTAGACACACACACCCCCTTTACTTCTTTAGCAGTGTCAGACTCCCTTCTGCATCTTTCTGAACCTTAAACTGTTGTTGATCCTGGCTTCCCTTTCTTCGTAAGTTTCTTTGATTGTTTTTTCCCTGCCTTTGGATACAATACGCTTTAATACCCAACCACTCTGAACCAGCATGACCATGCGTTTTACGGTCTGTTTTATCGTACAGTGCCCATGCCATACTGGTTATTTTAAATATTTTGAATATTACCCTGAGAGTATACTGCCTTATTTCCTTATGCTTTCTTTGTCTACCTCCGTTATAAAGTCATAGAAATGTGTTATTGGACTATTTCTCTTTGATATTAGTGGTGCAGTGATTCTTGGATTTTAGGATATTTTTATTTTAAACTATCTTGGATGTTACATTACTTAATAGAATCAGTTCTTCAGGACATGAAAGTAAATTGTCAATTTGAGGCTAAAAATAGAGAACTACTAGATGCCTTTTAGATGAACTGAAATGAAGTCTGAATAGAAAAACAATTTAGCTGTGTGTCTTGTAGAGTGAAAAAACAAGAAAAAATAATTTAAAATGAATGTTGAGAGTAAGGATGACTTTGCTGCATAACTAAGTCAGTAAAATGTATAAATGATGAGTAGTAGTGAAATCAGAATTCTTATAGTTGAAAATCAAAATATAGCAAGTATATTGTGACATATCAAAGGTACAAAAATTTAGTTTGCTTTGCTTAGAAATTTTAAACTAACATGAGGAAATATTATAAATACATTAACAAAAAACTATATTGATATTAGTTCTTATATTTCTATTATACTATTTCATATTTTCACAGCATTTGATGACCAATGAAGACTCACCAATTATAGAATATTACCCACCTGATTTTAAAACTGACCTAAATGGGAAACAACAGGAATGGGAAGCTGTGGTGTTAATCCCTTTTATTGATGAGGTCAGTGCATGAAATAATCATTACATACACATACATTCTTAATCAGAGACTATTTCACATAGGTTAATGAGCAATGGGTTTTAATCACCATTTATGTTTTGTTAATGAGATTTAGCTACCCTCTTCATTATGTGCATAAAAACTTCCAGGTATGCCAATTATAATAAGGCTGAAGTGGCTTTACTATTATTAGACAAAGTAGTCCTCAGAACAAGGAGTAATATTACCGGAGATAAAGAGATATTTTATACAGATAAAAGAGTCAGTTCAGTTCAAGAAGACATAAAAATCCTAAATATGTTGTATCTAATAACAGAACCTAAAATACATGAAGCAAAAATTACCAGAATTATAGCTAGAAATTTCAACACTTTTCTCTGAAGAATTAATAACACAAGAGGACAAAAATTCAGTAAGGATGGCCGGGCGCGGTGGCTCACGCCTGTAATCCCAGCACTTTGGGAGGCTGAGGCGGGCAGATCACAAGGTCAGGAGATCGAGACCATCCTGGCTAACACAGTGAAACCCCGTCTCTACTAAAAAAATACAAAAAATTAGCCGGGCAAGGTGGCGGGCGCCTGTAGTCCCAGCTACTCGAGAGGCTGAGGCAGGAGAATGGCGTGAACCCCCGGGGGCGGAGCCTACAGTGAACCGAGATCGCGCCACTGCACTCCAGCCTGGGAGACAGCGAGACTCCATCTCAAAAAAAAAAAAAAAAAAATTTTCAGTAAGTATAAAGAAGATTTGAGTAATGCTATAAACCTACTCATAGAATTAAATTAGAAATAGTAACAAAGATCTGGGGGATCCCCATACATTTTGAAACTAAATAGCACACTTCTAAATAGCCTATGATGAAAGAAGAAATTAAAAGAAAAATTAGAAAATATTTTGATCTGAACGATAATTAAAATACAATACATCATAATGGGAGCTGAGCATGGTGGCACACATGCTGTAATCCCAACACTTTGGGAGGCCAAGACGGTAGGATTGCTTTTTTTCCCTCAGGAAAGAAAAAAAAGGGATCCATGGTCAGTATGATACGACTAAAGCAGGGCTTA
This sequence comes from Homo sapiens, assembly GCF_000001405.40. NCBI lineage: Eukaryota > Metazoa > Chordata > Mammalia > Primates > Hominidae > Homo > Homo sapiens. The sequence goes on along the minus strand of NC_000003.12, from coordinate 142,411,479 downwards.
AAAGGAAATTTAAGGTTCTAGACGCTAAACAAGAAAAAGGTTTAAAATAAATTACCTAAGCTTCTAACTTAAGAAGATAGAAAAAGAAGAGCAAATTAAACTCAAGCAGAATGAAGGAAATAAAAAGAAGCAGAAATCTACAGAAAATGAACAAACAATGGAGAATAATTAATGACATCAAAAGTTGGTTCTTTGAAAAGATTAATAAAGTCAGTAAATCCTACCTAGACTAATCAAGAAAGTTAAATAAAAGGGGGGAAGGCAGAAATAAATTACCAATATTGGGAATGAAGAGGAGCTATCTTATAGTTCCTTCATATAGTAAAAGGTTAGTTAAGGAATGTTATGGTCAAACTTTATGTCAACAAATTCAACAACCTAGATGAAGTGAACATATTTCATCACAACTTATCAAAACTCACAGAAAAAAATATAAAAATCTGAATAGTCTTTTGTGTATTCTAGGCCCAGATGTCTTCACTTGTGAATTCTAGCAAACATTTAAGAAATAATGCCAATCTTACACAAACTTTCAGAAAACAGAAGAAAGGAAATTGCTTCCCAACATTTTATTAGACTAGCATATTCCAGAGACCCAAATTTGACATGGCATTAAAAGAAATGAAAATTACTGACTGATACTCCTCCTAAAAGTAGATGCAAAAACTCCTAAGGAAATAACATGAGGCCGGGCACGGTGGCTCATGCCTGTAATCCCAGCACTTTGGGAGGCTGAGGTGGGTAGATCATGAGGTCAGGAGATCAAGACTGTCCTGGCTAACAAGATTAAATCTCGTCTCCACTAAAAATACCAAAAATTAGCAGGGCGTGGTGGTGGGCACCTGTAGTCCCAGCTTCTCAGGAGGCTGAGGCAGGAGAATCGCTTGAACCCTCAGAGGCAGAGGTTGCAGTGAGCAGAGATCCAGCCACTGCACTCCAGCCTGGCAACAGAGCCAGACTCCATCTCAAAAAAAAAAAAAAAAAAAAAAAAACATGAGATAGAATCTGACAGCGTATAAGAAGGATAATACTCATGACCAAATGGGATTTATTTTAGAAATACAAAGTTAGTTTGCAATGTAATTTACCACATTATCAATATTCAACATCCAGTTTTTTTTCCACCTTCCACTATCTGACCAAGAATATTTTTTTCACAAACATCCAGTTTTAATAGAAATGTTCAACAAACAAGGATAACAGGAAACATCCTCAACCTTATGATAAAGGCATATAAAAAATCTTACTGCAAACAACATACTTAATAGTAAAAGAAGGACCAATTTCCTGTAAAGTCAAGAATAGGACAAGATGTCCATTCTAACCACTTCTTTCTAACGTTTTACTGGAGGTCCAGTGTGTTAAGATGAAGAAAATAAGTAAAATTGTTTTTAGTGGCAAGTGGCATTATTATCTATGTAAAAATTCTAAGAAATCTTCAAAAGAGAAACTTTAACTGATAAGTAACTTTAGCAAGGTTACAGAGTATAAGATCTGTACAAAAACTAATTGTATTTCCATATACTAGCAACAAACCATTTGAAAATACAAAACTTTTAAAATAAGAAGCTTAAAGATTCTGCTTAAAATAGCATTTAAAAATATAAAATACACAGCTATAAACTTAACAACATATGTGGAAGCCCTCTACCTTGAAAGAGATGGAAAACCTAAGTAAATGAAGGGATTATATCATGTTCATGGATATGAAGACTTAATATTGTTAAGGTGTACGTCCTCCTCAATTTGATCTTTAAATTCAATCCCAGTGAAAATCCTAGCAGGTTTTTATATAATTGAAAATATGATTCTAAAGTTTTTATAAGATTGCAAAGGAGAAAACCAAAACAATCCATATAAAGAACAGTGTTGGAGGACTTACATGACCTGATTTCCAGACTAACCATGAAGCCACATTAATCAAGACAGTCTGTTATTGGTATAGCCATAAGCAAATAGATAAATTGGAACAGAAATAGTCCACCCAAATGTATGTTTATGCAGTTAATTCATCTTCAATTAAGGCACCAAAGCATTCAGTGAGTAAAGAAAGTGCTTTTCAAAAGTTGGTGCTAGAACAACTGGCTATATTTGTGAATAAAAGTGAATCTTGACCCATACCTCACACCATACACAAAACTTAATTCAAAATATGTCATAGATCTAAATGTATTAATAAAAGCTAAAACCATAAAACTTCTTGAAGCAAACTTAGGAGAAAATTTCAAGATTCTGAAATCACTAACCATAAAGGGAAAGAATTGAGAAAATAGATTTCACCAAAATCAAAAAAATTTCCATTTATCAAAAGATGCTATTTAAAAAAGAGTAGATAAGCCACAGTGTAGGAGAAAAAAAATATATGCAGAACATACACATGCATGAGACTGGTATCCAGAGTATATAACCAGCTCCTCCAACTCAAGTTAAAGACACAACCCAATTTTTTAAATGGCAAAATATTTTTGAAGGGCCATTTTCACAAGGCAAGATATACAAATAATAAACAATGGAAAAGTGCTCAACATCATTAGGCATCAGGTAAATGTAAATTAAAAGCATGATAAGATACCACTATACCATAATCCCAGTTGAATGGAAAAAACTTAAAAGGCAATACCCAATATTGGCAAGAATGTGGAGCAATTGGAATTTTTATACACTGCTAATGGGAGTATAAGATGGATAAAAGCACTTTTCATATCTATCTGGCAGTTTCTTATAAAGTAAATTATACACCTAACCCTAGGACCCAGCAATTCCATTCTTAGATATTTACCAAGAGGAGGGGAAAGTATGTTTAAAAAATGTTTTGTACAAGACTATTCATAATAACTAAACTGGAAACCGCCCAATACCAGTCAGCAGGACAATAGATAAGTAAATTGTGGTACAGATTAAGCATCCCTAATCTGAAAATCAGAAATTTGAAATGCTCCAAAATTAGAAACTTTGAGCATCAATCTGATGCCGCAAATAGAAAATCTGCACCTGGTGTCATGGGATGGGTTGCAGTCAAAATGCAGGTGCACAACACAGCTTATTTGCATCGCAAGGGATAGAAGACCCTCCCAGCCCTTTTCAGCTGCAATATACCTTTTCTGCACACACCCAGATTCCCCCACCCAAGCACCCCCACAAAGGGTAATAAAATGGCACATGTATAGGCCAGATGCGCCAATGGCAGGTTCCCCACAATGCCCCAAATGGGCCCCAGGCCTATGTGCATTACTCACTGTATTACTTCGCTTATTCTTTAGTCTGGTGTGAAGATAGTGTTGACAGTGTCAAAAAGGACTGCAGCTACCCCTATGGGTGTTGGTGTCAAGAAAAATAGGAAGCATTTATGTTTACCTGTAGCATAGAAAGTCAAGTTGTTGGAGAAACTAGACAGCGGTGTGTGAACTGTCTTTTAGAAGAGTATGCTATTAGAATGTCCATATATGACCTGAAGAAACAGAAGGGTAAGCTGTTGACATTCTGTGCTGGAAGTGATGAGCAGAAGTTAATGAAAAAGAGAATACTGCATAAAGCTACAAATGAAGATATCAATCATGTATTGAAGTACTGCATTTGTCAGCATTGCTGTGAATACATGCCATTTAATGGCAGGCTGATAATGAAACAAACAGATCTATCACAGTGAACTGGAAATTGAAGAGAACTGTGAACATTTAACAGACTGGTTGCAAAAGTTTAAAAAAAGACAGTGCTCTCTTCAGCAGTACATATACTTAAAAAAAAAACTGGAATGATACAAAGAAGATTAGCATGGCCCTTGCGCAAGCATGATATACAAATTCATGAAGCATTCCATGCTAAAAAATAGTAATGATAAAAACAAAAAAGTAGGCCGGGCACAGTGGCTCATGCCTGTAATCCCAGCACTTTGGGAGGCCAAGTTGGGTAGATCACTTGAGGTCAGGAGTTCAAGACCAGCCTGGCCAACATGGTGAAACCCTGACCCTACTAAAAATACAAAAATTAGCCAGGTTGGTGGTTCATGCCTGTAGTCCCAGCTACTCAGGAGGCTGAGGCATGGGAATTGCTTGAACCCAGGAGGTGGAGGTTGCAGTGAGCCGAGATTGTGCCACTGCACTCCAGTGTGGTGACAGAGTGATACTCCATCAAATAAATAAATAAATAAATTTTAAAAGTCACAGCATTGAATTTTTAAATGTTTGGGATGATAAAGCACCTGCTTATCATGAAGCTAGAGAAATTCAATGACACGTTTGCCAGGGTCTTTGCTAGTGATGTTGGAACAAGTCTGTAATGCTGATGAAACATCACTGTTCGGGCATTATTGCCCCAGAAAGACACTGACTGCAGCTGATGAAACAGCCCTTCCAAGAATTAAGGATGCCAAAGACCAAATAACTGTGCTGAGATATACTTACGCAGCAGGCATGCATAAGTGTAAACTTGCTGTTATAAGCAAAAGCTTGCGTTCTCACTGTTTTCAAGGAGTGAATTTCATACCAATCCATTATTATGCTAATAAAAAGGCATGGATCACCAGGGACATCTTTTCAGATTGGTTTCACAAACATTTTGTACCAGCAGCTTGTGCTTACTGCAGGGAAGCTGACTGGATGATGACTGCAAGATTTTGTTATATCTTAACAACTGTTGTGCTCATCCTCCAGCTGAAATTCTCATCAAAAATAATGTTTATGGCTCACACCTGTAATCTCAACACTTTGGGAGGATTGCCTGAGCCCAGGAGTTCAAGCCCACCCTGGGCAACACAGCAAGACCCAACCTCTACCAAAAAAAAAAAAAATGAACTGGATGTTGTGGTGTATACCTGTATTCCCAGCTACCTGGGAGACTGAAGTGAGAGGATCACTTGAGCCCAGGAGGTTGAGGCTGCAGTGAGCCATGATTGCCTCACTGCGCTCCAGCATGGGTGTCAGAGCAAATCCCTGTCTCAAAACAAAAACAAAAATGTTTATGCCTTTTTGCCATCTACTTTCTCCCAAATATGACTTTATTAATTCAGCCATGTCAGCAGTCATATCCAAAAAATTATTGCCAAGAGCAGTGTCAAGAAGCTTTTGTCCTGTGTTTTATTCTAGTAGTTTTATAGTTTAAGGTCTTAATGTTTAGGTTTTTAATCCATTTTGAGTTGATTTTGTTTATGGTAAGATAAAAGTCCAGTTTTATTCTTCTGCATATGGATATTCAGTTGTCCCAACACCATTTATTGAAGAGGCAATCCTTGCCCTGTTGTGTGTTCTTGGCAACCTTGTCAAAAATCAGATGGCTATAAATTATGGATTTATTTCTGGGCTTTCTATTTTGTTCCATTGGTCCATATGTCTTATTGAAAATACTTTTATGTATGTTTACCTTTTCCATTTTCTCTTTTGTAATTTGCTTGTTTATATTCTCTCCCCATTTCTCTTTCTTTTTTTCTTTTGATTTTTAGCTACTTTATATATTAGAAATAGTTTTCCCCAGTATCACATCTGTCTCTTGATTTGTATATGGCATCTTCTGTCATATACATTATCTTTTACTTAAAAAATGTCTTTCCCCTTAAGGCTGTTCGTTTTTTTTCTGTCTTCCTTAAATAAAACTTTATCACACTAAATTATCAATACCACCTAGATTTTCTTCTGATACATTTGTTATTTTGTTATTGTGATACTTGTTTTTATATATGGTAGGAAGTTCAGAAGTGTATGTGCTTTTTTTTCAGCTGGATAGCTAGTTAGGACATTGTCATTATTTAAATACCTAAAGGACTGTTTTGGCATAGATTTGGGTCTATTATTGAACTCTATTCTGTTCTTCTGGTCTGTGGGTCTCTTGTAGTGTCAGTACTAGTGTTTTGATTACAGTAGCTTTATCAAAAGTGATAGAATCTGGTAAGACAAGTCCCTGGTTACTTTTTACTGTCCATACATTTATTCTTCCATATTAACACTGGTATCTTATTCTTTTTTTAAAAAAAAGATATTTTAAATCATTGATGTCCTGACTGGAATTACTTTAAATGTATAAGTTAATTTGGAAAGATGGACATCACTATACTACTACAGAATTTGTAAAGTAAGAGATTAATGCTCTGTGAATTATGATATAGTATTATAATAGATTCACACTTAAAATTTGATTTTCTGCTGCCTTGCTTATTTGCACTTTAGTGGCAACTGTTGGGGTAATAGCTTCAGAGAACTTTGCAGTGGTAGCAGTATTCTAGGGCCCTTTGAAACAATAAATAGCATATTTTTCATGCAATAAAATGGAAGAGTTTCATTAGTTAAGATTTTGGTTTTTTGTTTTTCAAGAGCACAAATGGTTATTCTGTATATGGAGGAAAAAGACTTATTCTGTTTGTTGAGATTATGGAATTTTTATGCTTGTAACCCTTCTCTTCAATCCTTATATTCAGAAGCGATTATTGGAAGCCATGGAGACATGTAACCACTCCCTCAAAAAGGAAGAGAGGAAAAGAAACCAACATAGTGAGTGCCTAATGTGCTGGTATGATAGAGACACAGAGTTTATCTATCCTTCTCCATGGCCAGAAAAGTTCCCTGCCATAGAACGATGTTGTACAAGGTAATGTTACTTGGTAATTTTTCAACAACAAAAGAGCGCTCCTAACACAAGGGTGCGAGAAGTGGTGAAGGGGGAGCTTTGAATATCTGTTTGGAGAATTAGCAAATAGTTTATGACAGTTATAGTCAATTGATAATCAATGAGTTACATCTAACTTGCAGAGGATCTAAGGATCTTTCACACTTGTGTCTATAATTCTCTACTTTGGTCAGATTCTTTGTTTCTCTTTCCTTCTTCTATTAAAAGTGTTTGAATTTTTTCTCTCTAATGTATATCCCTGCATTTTGTCTCCCTCGAATGGATATGTGAATTTTTGTTTCCATTGTCAGTGTTTCTGCTCCCAGCATTATTTGATACGCTGTGATATTGATTATACCCCCCAGCCACCCAACTAGAAAGAAGGAAATAAGAAATAAAGAGCTCCATTTTTTTCTCTTCATGAAAATATCTTCCTTTTTTTTCTCTTCTCTCACCTTCCCTGCAAATAATCTACCCAGATGGCAATTGAGTTGCAAATAAAGTAAACATCTCTCAGTTACAACTTTTCCTTTTGTTAAAGGAAAGAGAAAGATAAAACAGGCATTATAAAATGTTTATTTTCCATCCTGGGTTTTGGAACATGGAGGATATAGAGATTTGTGTTATGTGTCATATTTTATCTTAAAATTTATATATATAGTTTTGTTTTAGATTAATGGGGAAAATCTCAACTTAGTAATCTACAGGCATGATTGTGTCTAGACCAGTAACAATAGAGAGGCTGGTTATCTGCTTGTGTTTTCTTTGTCTGGAACTAATTGTCATTCTCTTCTTTAAAAGCAAGGATGACTCTTACGAAATATACAAGGGAAAGTTAAAAAACTGTAATTGTTTGTAATGTATTAATTTTAAATTAAATGCCTTGATTTATTTTCTAGGTATAAAATAATATCCTTAGATGCTTGGCGTGTAGACATAAACAAAAACAAAATAACCAGAATTGACCAGAAAGCATTATATTTCTGTGGATTTCCTACTCTGAAACACATCAGACACAAAGTCAGTGGCTATTTAGTTCAGAATTTTTTCACTTTATTAAGTGTGAAGTGATTATGGAGAAAGAATTAAAATTAAATTATTTGAATTCTTTTAAAGTTTTTTTTGAAGAAAAGTGGTGTTCAAGTATTCCAGCAAAGCAGTCGTGGAGAAAACATGATGTTGGAAATCTTAGTGGATGCAGAATCAGATGAACTTGTAAGTATTTTATTTATCATTCATTTATTAGATGCCTATAATGTATTAAACTGTAGCTGCTGGGATGTTTACCAGGGAGGTATTATATGTTGTAACTCTAGAAATTTGGAGCCTAAATAAGGATGAAGCAAAGAAACATTCATACAAATTAGATAATAGTTCAAGAACCTGTATCACTGTGACACAATGAATATACAAATTTTCTAGAAATTTTAAAAAGGAGAAGAGCTATGTAAACCAAAAGTTAAGTATAGACTTGTAAATGAGAATAGGCTTGAGCTGAGGACTGAAAAACAGGTTAGGACACAGAAAAGGAGGGGAAAGGCATTCTAGTCAAAAGAAATATCATGAGCCAGTCATTTCAGTCAAAAATGTCATATATTATTGTTTTTAACCTTTTTGTGTATCTGAACTATTTCTTAACACTTAGTCTTTTCTTTAGAATAAATGTGATATATTTGAGGAGAAGGAATAAATAAGCCTTATTGAAGCAGAGGATTTGTGTTTGGAAATAGTAGAAGATAAGTTTGAAAAATCAGATTGAGGCCAGATTATGTCGAACCTTGAGTACCAGGCTGAGTTTGGACTTATTTTCCCATGACCATTATTTTGGAATTGATATTTTCATAAAGATTAATTTGGTGGCAGTATAATAAACTAAATTGCACAAAAGAGAAATCAAAGAAAGCGGGAAAGCTTGCGAGTGTAGCATCAGGTGATAGAGACATAAACTTCAGAAGTAGCAATAGATCTAGATGAACAAGATGAAATAAAACTGATAGGTTTCATTATTTGGTCAAATACAGGGGGTGAAAAGAGAAACTATTAATAGTAAATGTGACTGAGATATCCAGGCTAATTAACTAAAAAAAAAATTGTAATTTACTGGACTAGAAAAGTTAAAACAGGGGAGTTGATAGTTTAGGGGGATGAAATGATAAATAATGATGGAATTTTAAGGTAACACTAGGATGTTTAACCGGAACTGCCTTGCCAGCCTTTCTTAACCAGTATTCCACAAGATGTATAAGCCCTAATGCCCTAAGTCATTCATTGTAAGCAATAAATTAACTTATCTTCTGTGCATTTAGAACAGTAGGAGTTATGTACCATCTTTGAGAGAACAGAGAAAGTAGACGTATTTTGTGTTCTCTGATTCAGATGAAAAACCTGTTTAGAAAGTCTGTTTATGGCTGGGCATGGTGGCTTACGTCTGTAATCCCAGCACTTTTGGAGGCTGAGGCGGGCATATCATCTGAGGTCAGGAGTTCAAGACAAGTCTGGCCAACATGGTGAAACCCCATCTCTACTGAAAATACAAAAATTAGCCAAACTTGGTGGTGGGTGCCTGTAATCCCAGCTACTCGGGAGGCTGAGGCAGGAGAATTGCTTGAACCCAGGAGGTGGACGTGGCAGTGAGCCAAAATCGCGCCACTGCACTCCAGCCTGGGTGACAAGAGCGAAACTCCATCTCAAAAAAGGAAAAAAAAAAGAAAGGCTATTTATATACAGTTAAATACCTGGAGCTAGAGCTTGGAGAGAGAGAAGGATATTCAAGTTGTCAACAGAGAATTGATGACTTTGAGGTTCATTTCCTTGAAGACAAGGTGCATTGAGTGTTCATGGTCTCAGCATAAAGAAATGCCCACAGTTATAAATGGTGGAGAGGGAGCCAGTAGAAACAGAGAGGTTAGGAAGAGTGATTCCAAAGTTAAATAGTACCACAGAAGCATGGAGCAGAGGATGTAAGCTGCATAAATCTGAAGAATAATAAAAACTCAAATAAGATCTGTGAATTTGTCTTTTAGAACATCAATGTTGATCTTTGAAAATTCCATTTCGGTAGATTGGTGGAAGCAGAATTTCAATTTCTGAGAACTAGGCTAAGATTGTGTAGACGGGAAGTAAAGGTAGCAAGTATTAAGCCCTTGGTCAAGAAGTTATGTGTTTGTTTGTTTGTTTGACAGAGTCTCACTCTGTCACCCAGGCTGGAGTGCAGTGGCGCTATCTTGGGTCACTGCATCCTCTGCTGCCCAGGAGCGATTCTCCTGCCTCAGCCTCCCGAGTGGCTGGAATTACAGGCTCCTGTCACCACGCTTGGCCAATTTTTTTTTTGTATTTTTAGTAGAGACCGGGTTTCACCATCTTGGCCAGGCTGGTCTTGAACTTCTGACTTCGTGATCCACCTGCCTCGGCCTCCCAAAGTGCTGGGATTACAGGCGTGAGCCACAGCGCCCAGCCTACAGTTTCTTAAAACTAGAATTTTTTACTTAAGATATTATTTCCTACAGAATATTTGTAGAGCATTTTATGGTTTATGAAAGCTTTCATGTATATGATTTTCTTTTATCCTCAACATTGTAAGGTAGATGTTATTCCTTTTCCTCATAAAAGAAAACTGAGATTCAGTAGGATTAAATGATATGCCAAAGATTCTATAGCTGAAAAAGTGGTAGAACCCAAATTTGGACCCGTGTCTCCTGATTTTAAGTCTAATATTCTTTTTTCATCACACCAGCCATAAACTGAAATGAGCTTGTATTTCTTAGATCCTGTTTTAAATAATTGACTATTTGATATGAAACAGTCAATAGTTCTTTTCTAGATATTTCTGCTGTTCTTTTTATTTTTCTCAGTTACCATAAAAAAATAAGGAAGATAATTAGAATGATAGAGTTTTACACCTGGATGGAAGATGGAATTTTGTAAAGCAACTAATTCAACTTGTTCATTTTATTTATTTATTTATTTATTTTTGAGACGGAGTCTTGCTCTGTTGCCTAGGCTGGAGTGCAGTGGTGCAATCTCACCTCACTGCAACCTCCGCCTCCTGGGTTCAAGCGATTCTGCTGCCTCAGCCTCCGGGTAGCTGGGACTACTGCGTGTGCCACCACACCTGGCTAATTTTTGTAATTTTAGTAGAGATGGGGTTTCATCATGTTTGCCAAGCTGGTCTTGACCTCTGGACTTTAAGTTTTGGGATTACAGGTGTGAGTCACTGCACCCGGCCCCAACTTGTTTATTTTAGAATTTAAAAAACTTAAATGGAGATTGGAAAATTTTGCCTGTGTAAAGTTTTCTCTTAGACCTGAAATCATGAATGAACTTTTTTGCTTTTACTTTAAGACCGTAGAAAATGTAGCTTCATCAGTGCTTGGAAAATCTGTCTTTGTTAATTGGCCTCACCTTGAGGAAGCTAGAGTCGTGGCTGTATCAGATGGAGAAACTAAGTAAGTAAGATTTGATTTATAATTTTTCTAACATATATTTGCTTTGTGACTTTGATGGCTTTTATTGATTCATTTTTTTAACTGACAAAATTATATTAAGAACATTTACACTCTGTACCAAAAATGAAAGTCGTCTAATGACACCACTTGAAGTTCAAACACTATTGACAGTTTATTGTACCTCTCTTGAGATATTTTAGATGCATATGTTATTTTTTCCCTTTTAATTTCTTGGAAGTTCTATATCCTAATTCTTTTCTAGAAGTGGTTATCATTATATTACTTAGCAAATACATTTCTCTTTCTAACAAGAATTAATAGCATATGTAACCTTCCCTTTTCCCTGCCCCATCTGGATTTCATTTAAATTGTACATTAATTTTTTAGGGCACATATCTTTTGTTTTAAGAAAAATATCTTAACATTTCATTGAAATTCACAATCGTTTATATCAATAAATGTTTAGATAAATTATTTTTTGTCGTTTTTTTATTATTTCATATAAATTTTATCTTGATTTCTTATATTTTATTTTTCATATGGCTAGAATTTTCTGAAATAATTTTTTTTCAGAGAAGATGGGTAGATATTATGTTTTTTGATTTTGAGTTATTACACATCCGAAATGTCTTTTTTTTTTTTTAAATTTACACATAGGTTTAGAATTTTGGAGGCCCAGTTTCTTTTCCTTTTCTCTTAGAGCTCTGCATACATCTCTCCATTATGTTATTTTATGTAATGTTGATGAGAAGTCAGTGCCAGTACGGTTTTTTTCCTTTGTTGGCATCTGCTTTTGTATATGAAATCTTGAGGATTTTTTTTATCAGAATTTAATTCCCCTACCTTTCTGATGAAGTCCAATTTATTAATTTTTTTATGCTTTTGGTGTCATGTCTAAGAGCTCTTATTCTAGCCCTAGATCCAGAAGATTTTCTTTGATATTTTCTTTGAAAAGTTTTATAGGTTTACCTCATTTTATATGAAATCAGTAATCCATTTTGAATTAATTTTTGTATAAGGTATAAGGGGCAGATCTACTTTCATGTATTTGTGTATGAATATTCAGTTGCTTCAGCATCATTTGTTGAAAAGACTGTGCTTCCTCCATGTCTGTTTTTATGCCAGTAACACATTGGCTTGATTACCATGGTCTTAACATCAGGTAGTGTGATTCCTTCAACTTCACTTTTTTTTTTTTTTTTTTTCAGAATTGTTTTAGCTATTTTAGGTCCTTTGCCTTTTCATATACATTTTATAATTTTCCTATATCTCCAAAAAATCTTGGAGGGATTTTTATATGAATTGTATTAAACCTATAGATCAATTTGGGGAGATTTAACTATGTTGAATATTCTTATCCATGAACACAATATATCTCTTCATTTATTTAGATCTTTGATTTCTCTCATCATTGTTTTGGTTTTTTTCATCATACTGATCAGGTACATGTTTTGTTAGACTTATACCTGAGTATGTAATTTTTCTTGGAGTGAGTATGAATGGTATTATGTTTTAAATTTGTTTCCCCTGCTAGTATATAAAAATACAATTGATTTTTTATGTTGATTTTATATCTTAGAATATTTTTTCCTTTTTATTTTATTTTTAGAGTTTAGGACAGCCAGTTATTTTGTAGAATTCTGGATTTACTCTGTTGTTTCCTTTTAGTGTCATTTAACTTTGTCGTCTATCCCACATATTTCCTGTAAGCTAGAAGTTAGGGCTAGTAGCTGAATTAGATTCAGGTTAAACTGTTTTGGTGAAAATACTTTATAGGGGCCAGGTGTGGTGGCTCAAGCCTGTAATCTCAGCACTTTGGGAGGCCGAGGTGAGAGGATCTCTTGAGGCCAGGAGTTCAAGACCAGCCTGGGCATCATAGTGAGACTCTGTCTCTACAAAAAATAAAATCATTAGCTAGGCATGGTGGTGTGCACCTGTAGTCCTAGCTTCTCAAGAGACTGAGGCAGGAGGATTGCTTGAGCCCAGAAGTTTGAGGCTGCAGTGAGCTATGATCACTCCACTGTACTCCAGCTTGGGTGACAGAATGAGACCCCATCTCTTAAAAAAAAAAAAAAACTTTGTAGATAATGCATACTTCATATTGAATTTGTATTTTTAACTCTTTAAAAATGTTTATTTTTATATGTTTAGTCTCTTAGGAAAAAAATATGCTTTTAAATTTTATTGACTGACTGACTGATTGGGAGAGACAAGGTCTTGCTCTGTCGCCCCAAGTGCAGTGGCAATCATAGCTCACTGCAGCCTCAAACTCCTGGGCTCAAGTGATCCTCCCATCTTAGCCTCCCGAGTATCTGGGACTACAGATATGTGTTACCATACCTGGCATATTTTTTTTATTTTTCTTTGTAGAGACACTGTCTCAATATGTTGCCAGGGTGGTCTTGAATTTCTGGCCTCAAGTAATCCTCACATCTCAGCCTCCCAAAATGCTATGATTACAGGCATGAGCCACTGCACCCAACCTTAAATTTTTTTGATACATAATAATTGTATATATTTGTAGAATACATGTGATATTTTGATCCATGTATATGACATGTAATTTTCAAATTATCTGTTACCTCAAACACTTATCATTTCTTTGTGTTGGGAACATTTTCAATCTCTTCTGGCTATTTTCAAATATACACTAAATTGTTAACTGTGGTCAACCTACTGTTGCTATAGAACACTGGAACTTATTCCTTCTATCTAACTTTGTATTAACCAACTTATCTTCTTCTTCCTCTGTACTTCCCATGCTTTTAAAATTTGAATGAAATTAACAAGCCTTGTTCTGTAATTTATATTAGTTTATAAAAAGACCTGTAATTATTATAGTTTTGTAATTTACATTACAGTTGTGGGGTTTTTTGCTAGTATACCATGTGAAAAAAATATTTCATTTGGAAGACTCACACTGCTAGAACTCTATATTAAACCAGAACATTTTGGTTATATAATTTTTATTTTAACTCTTAAGGTTTTACTTGGAAGAACCTCCAGGAACACAGAAGCTTTATTCAGGAAGAACTGCCCCACCATCTAAAGTGGTTCATCTTGGAGATAAAGAACAATCTAACTGGGCAAAAGAAGTACAAGGAATTTCAGAACAGTGAGTATCGTTAAAAGTATTTAATATCATGGAACTAAAATCCGTTTTAATGTACTCATTCTCTAACTTATTTTCCATTTAACATAGTAGTTACTCTGAATACTAATTACACCTTCATCCTGTTTTAGAAAGTAATGAGTTCTAGTTTAAAATGATACCTGATTAGCAGTAGTTACAGCCTTGCCCAGTTTGTCACTAAAATACCTAATGAAGTATAGAAAAAAAATGACAAATTAATGTAATACTAGGAATAACACTTAATACATTGACTGATTTTGAGAGCTATTTTCACTAACTGTATAAGGCCATTGAATTTTTTGGCCACATGTAAGTCATGAAAATTGGAAGAAAAATCCTGTTTTGTTCCTCATCTTCTCCCGTTCCCCATTCCCTTTACTCTCTTCCACCCAAGCCATATTCCCCAGGGCTTAGAATGCAGCCAAACTGAAATGCTAACCCACCTGGGAATGTTGGTTTTCAGGATCACCAGAGTGTTTTGTGTCCCATGATCCCACCCCAGCAGCACCTCTCCTTTGCCATCCAAACACAAGAATTCCCAAAACAAAAGCAGAATACGAGAGGCTGGCATTGGCACATGAAATGTTTTAAATGTATACCATCAGCCTTCCTATCCATGGATAAGCTTTCGGAGAATTCAGGGATACTCCTTCTAATTTTGGGGCTAATACCAGGCCACAATATCCTTATTCAAAGATGAATAAACCGGGAAAACGTTCAAAGACCATGAAAAACCATCCAACACCAAAGGAGATAAACATAGCTCTCGAGAGGTAGAGCATATTTTTGCCTCCCAACAGTGTAAATTAGATACCCCATCATAGTTTATATCATTCTAAGTTGTCTTTTGTAGCATATAAATAAAACCATAATAAACTTACTTGTATGATTAATTTAATAACTCTTTCTTTAGATAGTATGCACCATAAGAGTAGAGAGCATATCTGTTTTTGTTACTTCTTTATTCCAATTTATTGGTTAGTGCCTAGGCACTCAGTTACTGAGTTATTGTTTGAATGAATAGATAATATTTTAGTCAAGACTCCTTTAATTGGAAAAAAAAATCATTCAAAGTACTTCGGGTAAAGTGTTTAGTCATTTGTTTATATATGTAACATTGATATGTGAATATCAATGTATTGATACCTGCCATAATAGATACAGTAGTATGCATTGTAATGAATAAAAACACGTAATGAATAATAATGAGTAAAAACACACAGTTCCTACACTTATGATATTTACAGCTGCTGGATGGGAGACAACTATGGTAATTGCACTTGAAGGAGTAGTGCTCTGAGACCATTTGACTTAGCTAGGGAGGAATTTGTCATAGTCAGGGACAGTTTCCCAAGGAAGTATTGATTAAATCGATATCTGAATGCTGACTGGGAGTTAGGCAAGGAATGAAAAGGAAGTGTTTCATGATGAGGGAAGACTTACATGAAAAGCCCTGTGGCAGGAGGAAAAGCAGTGTGTATTGAGGAAGATTTGGCAACAAAGAAAAAAGAAAGTGGCAACCTCAGAAGTAGGAGGACAGCTAGAAGAGGGTTATATCATGTAAACCAAAGGAAAAGATTATTTCAAGAACAAGGTAATAAACCACACCGTATATTTTGAAGAGATTTAGCAAGAGCTGTATTGATTGAGCCATGGAGCTGAAAGCCAAACTAGAGTGGGTAAAGGAATGATTGAGAGTTGCAGAAGTGGAGACACAGTAGAAATTGACAACTTGTTCAAAAAGTTCAGCTGTGAGAGAGAGACCAAGAGATCTTGACCTCTTATCTGTTGTTCCCCTTCTGAATGAGCTTGAACTTCTATGAGGGCAGCAAAGGACAGAGAGAGTCGTCAATGCAGAAGACTGCTGGAGATGATAACAATGTATACTCGTTCACTCGAGAATAGTTTCTAGTGCCTGCCAATTCAGGCTGTCCTGTTTAACCTTGTCGACCAAGTTGGGTAGACAAGGCTATGTGGATTCATGAGCACTTAGGTTTATTTTATTCTGGTCACCATTTTCTTAGACTGCTTTTCTTTGCTACCATATTCCCCCCTGATACCATCTCACTTTTTGTCCCTTCCTTTCATGCCTCCCTAGCTCTTCTGTCTTCCAAGGTGAAATTCACAAGATTACTGTTGCTCTGCCCCTGAGGGTTTACTTATTTGTGATTTTTGCACATTAGAATGTTAGTAGCATGAGGTGAGGATTCCATGGCTCTAACAATAGGAGTTATCCTTATGCAGAGCATTCTTAGCTCTATGACTTTTGCAGGAAGAATGTAGAACCTATTACTTATCTCATATCTCCATGTATCTTAACTAAGATATGTTCTACTAAGTTGAGTATATTCTTTTCCTATAAACATATACATGAAATATTTCCATAAGTACCAAATCATGTAGTTTTATTTTGAGAAACCCTCTAAGCACATATGATGTACCTAATAAATTTCTGTATACCTGTGTAACAAATTTTTTTTCTGATGAAAATCACCAGTAAGAGATAGCTAAAGAAGGATATAGGATTGAGTAGAGCTGGTTTTTGGTTTATTCAGAGAGTTTTAATTGTGTGTAAAAACAATGAGAAGGAGCAGAGAGAAAACAATAAATTCTAAGATGGAAGGAGATGGATTCTTAAATAGGATATGAGATAGCTCCTCTGTTTTAACAGTATGGGAAGCAAATATAAGTTGGTTTGTGTGTTTGGCATGGGGAAAGCTGAGGAGCTCTCATTTGATTATATTTTCCTTGTAAAGCAGATGCTGAGTTTAGCTATTGAGGATGGCTGGAGGAAAAGGAAGGTTGGTCATAAGTTGAAGTAGAGTGAAGGAGGTTTGAAAATAGTTATTCAGGGAAATAGAAGACTATCAGTTTATCAGGAAAATGTGGTAGAATGGTAAGCAGTATTGAGGATCCTTTTTGAAGTTGGAGTCATAATTTATAATGAAACATTCTACCCTGTGTTTTGGGATAGAAGTGAGTTCACCAGTCACAGCCTTAGAAAAAACAAATGGCTGGATTTACTCAGCACTGGATTTTGCCACATGAGCACAATGAAGAGACAAAGAGGCAAGAGAGTTTAGAATATTGGCAAGAATGTTACTGAAGTGGTGGATGGTGAAATCTAAGTGGGATAGAGGGAGAAGTGAAGAAAGTAGACAGTAATAGTAGTAATAGTCTGGGAGGCCAGGCACGGTGGCTCATGACTGTAATCCCAGCACTTTGGGAGGCCAAGATGGGCAGATCTCTTGAGGTCAGGAGTTCAAGACCAGCCTGCCCAACATGGCAAAACCCCATCTCTTCTAAAAATACAAAAATTAGCTGGGCATGGCAGCGCCTGCCTGTAGTCCCAACTACTCCAGAAGCTGAGGCTGGAGAATCACTTGAACCTGGGAGGCAGAGGTTGCAGTGAGCCAAGATCACACCACTGCACTCCAGCCTGGGCAACAGAGCAAGACTGTCTCAAAAAAAAAAAAAGGTCTGGGAGAAGATAGAAAGTTTAGTGGTTTGGAAATCCTAGATAAAATTGAACAAAGTAGTTGAACATGCAAGTTGGATGAAGAGGAAGTTATCAGACAGTGAGATGTTTGTGTTAGTGATTTCAGAGGTTCGGTAGTTATGGATAATGTCAAAAACCAAGTCATAGCCATAGAAATTGCTGGCTTACGCATATCTACAACTATCTGATCTTTGACAAACCTGAGAAAAACAAGCAATGGGGAAAGGATTCCCTATTTAATAAATGGTGCTGGGAAAACTGGCTAGCCATATGTAGAAAGCTGAAACTGGATCCCTTCCTTACACCTTATACAAAAATTAATTCAAGATGGATTAAAGACTTAAACGTTAGACCTAAAACCATAAAAACCCTAGAAGAAAACCTAGGCATTACCATTCAGGACATAGGCATGGGCAAGGACTTCATGTCTAAAACACCAAAAGCAATGGCAACAAAAGACAAAATTGACAAATGGGATCTAATTAAACTAAAGAGCTTCTGCACAGCAAAAGAAACTACCATCAGAGTGAACAGGCGACCTACAAAATGGGAGAAAATTTTTGCAACCTACTCATCTGACAAAGGGCTAATATCCAGAATCTACAATGAACTCAAACAAATTTACAAGAAAAAAACAAACAACCCCATCAAAAAGTGGGCGAAGGACATGAACAGACACTTCTCAAAAGAAGACATTTATGCAGCCAAAAAACACATGAAAAAATGCTCATGATCACTGGCCATCAGAGAAATGCAAATCAAAACCACAATGAGATACCATCTCACACCAGTTAGAATGGCAGTCATTAAAAAGTCAGGAAACAACAGGTGCTGGAGAGGATGTGGAGAAATAGGAACACTTTTACACTGTTGGTGGGACTGTAAACTAGTTCAACCATTGTGGAAGTCAGTGTGGCAATTCCTCAGGGATCTAGAACTGGAAATACCATTTGACCCAGCCATCCCATTACGGGGTATATACCCAAAGGACTATAAATCATGCTGCTATAAAGACACATGCACACGTATGTTTATTGCAGCAGTATTCACAATAGCAAAGACTTGGAACCAACCCAAATGTCCAACAATGATAGACTGGATTAAGAAAATGTGGCACATATACACCATGGAATACTATGCAGCCATAAAAAATGATGAGTTCATGTCCTTTGTAGGGACATGGATGAAATTGGAAATCATCATTCTCAGTAAACTATCGCAAGAACAAAAAACCAAACACCGCATATTCTCACTCATAGGTGGGAACTGAACAATGAGATCACATGGACACAGGAAGGGGAATATCACACTCTGGGGACTGTTGTGGGGTGGTGGGAGTGGGGAGGGATAGCATTAGGAGATATACCTAATGCTAGATGACGAGTGGGTGCAACGCACCAGCATGGCATATGTATACATATGTAACTAACCTGCACAATGTGCACATGTATCCTAAAACTTAAAGTATAATAAAAAAAAAAAAAAAGAAATTGCTGGCTTAGGTGAAATGAAGGAGGTTATTGGAGATAAAGAGATTATGAAAATGAGTTACAGTGGTGGGTAGATCATACATGTAGACATTGACATAAGAATAGAATGGGAAGTGGAGGGTAGTTTTCTACTAGAGATTTTGAGGTCTCAGTGGGCTGTAAGGAGAATACCAAAACACTCTCCTACCCCTGAGGGTGCATGGTATGAAAACAAACAACTACTATTTGATAGGGAAGTGGTGGAACCTTCAGATAAGGAGGTAGAAGTTGAGGATAAAATGGAGTGAAAAGGTTTAGGAATGGAAGAAGACCTGGAAAAGGGGGCAAGGAAGTACTTTATAGGACATCATGGAGAAAGTGATGCACATAGAGGATAATTTGGAGAACAGCTCCTGACAGATCTAGTAATCAAAAAACAAATATGCAAAAATAGAATCAAAATAATATAATGCATTGCTGTAAAAGTTATAGATCAGATTATGCACCATATATTAAAAACCCTTTCATGCAGGATAGTAAGAAAATACAATAAATTTTATTTCATTCATATATATATATATATATATATATATTTTTTTTTTTTTTAGTGAGACGGGGTCTTACTATGTCACTCAGGGTGGAGTGCAGTGGCACATTCATATTATACCTCACCACAACCTGGAGCTCCTGAGTTCGAGCAATCCTCCTGCCTCCGCCTCTGCAATAGCTGGGACTATAGGTGCATACCACCATGCCAGGCTACTATTTTAATTTTTTGTAGAGATGGGGTATCACTGTGTTGCTCAGGCTAGTCTCAAACACCTAGCCTCAAGTGATACTCCTGCCTTAGCCTCTGGAGTACTTGGAATTACAAGGGTGAGCCACCAAGTCTGGCTAAGAAATTTTAAAACAGACAACAACACTGACCCCAAAGCAGTAAAAGTATATAGTAAAAGAAAAAGTAAATGGACGAAAATCTTCCAACCACTTGGGAATTTAAAAGTTTTGAGCTAACTATTTGGGGGATTTTATTTTAATAGAAGCATCGAAATACAGCCATACCTTGTTTTATTGTGCTTCTCTTTATTGTGCTTCAGAGATAGTTGCATTTTTTTTTACAAATTAGAGGCTTGCGACAACCATGTTGCAACTCTATCAGTGCCATTTTTTCCAACAGTATGTGCTCACTTCATGCCTGTGTGTCACATTTTGGTAATTCTCACAATATTTCAAACTTTATTATTGTTATTTTTATATCTGTCATGGTCATCTATGATCAGTGATTTTTAATGTTACTATTGTAATTGTTTTTGGTCACCATCAACCATGCCCATTTGAGATGGTGAATTAATCAATAAATGTTGTGTGTGTGCTGACTGCTCTACCAACCAACGGTCCCCTAGTCTCTTTCTCTTTCCCTATTCCATGAGACATAGCAATATTGAAATTAGGCCAGTTAGTAGCCCTACAATGTCCTCTTAAGTAGTCAAGTGAAAGGAAGAATCACATGTTTCTAGGTTTAAATCAAAAGCTGGAAATGATTAAGCTTAGTGAAGAAGGCATGTCAAAAGCTGATACAGGCCAAAAGCTAGGCTTCTTGCACCAAATAGTTGTGAATACAAAAGAAAAATTCTTGAAGGAAATCAAAAGTGCTACTCCAGTGAATACACCAATGATAAGCAAATTAAACAACCTTATTGCTAATATGGAGAAAGTTTTAGTGGTCTGGATAGAAGATGACACTAGTCACAGCATTCCCTTAAGCCAAAGGTTAATCCACAGTAAGGCCCTACCTTTCTTCAATTCTATAAAGGCTGAGAGAGGTGAGGAAGCTGCAGAAGAAAAGTTTGAAGTAAGCAGAGGTTGGTTCATGAAGTTTAAGGAAAGAAGCCATCTTCATAATATAAAGTGTGAGCTGAAGCAACAAATGCTAATGTAGAAGCTGTAGTGAGTCATCCAGATCTAGCTAAGATTGTTGATGAAGATGGCTACACTAAACAACAACCCTAGACAAAACAGCCTTCTATTGGAATAAGATGCCATCCTGGACTTCCATAGGTGCAGAGGAGAAGCCAATGCCTGGCTTCAAAGCCTCAAAAATCAGGTTAACTCTCTTGTTAGGGAAAAGTGCAACTGGTTACTTTAAGTTGAACCCGGTGCTCATTGACCATTCTGAAAATCCTGGGGCCTTTAAGAATTGTGCTAAATCTATGCCTGTGCTCTATAAATGGAACAGCGAAGTCTGAATGACAGCACATCTGTTAACAGTGTGGTTTACTGAATATGTTAAGTCCACTCTTGAGACCTACTGGTCATAGTAAAAGATCCTTTCCAAATATTACTGTTCATTGACAGTGCACCTGATCAACTGAGAGCTCTGATGGAGATATGCAAGGAGATAATGTTTTCACACATGCAAACACAACATCCATTCACGCATGCAAACACAACATCCATTCTGCAACCCATGGACTAAGGAGTACTTTGAACTTTCAAGTTTTAGTAGTTAAGAAATACATTTTTGGCCGGGCACAGTGGCACATGCCTGTAATCCCAGCACTTTGGGAGGCTGAGGTGGGTGGATCACCTGGGGTCAGTAGTTCGAGGCCAGCCTGGCCAACATGATGAAACACTGTCTCTACTAAAAATACAAAAATTAGCTGAGCGTGGTGGCGGACACCTGTAATCCCAGCTACTTGGGAGGCTGAGGCAGTAGAATCGCTTGAACCTGGGAGGCAGAGGTTGCAGTGAACCAAGATCACACCACTGCACTCCAGCCTGGGCAACAGAGCGAGACTCTGAGTGACTGCTCTGATGGATCTGAGCAAGGTGAATTGAAAACGTTCTGGAAAGGATTCACTATTATAGATGCCATTAAGAACATTCATGATTCATGGGATTTCAAAGTATCTATCAACATTAGCAGGAATTTGAAAGAAGTTGATTCCGACCCTCCTATATGACTTTGAGAGGTTCAAAACTTCAGTGGAGGAAGTAACTGCAGATGTGGTGGAAATAGCAAAAAAAAAGCTAGAATTAGAAGTGGAGCCTTAAGATGGAAATGAATTGCTGCTTTCTCATGATAAAACTTGAATGGATGAGGAATTGCTTCTTTGTTTTGTTTTGTTTTGAGACAGAGTCTCGCTCTGTCACCCAAGCCAGAGTGCAGTGGTGCGATCTCGGCTCACTGCAACCTCCACCTCTTGTGTTCAAGCTATTCTCGTGCCTCAGCCTCCTGAGTAGCTGGGATTCAGGCAAGCGCCACCATACGCAGCTAATTTTTTATATTTAGTAGAGACAGAGTTTTGCCATTTTGGCCAGGTTGGTCTCAAACTCGTGCTCTCAAGTGTCCACCTGCCTTGGCCTCCCAACGTGCCAAAGTGCTTAGATTATAGGCATGAGCCAATGCACCCGGCCAAGAGTAGCTTCTTATAGATGAACAATGAAAGTGGTTTCTTGAGATGGAATCTACTCATAGTGAAGATGCTGTGAACATTGTTGAAATGACAGCAAAGGATTTAGGATATTACATAAATTTAGTTGAAAAGCAGTGGCAGACTTTGAGAGCATTGACTCCAAGTTGGAAAGAACTTCTCTTGTGGGTAAAATGCTATAAAATAGCATTGCATTCTGCAGAGAAATCTTTCATGAAGAGTCAGCTGATACAGCAAACTTTATTATTGTCTTATTTTCAAAAATTGCGTCAGCCATCCCAACCTTCATCGGCCACTGCCCTGACTAATCAACAGCCATCAATATCAAGGTGAGACCCTCCACTAACAAAAAGTTAACTACTAATAGCCTACTGTTAGCATTTTTGAGCAATAAAGTACAGTTGATCTTTGAACAGTGTGGGAGGTAGGGGTGCTGACCCCCAATACAGTAAAAAAAATGCACATACAACTTTTGACTCCCCAAAACTTAACTGCTAAAAGCCTACTGTTCATCAGAAGACTTGCCGATAACATAAGTAGTTGATAACGCATATTTTGTATATGTATTATATAGTGTGTTCTTACAATAAAGTAAGATAGAAGAAAATGTTATTATAAAATCATAAGAGAAATATATTTACTATTAATTAAGTGGTAGTGGTTGATCATAACAGTTTTCATCTTCGTCTTCATGTTGAGTAGGCAGAGGAGGGGTTCATCTGCTGTCTTGGAGGTGTTAGAGGAGGAGGAAAATCTGCATGTAAGTGGACCTATGTCATTCAAACCTGTGTTTTTCAAGTGTCAGCTGTATTTGAAAATGAAAGTATTGTCTTAGCCCAGTCTGAGGCTGGGTAATTTATAAAGAAAAGAGGTATGTTTGGCTCAAAGTTCTGCAGACTGCACAAGAAGTATGGCATCAGCATATGTTTCTGGTAAGGGCCTTAGGAAGCTTCCACTCATAGCAGAAGACAAAGAGGAACAGGCGTGTACAGATCACATGGCAAGAAAAGAAGCAAGAGAGGGGTAGGGAGGGAGGTGCCAGGTTCTTTTTAACAGTCAGTTCTCATGGGAACTAGTAGAGTGATAAACCCCCGTATCCTCCTCATTGCAAGGAAGACAGCAGCAAGCCATTTATGAAGGATCCACCCCATGACCCAGACATCTCTCACCAGGCTCCATCTCCAACATTAGGGATTGGATTTCAACGTGAGACTTGGTGAAGTCAAACAAACTATATCCAAACCATAGTAGATATATACATTTTTTAAAGACATAATGCTATTATACACTTAATAGACTCAGTGTAAACATAACTTTGGTATGTACTGGGAAACAGAAAAATTCATGTGACTCACTTTATTGTGGTGGTCTGGAACTGAACCTGAAATGTCTCCCAAAGAATGGCTGTATACATATGGAGCAAAAAATACTTGCGAATTATAGGTGTATTAATCATAAGTATATTACTTGATGAATTTTCACATGTGGAACAAGAATACAAGTCAAGAAACAATAACAGGAATATTACCATAATCCAAGGAAGTCCCTTGTACACCCTTTTATCCATTACCATCCGCTGCTCCCTCCCCACCCCCAGTGACGAGGATAACCATTTTGACTTGTAACCACATACATTTGTGTTTTCTATTTTTGAACTTTATGCAGTATAAGTTCATTCACACAGAGTGTATTCTTCTTGAGCCTGATTTCTTTTGGTCAGTATTGTGATTCTAATATCCATATTGTTACATGTAATCATAGTTTGTTCATTTTCACTAATGATACTATTACATTGTATGAATACAGCACAATTTTTCCATTCTACAGTGGATGGATATTTGAGTTGTTTCTCATTTGGGGCTCTTGGTGAACGTGTATATATGCATTCCTTTTGGGTATATGTCTATGCATTCCTTTTGGGTATATATCTAAGAGTAGAATTACTGCTTCATAGCATATGCCTACATTCAGCTTGAACAGATACTACCAAAAAGGTTTGCAAACTCTTTGTATCAATTTACGCTCTACCAGCAGTTTATAAGAACTTATGTTGATTTCTGTTTTCATAAGTACTTACTATTGCTTTTTCATTTTAGCCATTTTGGTATAGTAGTAGTATCTCATTTTGCTTTAATTTGCATTTCCCTGATGACTAATAAAATTGAACATCCTTTCGTGTTTGTTGGCCATTTGAATATGCATACTCTTTTGTGAAATGCCTGTTCAAGTCTGTTGCCCTTTTTAAAATTGGGTTGATTATCTTTTTCTCATTACTTTATAGTTTTCTTACTGGCTTATTGTGTCATTCTCAATTTCAGGGGAAAACTAAGTAATTTATCTTTAAATAAAATTATCACTGTAGCTTGTTTTTAATTACTGTTCTTTATCAGGTTAAGGAAATTTCCTTCTATTCTGATTAAGAGTTTTTATCATTAATTGGTGCTGATTTGTAAAATGTTTTTTCCGCAGCTGTCAAACTGATTATATTATTTTTATCCTGTTAATCTGATGAATTGCATTGATTGAATTTCCAATATTAATCTACCCCTAAATTTCTGGAATAAATCCCATTTATTTATGATATATTATCCTTTTATACATAATTGGATTTTATCTGTTTAAGTTTGTTTTAAGATTTTTGCATCTACTTTCATGAGAAATACTGGCCCATAATTATAAAGATTTCCTGAAATGTCCTGGTCAGCTGTTGATATCAAGATTACTGGCTAAATGACTTTTAAGTGAAAGTGGTAGAAAAAAATTCTAATAAATTTTTAGAAAATGGTGTGTTTCAAAAATTTGTTGGAAAACTTTTGTTTCTGGCTAAGGTGACATGACTTTTTTCAGACCAACTTTGCCATAGACAACATTATTAAAGTATAAGCTGATGTGAAAAAATATATAACGTGTTATATAATTATATACTATATTATATGCTATTTATATAGTCTATATTATATACTATTTTTATGACATATTTGTATAAACAAAACTTTTAAAGTGTGATTGGTAAAGTGAGCTCGGTAGATGGACTGAGTAGTAATACGGGCATACTAAAAATTGAATCAGTGAGCTAAATGATCAACCTTAGGAATTCCTTCAGTAAGCAGTACAAAAGCACAAAGAGATGAAAATAATATCAGAATTTTAATATCTATCTATTAGGAGTTCTAGAAAGAGAAAATGGAAAGGAGATAAGAAAGTATTCCTTAAATGAAGAATGATTATATATTTAGATGAAAGGTCAGCAAACTTCTTCTGTAAAGGGCAAATAGTAAATATTTTAGGCTTTGTAGACTTTACAATGTCTGTCACAACTACTCAACTTTACCATGTAGCGCAAAAGCAGCCATAGACAGGAAGTAAATGGATAACTATGTTCCAGTAAACTTTTATCTAAAAAACTAGGAGGCTGTCTGAATTACTTTAGATTGGAAAAGCCATCACATACTCCTGGCAACCCCCAATCTATTTTCTGTCTTCATGGATTTACCTATTTTAGATGTTTCATATAAATGGAATCATATGATATATGGCCTTTTGTATCAGGCTTCTTTCATTTAGCATGCTTTCGAAGTTCATACACATTGTAGCATGTGTCAGTGCTTATTCCTCTTTATGGCTGAATAATATTCCATTGTATGGATATGCCACTGTTTGTTTATCCATTTGTTCATTTATGAACATTTGGATTGTTTCTACCTTTTGGCTATTTGAATAGTGGTGCTATGATCATTTGTGTATCAATATTTGTTTGAGTACCTGTTTCCAATCCGGGGGGGTTGGAATGCTTAGAATTGTTGGGTCATGTGTTAATTATATGTTGCTTTTTGAGGAACTGCCAAACCGTTTTCCACAACAGCTGCACCATTTTACAGTCCCACCAGTAATGTACAGATGTTCCAGTTTTTCCATGTCATCACCAAAACTTATTTTTTTCCCTGTTTTTTAATTATAACGATCCTAGTGGATGTGAGAACAGGAGTTTTGTATAGCTCTATGAGTTCTTATTTAATCACAGAGACAGTTGGAGAAGTACCCACAGAGTAAAATAAATAATGCAAAAAGTCTCAAGTTAGGTACCTGGAACTGCTAGCGTATTTATTTAAAGTTTATTTACACACTTGATTATGAGTTGATAGTTTACGATAGTTGACGATTATCGTCCTAGAATATCTGCATACTCATTCATATGTATATTTCATGTTTATTCTTTATTTTAGCTACCTGAGAAGAAAAGGAATAATAATAAATGAAACATCTGCAGTTGTGTATGCTCAGTTACTCACAGGTCGTAAATATCAAATAAATCAAAATGGTGAAGTTCGTCTAGAGAAACAGTGGTCAAAACAAGTTGTTCCTTTTGTTTATCAAACTATTGTCAAGGTAAGTCTATATCAAGTTTCAATTCTGTCTTAATATACACTATTAATACACTATTCACTGTATAATGAAAAGATATGTTAATATAAATAGACTAATTCAGCAATGTATAATAGAGATTATCATTTAATATAATTTACAAAATAACTTATTATTTGTAAGAAGTATTACATGCTCAGACACTCAGTATATATAGTTAGGAAACTTGTCTTTTATGCTTTCGTATGCTTTTTTTTTTTTCTTTTTTTTTTTTTGAGACAGAGTCTCGCTCTGTTGCCCGGGCTGGAGTGCAGTGGCGCCATCTCGGCTCACTGCAGGCTCCGCCTTCTGGGTTCACGCCATTCTCCTGCCACAGCTTCCCGAGTAGCTGGGACTACAGGTGCCCGCCAGCACACCTGGCTAATTTTTTGGTATTTTTTAGTGGAGATGGGGTTTCACCATGTTAGCCAGGATGGTCTCAATCTCCTGACCTCGTGATCCACCCACCTCGGCCTCCCAAAGTGCTGAGATTACAGGCGTGAGCCACTGCGCCCAGCCTTTTATGGTTTTTTTTAAGGACTTAGACTCTAAAAGAAAAAATCCCACCATTAACTTACACCCTTGAATTTTATATTTTTATTCTTCAAAAATGTTTGCCTTAAATCTTATAAATGTAAAAGGCATTTTATTTTTGCATTTATAATCTTAGATACGATAAGAGGACAAAAATTTTTTTAAGTATGTAGCGATCCTGTAATTTGGGGTGTTATAGTACAGTGTAGTGATTAAGTGACTTAAGAACACTGGCTGCCTGAGTTGGCTTCTTAGCTGCATGACCTTGGACAAGATTCATCCCCTTTCTGTGCCCCAGTTTTGTCATCTGTAAAGTGAGGCTAATAATGGTCTCTGCCACAGAGGTTTGTCATGAGGATTAAATGAACTCAATAAATGTGTGAAGCACATAGAAGGGTGCCTGCCATATAACCAGTCAACAAATTTTAGCTCTTGGCATTATGTAGAAAAATCTTCACATTGACATTTGCAAACAGCATAGTCATAATCCCATAGGAAAAAAACTTGATACGCAATCTATAGAAATTATGACTAAGATTATTTACTTTTATTTTATGTAGGACATCCGAGCTTTCGACTCCCGTTTCTCCAATATCAAAACATTGGATGATTTGTTTCCTCTGAGAAGTATGGTCTTTATGCTGGGAACTCCCTATTATGGCTGCACTGGAGAAGTTAGTTTCCATTATTGTTACTGATACATTTTTCTCTAGTTTAAAGCAGTTACTTAACTTCTCTTCATTTAGGTTTAAATTAAAATATAATAATGAAGGGAAAAAATAAAGAATTTATCCATGTAACTTATGAACACAGTGTTTGACTTATATATCTAAATACTATATATCTAAGACTAAAGACCATATACTTTTAGTCTTGAGCAGATTAGGATCAAGAGGTGGTGTGTTCAAATCCTGATCTCTTTTTTTTTAGCAGTTTTGTTTATTGTAGTGGTATGGATGAAACGATTTTGTAACTATTTTAGACATGTAATAGGCTTGAGTGAATTTGTAAATGCGTTCATATTTGAGGAACTTTGGTTCTTAAATGGAAAAAGGTACATGCAAATATGGAAGGAGAGAAAGCAAGAAAGAACCTATAGGGACAGATTTGGAAGTATTAGTGTGAACTCTTGGTTTCTAAAATATGTATATATGTTTGTATATCTGTGTATATAGGCACATATATATGTGTATATATATATACACGTATGCATATGTTTCTAGCTCTATTTGCTGAAAGGAATAAGAAGCAAAGACACCTTAGCACAATGAGCACATGTACCACCCAGATCTTGACGTCTAATTTCATAACTCACTAAAAGGAACAGGGCTTCTCAGAGAAATTGCTGATTCTGGATCTGGGGCAGGGAAGATACAAGATGAACCTGGAACATCTTGTTATGTCAGAAAGTAAGGAGGTGCTCAGAAGAATGGTGGGAGTATGTCATGTAAACACAGGAACCAGGTTGAGGGTACTACCACTGCCCAAATCTTGGATACTTTGAGTGACAAAATAATTAAATTCAGTAGTTAATTATAAACCACTGGGGGGAAAACAGGAATTCATGATTCCGTAGTGACAGTAAAAAGATAAATAGGGAAAGGAAGGTCTCTTGTCTGTAGTAGCATGTAAGAAGTAAATTTGGAGAGAGTGCTGCAGTTGAAAAACCATTGTGCAACCATTATGATAAAGATTGAATCATGTAAGAATCATCTTTGGGAACTAAATCTAGGGGGCATTTTTTTTTTAAATCAGGAGCAGGATATTTGCATGGTCTTAGAATGTATCTCCTACAGATTATTTATTAGCTGCAAGGGAAACGAAAACTGTAATTATGCAGGAAAAAAATTGAGCAACATATTAATGGTATAATCAAAGTTAGCATCGCATTAAAGGACAGATGAACATTGTGTACCTCCAGATGTAATACCCTTTGGAGGACACATCACCTATGCAGTATTCTGGCTGTGAATGTACTACCATAACCTAATTATGTGGAAGCATCAAACAAACCCAAAATAAGGAACTGTTTTTTTGTTTTGTTTTGTTTTTAAAAGGCAGGTTGGAGAGGGAGGGACAAATTATATATTCTTCAAAATGTCAATGTTGGCTGGGTATGGTGGCTCACTCCTGTAATCCCAGCACTTTGGGAGGCCAAGATAGGCAATCACTTGAGGCCAGGAGTTCGAGACCAGGCTGGCCAACACAGCGAAACCTCATCTCTGCTAAAATTATAAAAATTAGCTGGGTATGGTGGCATATGCATGTAATCTCAGCTACTTGGGAGGCTGAGAATAAGAATTGCTTGAACCTGGGAGACAGAGGTTGTGGTGAACCAAGATCATACCACTGCACTCCAGCCTTGATGACACAGTGAGACTCTATCTTAAAAAAAAAAAAAAAAAAAAAAGCAATAACTTAAAAGGTCAGTGTTATAAAAACAAAAAAAGGCAGTGGATACATTTTAGATTAAAGGATGCTAAAGAGATATGACAATTAAATGCAATATCTGATCCTAATCTGGATCTTGTAATAAAGGAAGAAAATAGTTCTATAAAGGACATTATTTGGTCAACTGACAAAATTGGAATATAGATGGTAGCTTAGATGAAAGTATTATGTCAATGTAAATTTATATACTTAATAACTGTACTGTGATTATATAGTAAAATATCTATCTTAGGAAATACACACTGAAATATTGAGGTCAGGGACATGATGTATGTAATATATACTCAAGGGGTTCAGAAAGATAACTATGTATAAGTAAATACACACATAGTACACAAAAGTTAAAGGCATTTGTTTTACAATGCTAACAACAGGTGAATCTGGATAAATTTTTTTTCTTTTCTTTCTTTCTTTTTTTTTTTGGAGACAGAGTCTCGCTCTATTACCCAGGATAGAATGCAGTGGCATGATCTGGGCTCACTGCAACCTCCACTTTTTTTTTTTTTTGCAACTTTTTGGTACTTTGAAATTATTTGCAAATAAAAAGTTAATTTAAAAAAGAATGATTGGGCCAAGCACAGTGGCACACACCTGTAATCCCAGCACATTGAGAGGCCAAGGCGGGCGTGGGGAAATTGGTTGAGCACAGGAGTTTGAGACCAGCCTGGGCAACATGGCAAAATCCCATCTCTGCAAATAATTGAGCTTAGTGGTGCATACCTGTAGCTCCAGCTGCTTGAGAGGCTGAGGTGGGAAGATTGTTTGAGCCCAGGAAGGCAAGTGCAGCAAGTCGGCAAGCCATGATAGTGCCACTACACTCCAGCCTAGATGACAGAGCAAGACCCTGTTGCCAAAAAAAAAAATGATTGTCCAGGTGCAGTGGCTTACACCTATTATCTTACCACTTTGGGGAGACCAAGGCAGGAAGATTACTTGAGCCCAAGAGTTCAAGGTTGCAGTGAGCTGTGATCCCACCACTTTAGCCTGAATGACAGAGCGAGATCCTGTCTACGGCCATACCACCCTGAACGCACCTGATCTCGTCTGACAGAATGAGATCCTGTCAAAAAGAAAACAAGAAAAAACAAATTAACAACCATTAAAGCAATGATACAGTGACTCAAATTTATAGTATTATAGATCCTGTCTCAAAAGAAGTTAACCATTAAAGCAACGATACAGTGACTCAAATTTACAGTATTTTCATACCCACTTAACAAATTTCAAGAGAATTTCCACTATCCAACTTGTCATACTGTATTTCAAAAATAATAGTGTTCAAATAAGTTAAAAAATAAAATGTACTGAAAGAGACTATACTGTGATTTTTTTTTCTTCTAAGGTTCAGGATTCAGGTGATGTGATTACAGAAGGTAGGATTCGTGTGATTTTCAGCATTCCATGTGAACCCAATCTTGATGCTTTAATACAGAACCAGCATGTGAGTACAGTAGTTTGTATTGTTTCATTTAGAATTGATAAACTTTTAAAATATTAGGATATTTTTGCCACCTCCTTTGAATTTATTTCAGATATTTTATTTAATAATGATTAGATTCTCTCTCCCAGTTGCATCTGGTATTTAAAAATAAGTGTGGAATCTGTGCTCAAAACTTCATGTAGATCTTTGTGGGGGGAAATCACTGAAATCCCGTTATTAATCCATAGTGATTGTTATGGATTATTGTGTTCAAGCTTATAAGAGGCACATTGATTAGCACACCCTCTGGGAACAGATTTAGGTGTTTTAAACCTTTCATAATAATTCAGAGCCTGCATTTTTAGTTGCAAGTGACAAATGGCCTTTCTGCAAAGGCTGTATGTATCTCTTCAGCTAAGAATGAACAGTCTCAATCCTAAA
Source organism: Homo sapiens (assembly GCF_000001405.40). Taxonomy (NCBI): domain Eukaryota; kingdom Metazoa; phylum Chordata; class Mammalia; order Primates; family Hominidae; genus Homo; species Homo sapiens. The sequence continues at coordinate 142,379,661 of NC_000003.12, read as the reverse complement.
GAATATTGGAAAAATGCATTTAAGTTAACAGCATCTTTTTCAGGACCTTCTCACCAAAAAATTCCACTGGCGTTCTTTTCTCTTGTTAAAATAGAGGGAAGGTTCTGATATCTGTCATTTGTTCTTATTGATTGGTTGGATAATTAGCTAAAATTAATTCGCAATCAACCAGCTTCATTTTCTGACTCTCATGCCTCGTTCTTTCTGATTTATATCTCCATTTTGATGGAGCACTTACTCCAGTAGCTTCTGAGAAAACTTGCATGTCTGGAGATGTCTTTATTCTTCTCCTACACTTGATTGATAGTTTGCCTGGGTGTAGAATCCTAGATTAGAGATTATTTTCCCTCAGAATTTTGTTTTGGTTTTGGTTTTGGTTTTTTCTTTTTGTGAGACAGAGTTTCGCTCTGTCATCCAGGCTGGAGTGCAGTGGCACGATCTTGGCTCAGTGCAACCTCTGCCTCCCTGGTTCAAGTGATTCTCCTGCCTCAGCCTCCCAAGTAGCTGGGATTACAGGCACCCACCACCATGCCCGGCTAAATTTTGTATTTTTTTTTTTTTTTAGTAGAGATGGGGTTTCACCATGTTGGTCTCAAACCCCTGACCTCAAGTGATCTGCCTGCCTCGGCCTCCCAAAGTGCTGGGATTACAGGTGTGAGCCACAACACCTGGCCTTCCCTCAGAATTTTGAAACCACTGTTCCATTCTCTTCTCGTTTCCATATTGTTGTTGATAAATCCTGTGCCATTCTGATTCTGAATTTCTGTATGTGATCTATTTTCATTTTCTGAAATCTTTTTAGCACCTTTCCCTTACTGGTGCTTTTTAATAATGTGAGGATGTGTGCCTTGGTATGGATCTTTTTTCTTCCCTTCTCCTGTTCAGCTCTTTCAGGCTTGCAACTGATGCCCTTCCATTCTGAGAAACTTTCTTGTATTATTTCTTTGATAATTTTCTCCTCACTATTTTTTTCCTGCTTTCTATTTCTGGGAATCCTTTTAGTTCAATCTTAGACCTTCTGGATTGATCTTCTTAGTTTTATCTCTCCTCATCCATTTCCTATATTGTTATACTTCTGTTCTACTTTGGGAAATTCATTCAACTTTATTGTTTATCATTTAAAATTTCTATTTGATTTAATCATTTTAATTTCTAAAAGTGTGTCCTTATTCTCTGGCTATATATAGCATCTTGTTCTTACAGTGAATGGAATATCTTCATTTATTTCTCTGAAGATAATTCTAGGATTTATCCTTCTATTTTTTGTGTTTTCTGTTAAACCTTTCATAACAATTCAGCACCTGCATTTTTAGTTGGAAGTGACAAATGGCCTTTCTGCAAAAGCTGTATGTATCCACTCAGCTAAGAATGAACAGTCTCAACCCTCAAGAATATTGGAAAATTGCATTTAAGTTAACAGCATCTTTTTTAGGACTTTCTCACCAAAAATTTCCAGTGGCTTTCCTTTCTCCTGTTAAAACAGAGGGAAGGTTCTGATATCTGTCATTTGTTCTTATTGATTGGTTGGATAATTAACTTAGCTAAAATTAATTCACAATCAACCAGCTATTGCTACTTAGCCTTTTTTTTTCCACTAATAGTAAAATATAAAGCTTTATATCCTGTGAAATGAATTTAAGGCATTATGTATCAGCACACCCATGAGGAAACTTTATGTATGGAAGGCAGTCATCCCTAAAATCTTACCATCTGGTGCCATTTGAAGAACAAATTTAGACAGCAGTCATGAAACCAGGAGAGTGGCTCTTTAGATAAAGTAGCTGGAGCTTTGTACTGGGAATCAGTGAAGGTTAAATAACTTGTGTTCCTTCATCCCTGGCTTTTTCTAGATCTAGAAGAGCCTGTCCTGTTGTATGATAGTGTACAGTGTTGTTTCTTTCTCTTTACATACGTTTAACTTTCACTCAAGCTGACTTCTTTTTTTACCACAACATTCTCAGCTACTTATTTTATATTTTCTAGGATGTTTGTGATGGTTTTAATGAATCTTAAATTATAGCAAAACCCATTATTTCTCAAAAGGAGTACTGTTGGCAATTTGGGCAGGACAGTTATGTATTAAATAAAACTGTTTTGTATATGGCAGGACAGTTGGCATCTTTGGCTCAAGGGCATTAAGTGCTAGTAGCCCATGCCAGTTATTGTAATTAAATGTGCCTCTACACGTTTCCAAATGCTTGTTAGAAAAGTGTTGCTACTTATATTTGAGACCTACTACCTTAATTCTTTGAACTGTTCTGGAAAGCATACTTGATTTGTATTACATTATTGCTAAATCTGATTATGTTCTTAAGTATGTTTTATTGTTATGTACATGATGTTAAGAGTATATGGTAGTTTATCCTAGTTAGTATTGGATTCATGAATCATTTGCTTCCTGGTTAAATATTATATGATCTGTTACTTCTTTTTTTTTTTTTAATGTGACAATATGTTTTCTTCCCTTAAGTATATAAATTAAGGTTACATTTCATTGACTGTATTAATTATGGGTCTATACATGCTTGTATGTTTTCATATGATAGTAAATATTAGGGGAAAAGAATATTACTTATATCCATATATGAAGGACACTTTTAGTTTTTCTCAGTAGCAACGATTTTGATGATGTACCTATTTTTTAATTCAATGTAATAATTACTGAGGCCTCATTTTGTCCCAAGTACTTTGCTAGGCCCTGCTTGGAATATGAAAATTAGTAGAAACGAAAACAAAAACAAACAAAAAACTTGCCTGTGGAGTTTGCCATTTAGTACTTACAGTAGAGTTTATTTCTTAAGACAGTTTCACAAACTGTATATTTCCTCCCCCCTTTTATCCATCCTTGGGAATTCTGTCCTTTAAGGAGAAAGAGAGAGGAGCAGAAAAATTCTGCCTACAGATCCTTTCAAAAAAAAGGGGAAATGGATCTAAGTGAAAATCCTTATATTGCCACAATCCAATGGTTAGTGATGTCTTGATTATCTCCAGATTTTAAAGGTAAAGAAATAACATTTAATGTAAACTTGTGTTTCCATAATTGACCTTTTTGTTTTTATATTTAAAGAAATATTCTATAAAGTACAACCCAGGATATGTGTTGGCCAGTCGCCTTGGAGTGAGTGGATACCTTGTTTCAAGGTTTACAGGAAGTATTTTTATTGGAAGAGGATCTAGGAGAAAGTAAGTTTATGTTAGAGAAATTTACTTAAAGTGGCAGAAAAATTAAATGATAAAGATTAAATGCTTAATATTTCAGTATTTATTTTCTTATTAATTGCTCTGGATTGTCTTAAAATTGTGCATAAATTTCTCTGATGGTAATCTTTCATCTGAATGGCACATGTTTTAGGTGGTTGGAAAAGACAGTTCTTATTTTTTAGCAGCTAATAAATTGAACCTTGAAAAAAGGTATCAGAGGGTGTGTGTGAACCTCAGTAGTATATTTCCTTGCATCTTGTTATTTCATTTTCCTCTATAATTACATAATTTATTTACATGCTTTGTTAACTTGGGTTTTGAAGCTTTTCTTCTAGTTTTTCAATTACTGCTACTTTGGAAATAACCATAATAACTAAAATATAGAAGAATAATCAAAACTGAGCTTTTCTAAGAATTGAAAGCAAAACTTTTTGTTCCTTGAACGACATTTTAAAACTCGTGTGTGTGTGTGTGTGTGTGTGTGTGCACGTGTGCGCATGTGTGGTTTAAATTCAGCCCTCATGGAGACCATAAAGCAAATGTGGGTTTAAATCTCAAATTCAACAAGAAAAATGAGGAGGTACCTGGATATACTAAGAAAGTTGGAAGTGAATGGATGTATTCATCTGCAGCAGAACAACTTCTGGCAGAGTACTTAGAGAGGTAAGTACATAATAAGATACTAGTAGTCATTCCAAAATCTTAGGAAAATACTGTTTATTTTGCCTTCCTGATATTAGTTTTAGAGGACAAATATTTCCATTAGTAAAATCTGGCATATGTTACATGTAAACTTAATTTTGCATCATGGAATATCATAGGCACTAGCTAAAATTGAGTAGAAAAATACCATATTATTAAAAAGAAAATATATAATGAAAATTGCCCTCTTTAGTTAAAATTTTTCTTAACTTACTATCATACATTGTTCACTACCTTGCATACCTATGTCAGCACTGAGAGAACTGATATGGATAAACAAAGCTCTTAGCATAGTGGATTTTTTCTGATTCTTAGAACTATGTAGCTATACAGGTTACTATCTTAGAATTATTGAATTTTATTGCTGAAATTATCTAGGAAATCAGCAAGTCAACTCATACCAAAAGTGAGAAAGCCAAGTACCAAGATTCACTGAGTTACTAGTGACAAAGATTTACAGGAAGTATATTTACATCTGATTCATAATTTAATGTTCTTTCCATTATTCCACTGGTTTCTAACCTTATATTTGAAGATCTCTTTATTAGTTTCCTAGGCTAGCTCCTGTAACAAAGTACCACGAACTGGGTGGCTTAAACAACAGAAATTTATTGTCTCAACCAGTTCTGGTGACCAGAAGTCCAAAATCGAGATATTGCAGGACAATGATGGTCCCTCTGAAGGCACTAGGGAAGCATCTCTGTTCTGTCTTCTCATAGCCTTATATGTTCTTTGGCTTGTAAATGCATCCCTGCAATCCTCCGTGTTTATGTGATGTTCTCGCTGGGTGTCTCACATCATCTTTCATCTCTGTATGTCTGTCTCTGTGTCCTAATTTCCCCTTTTTGTAAGAACACCAGTCAGATCAGAGTCCATGCTAATGACCACATTTTGTTTGACTGCCTCTACTAAAAACCCTATTTCCAAATAAAGTCACATTCGATAACTTCTGAGTGGGGCAGGACACAATTCAATCCCATATTACCATCTGGAAATTTAGATTGTTTCTTCTGTTCACTTTCTTATTTCTTTAAAAGGTCATGTTTAAACTACTTTTTCTTAATTTTTCAACTTGACATATTTATGGATTTTCTGCTGTGAGTGGCTTTCCTATCCTGAGCTTCAGCTTTCTTTGACTTCCACCACTCTGGATTCCCTCAGACACATATTTCCCCTCTCACTAAACTTTTATGAAGATTTTTTATTAAATCTGTATTAAAGGTTTACTTCCTTATGATGAAGTAAATGTTCACAGTTGGACCTTATGGAGTATTAAGATTACATTTTATTTCTTGTACACATTTTTGTTTGCTGTTTTTTTCATTTGCTTCTTATCTGTGTTCACATAACAAATTCTGTGTCATAGCTGTTTACACTATGGTCAGACAGATCAGGTGATTGCTCAGTTCCATTTTTCTCTTGGAGACTTCTTTTAAAACCTGTGTCTTCCTGCTTCAGTTTGAACTGATTGCTCTCTAGGGCTGTTGTGCAGCTCTCATTATTCAGTTTCCTGGTACTGTCATCCTAGGAATTCAGTTTTCTTCACCAGTCTGCCATATAGGATTCCTTCCTTTTCTGACTTTCATGCCTCACTCTTTCTGATTTATATCTCCATTTTGATGGAGCACTTACTCCAGTAGCTTCCTGAGAAAACTTGCATGTCTGGAGATGTCTTTATTCTTCTCCTGCACTTGATCGATAGTTTGCCTGGGTGTAGAATCCTAGATTGGAGATTATTTTCCCTCAGAATTTTGTTTTTATTTTTGTTTTGCTTTGTTTGAGTCAGTCTCGCTCTGTCACCCAGGCTGGAGTGCAGTGGCACGATCTCAGCTCACTGCAACCTCTGCCTCCCCAGTTCAAGTGATTCTCCTACCTCAGCCTCCCGAGTAGCTGGGATTACAGGCACCTGCCACCATGCCCGGCTAAATTTTGTATTTTTTTTAGTAGAGATGGGGTTTCACCACGTTGGTCTCAAACCCCTGACCTCAAGTGATCTGCCTGCCTCGGCCTCCCAAAGTGCTGGGATTACAGGTATGAGCCACAACACCTGGCCTTCCCTCAGAATTTTGAAACCACTGTTCCATTCTCCTTTCGTTTCCATATTGCTGTTGATAAAGCCTGTGCCATTCTGATTCTGAATTTCTGTATGTGATCTATTTTCATTTTCTGAAATCTTTTTAGCACCTTTCCTTTACTGGTGCTTTTTAATAATGTAAGGATGTGTGCCTTGGTATGGATCTTTTTTCTTCCCTTCTCCTGTTCAGCTCTTTCAGGCTTGCAACTGATGCCCTTCCATTCTGAGAAACTTTCTTGTATTATTTCTTTGATAATTTTCTCCTCACTATTTTTTTCCTGCTTTCTATTTCTGGGAATCCTTTTAGTTCAATCTTAAACCTTCTGGACTGATCCTTTTAGTTTTATCTCTCCTCATCCATTTCCTATATTGTTATACTTCTGTTCTACTTTGGGAAATTCATTCAACTTTATTGTTTATCATTTAAAATTTCTATTTGATTTAATCATTTTAATTTCTAAAAGTGTGTCCTTATTCTCTGGCTATATATAGCATCTTGTTCTTACAGTGAATGGAATATCTTCATTTATTTCTCTGAAGATAATTCTAGGATTTATCCTTCTATTTTTTGTGTTTTCTGTTTTCTCTAATTGCTTTTTTTCCTCCTGTTTGATTTAGTCTCTCTTGCAGTGTTAAAGTTTTGTTGTTGTTGTTCTTGTCTGATGATCTTTGATATCCAATTATATTTAAGAATGAGGCACTAAATAGCTGATTGGAAATTTAGTGTACTTAGGTGGGGTTTATCAGGTGGATCAGGAGGGACTTTCCTGTTTCTACAGAGGACCTCCTAGTATCACTACCTGCATGTTTATCTTTTCTTTCCCGGAGAGGTGGCCTCCACCCTTTTCCTTGACAGTGGATATGAATGTAGTGGATTAAACTGATTGCCAGTATTCTGGAAGTTAACCAGGGAAAGAAGGTTTCATTACCAAGTGGATACTGTGATACACCTCCCAGACCACTTTTCAAGACTGAAAGACCTATCCCCTTGCAGCAGGAATGCTGCTTTCCGGCAGCCCTCAGCTGTGAGCCCTCTTTAGTAATTGCCTGGATGAGGAGAACTGCCTCAACTAAGGTTACTTTCCCTTCCCACAACAGCCGCAAATCAATGCCCAATCTATAAGGAGGTATAGAAACCCAGACATTCTGATTGTCCCAATTCATGGCAAGTCTGAAGGGCCATCCCAGTTTGAGATCTTTGTGGGGCTGTTCAAGGAATTCATTGAGAATTGGTCACAGCCCATCCTCTTCCTGTGCCCAATTCTGCTTTCTTCCTCTCCCTTCCCTTCCACGGGTGTTGATCAAACAAGCACTCCCTACCTGCATGCTTATCTCCATCCCAGAGTCCATTTCTAGAGACCTTATGCTTCCTAGTGACACATTGTATAGTATTTATGCTTTCATTAATTCACTGTTTTCAGTATAACACCTGTCCTCTCCTCCTTATGCCTTCCTCACCCCTAAGTCCGTGACTGGTATACACAAGGCTAGAGTATCTATTTGACCTCTCTAAAATATACGCTACAGGTCATATGCTGGGGTGGTAGGCAGGCAACCACATGACAGTATAACTGCTTGTTATACAAACTTTAAATCTTACTAAACCTCACCCCACACTTTCAAATGTACCTGGAACCTATAATTCCTGAGCTTTTTCAGAGTGTTCTGTGTTTTAAATCAACTTGCTTCTTATTGACTTCCCCCACTGGTAGTTCAAGATTCAACTTATTCCTGTCTGTCAAATCAGATAATATTCATTCATCCAGTTTCCAGTTTCTAAAATTTTAACAGGTTATATATGCCACCAGATACCGTGCTTCATTTTTCATCTGTCTCTCTAGGTCTGTGCTCTTTTTTATACTATATTGTCATTTTAATGGATTGGAGAGGGATGGAAGATAAGCATATACGTTCAGTTTGCTATATGTATCGAAAAGTCCTGCACTCTTCAGAAAGAAATGGAGTTTTGAAAATTATCAGAAGATGCTTTTAATCTATTTTAATTTGTTGTATTGTGGAGTGCTCTAGTTTTGTTGTGAAAATTAGAAAACTAACCTATAGATACCATTTTTGTCTATCAGCTGTCATTTTAATGAAAGAGAGTAGAGTCAGTAATTGAAGTTTATTATAAGTTTATGACTTGAACCTTAGCCAGTGGGAGTTTTTTGAGGGTCTAGGAGTACTCTGACTTACCAGTCTTACACTTTCTATCACTTTTAATAATATCCCTTATTAATATTATAGTAGTCCTCAATAAGCTTTATATGTTTCTTTAGGATCTGAAATTATTATGTAGGAAGTTTATCCGAAATTAACCATATATATTTTAAGACAATATTTTTGTTTGTTTGACCAGAGCTCCAGAACTATTTAGTTATATAGCCAAAAATAGCCAAGAGGATGTGTTCTATGAAGATGACATTTGGCCTGGAGAAAATGAGAATGGGTAAGCAAGATTTATGATATTTATTACCTCATAGTTCAATTCAGTGTTTTCAATGACAACTGCAGCTGGTTTCTCAAGAATTTCATATTACTTTTTTTTTTTTTTTTTTGAGACAGGTTCTTACTCTCTTGCCCGAATGCAGTGGCTCAAATGTGGCTCACTTTAGCCTTGGTTCCCTGGACTCAAACAATCCTCCTACCTCAGCCTCCTGAGTAGCTGGGCCTATTAGGCGTACGCCTCCACATTTGACTAATTTTTTTTTTTGACTCCTAGGCTCAGGCCATGCTCCTTGGCCTCCCAAAGTGCTGGGATTACAGGCGTGTCTTGTTACTTCTTTTTGTTTTGTTTTGTTTTGTTTTGTTTTTTTGCATTGTTTCATTTTTGCTTTAAGAGCTTAACAAATTTTCTTTCATTTATATCAACAAATACTTTTAAACTAATCTTTTTGTGTGTCTTTTAATTACTAAGAGGTAACATGTCCATATTTATATTAGATTTAGAATTAGTCCCGATTAAGTTCAGTGACTAATTATTAGTTATATAAGTTTTATGTCTTTTATAATTTATAGCCCTGAGAAAGTTTTAATCAAATTTTAAAAATTATTGTTTTTGCTTTAGTGCTGAAAAAGTTCAAGAAATTATTACTTGGCTAAAAGGACATCCTGTCAGTACTTTATCTCGTTCTTCTTGTGATTTACAAATTCTGGATGCAGCTATTGTTGAGAAAATTGAGGAAGAAGTCGAAAAGTGCAAGGTACTAACTTTCAGTAACCAAGATTATTGATGAGATTTGGAATTAAATGGACTATACTTTACAAATAATTCATTTGTGTTTCAACCAAATAAAACATATACTTAGTGATTCTAATTAGTATCAAATAATCCTGTAATTTAAAAAAGTTCTAACCATTTATAGTAGCTTTTAGTAGCCAATAGTGTTATGCCAAATTTATATTGTATAGCACTAATATGTTAATGGCTACATTAGCCATCATAACTAATTATAAACTTATAAAATTATATTTTCAATATACAAAAGCCATAGTATTTAAATTTTATGCCCTTGTAGTGTTTCCAATATTGAGAATTAATATTTTGTGATTTTAGTTACAGTAGAAAGTTTGAGAATAAGGTTAATAATCCCCTATTTCTTCCTGTTCTAACTACATTCTTTTTTTTTTTTTTTTTCTTTGAGACAGAGTTTCTCTCTGTTGCCCAGGCTGGAGTGCAGTGGCAGGATCTCGGCTCACTGCAACCTCCGCCTCCCAGATTGAAGCAATTCTCCTGCCTCAGCCTCCTGAGTAGCTGGGATTACAGGCGCCTGCCACCATACCCAGCTAATTTTTGTATTTTTTAGTAGAGACGGCATTTCGCCATGTTGGCCAGGCTGGTCTTGAACTCCTGACCTCAGGTGATCCGCCTGCCTCAGCCTCACAAAGTGCTGGGATTACAGGGGTGAGTCACCACACCCAGCCTCTAACTACATTCTTTAAAGACACAGTTCATCTTTTTGTAGAACAAAAAAGTTTAATTGACTTTTGACAGTCAATTCTAAAATATACTCTTGTTTTTTTTTTTTTTTTTAATTTTGGAGACAGAGTCTCACTCTGTCACCGAGGCTGGAGTGAAGTGGCATGATCTCGGCTCACTGCAACCTCCACCTCCCAGATTCAAGCGATTCTTCTGCCTCAGCCTCCCATGTAGCTGGGATTACAGGTACCTGCCACCTCGCCCAGCCAATTTTTATATTTTTTAGTAGAGACGGAGTTTTGCCTTGTTGGCCAGGCTGGTCTTGAACTTCTGACCTCAGGTGATCCACCTGCCTCAGCCTCCCAAAGTGCTGGGATTACAGACATGAGCCACCGTGCCTGGCCTAAAATGTACTTTTCTTACTCATACACTCATTGAGTTACTAAAAATTTTTGAACTCCCTCAATCTCTCCTATTTCTTACGTCTCGCTTTCTTTTAAGGAGTAGACTTTTATAGTAGAGTTGCGTTGTTTTATCTATAGAAAATGAATTGATTATTTTGCCTTTTTCAACTTTTTATTTCATGTTTCACAAATTTGCCCTTTGTATTAAAATGCTGTTGCTTTGCCAACACAGCATTCTCTTGTTCGAACTAATTGCAGAATAAGTTAAGAACTGGGCTCTGGAGCTGTCTCCCCTAACACCCTGAGTTTGAATCGGTTTTTCAATATTAATAACCTTAGGCAAGATACTTAACCTTTCCTTCCATACCTCTGTTTCCTCATTGGTAAAATTAGAATAAAATAGTACCTGCCTCAGAGTGTCCTCAAAAAGATAAACTGAGTTAATATTGCGTAAACTACTTCTAATAATGCCTAGCTATTATTAATGCCTAATAATGCTTAGATGTTTTTATTAATTATTATTTAAATTATCCTATCACATACTGAAGAGCTGTGATTATAGTCTAGAAAATCACCACTAGATGACTCTTTTTCTCTTTAGGAAAAAATATAAGGCTCAGAGCCAAGAGTTTAATTTTTGAAAGGTCATTTATTTTCAGCTGAGGATAGAAAGCCTGTATTTCTTTTTAATTGCCTTTCAATGTAGAGTGAAATCAGTTTGTTCAGCATCATTTTTGAGGTGAGTTTTCCAGTTAACAAATGTTTAAAACCTTAAGCCCCCCAATTTTAACCCATTTGGATTCAGAGCTTTCTAAAATGTTTCACACATTTTCCCTTTACTTTACAAATGGAAGATACATATACAACGTCTTAGTCTGTGATATTGATTACATTTTAAAATATATATGTGCATATAGGCTGAGTGCAGTGGCTCACGCCTGTAATCCCAGCACTTTGGGAGGCCAAGGCGGGTGGATCACCTGAGGTCAGGAGTTCGAGACCAGCCTGGCCAACATGGTGAAACCCTGTCTCTAATAAAAATACAAAAATTAGCCAGGCGTGGTGGCGGGTACCTGTAATCCCAGCTACTCGGGAGGCTGAGGCAGGAGAATCACTTGAGCCTGGGAAGCGGAGGTTGCAGTGAGCCGAGACTGTGCCACTGTACTCCAGCCTGGGCAACAGAGCAAGACTCCATATCATTTTATATATATATGTGTTAAATTTATATGTTTATAAATTAAATGTTTATATAAATACATATTTATATATAAACATGTAATATATTAACTCCATATCATTTAATATGTATTATATATAATCATATATATGATCATACATATATGCATATAGATAAGACAGGAGTTTTCTTAAACCTGTTAATTTGTCAGGGAGGTGCAGTTATGAGTGATTTTTTTTTTTCTTTCAGGATTATGTTACTAGGGCAATAAAAGGAGAAAAAACTAAAAAACACTGTAATTCTGAAGATCATTTAAACTTTTCTTAGTAATGCAGGATCATCATTAAAAGTATTAGTAGTTGGCTGGGCACGGTGACTCACAGCTGTAATTCCAGCACTTTGGGAGAAGGGTGGATCACTTGAGGTTAGGAGTTTGAGACCAGTCTGGGCAACATCTCCACAAAAAATAAAAAAATTAGACAGGCATGGTGGCACACGCCTGTGGTCCTGGCTACTCGGGAGGCCAAGGCAGGAGAATTACTTGAGCCAGGGAGTTTGAGGCTGCAGTGAGCTATGATCACGTTACTGCACTCTGGCCTGGGTGACAGAGGAAGACCTTGTCTCAAAAAAAATAAAAAAAAAAGAGTCAGTTTTCTTGTTGGAACATGGTTTCCAAACTCTGCTAATTATCAAAATTACTGGTAGAACTTTCCTTCCATACCTCTATTTCCTCATTGTTAAAATTAGAATAAAATTCTGGGTTCTTCCTCTAGAGCAGTGCTTCTCAAACTTTCAGGTAACAAACAAATCACCGGAGAATCTTGTTAAAATATAGTTCTCATTCAGTAGGTCTGGGGTGTGACTTGAGATTCTGGCATTTCTTTCTTTCTTTTTTTTTTTGAGACGGAGTTTCAGTCTTGTTGCCCAGGCTGGAGTGCAGTGGTGCAATCTCGACTCACTGCAACCTCTGCCTCCTGTGTTCAAGCGATTCTTCTGCCTCAGCCTCCTGAGTAGCTGGGACTACATGCAGGCACCACCATGCTCGGCTAATTTTGTATTTTTAGTAGAGACAGGGTTTCTCCATGTTGGTCAGGCTGGTCTTGATCTCCTGACTTCAGGTGATCCACCTGCCTCGGCCTCCCAAAGTGCTGGGATTACAGGCGTAAGCCTCTTCACCTGGCCAAAATTCTGCATTTCTAATAAGCTCTTAGGTGATCATATTTTGAATAGCCAGTCCCCAAACTTCTCATACATTAGATATGGGTTGGGCCTATTATGAACATTACCCAGCTTATTCATTTGCCTGATGAATCAGTTTTGATCCATGTCCTCTAATCAATGCTATAGTGTAATAATGCCTGTTAATGTCTTAGAGCATATGGGTTGTTTTTTGATGTGCAATACCCCACTGTGCCTGCTTTTTAAAGTTCCCTTAAATCTCTTCATAGTCTTTCCTTTTGCTGTTGTAGTCTTTTAGTGCATCTAGTCGGCTGTGGGCATAGATACTTTGTCATTAAGGCCTTCACTGTTCACTCTATTAAAATTGTAATGTCTCCCCCTACTGCTGTCCTCCTTAACTGCTTCATTTTTCTCTAGGCTTTTTACCTGCTAGCATGCTATATATCTTCCTTATTTTGTTTCTTGTATATCTCCCTCAACTAGAGTAAGAGAACAGTTCACTGCTTTATCCCCAGCACCTAGATTAATCAATATACAGCATACAAATGGATCTCAGTAAATATTCATTGAAAGAATAAATGAAATGCCTCATAACAAAAGAAAATAGACACTGTTTAAAGGCTTGAGCATTTTATAGTATGTAAATACATGAACCCTATAGTTTATGGATTCTATAGCCTGGATCTGTTCTGTGTCCTTTTGTACATATTCCCATAAGCTATGTTCTAAAGAGAGGTGACTGCCATATAATTAAACTGCTGTAATTTTTAAAATTCGATAAGAATTAACTTTAAATTTTTTTAGTATGAATAGTAGTTTATAAATTGTAAAGGATATAAATTTTTCTCACTTTTTTATTAGATAGAACAGATAATATGTCCATCTTACAGATGGAAGGAGGCTGATGCCTAAAGTAGTTAAGTGTGAGTTCACAGAACTAGCAAGTATCAAAGATAGGAGAAAAGTCTTCTTCCAGCATTTTTTAGATAATGAAAAGATTCTAATATCGCATTTTACAATAAATTCAAAGCAAAGGGTTTTGTCAAATGAATGCCACCATAATTTTTATAAGTGGCCACAAAATTCATGGTATTGTCATAGGTCAGTACTTGATACTTTTTAAAAATATATACATCTTTGTTGGCCATTGTATGTAATTCTTTTCATAGTTATAAAAAAGACATTTGAATAGGATAGCATTTATATAAAGGCCAAAACAGACAAATGTAATCTTTTGTGTTAGAAGTAAGGTTACTTCTGGAAAGGGTAGTAACTGGGAGGAGATGGAAAGGATTTCTTGTGTTGTGCTTAGCAATGTTGTTTCTTGAACCAGGTATAGTTATACATAGATACACTATAAAAGTTCATTGGCCTATATACTTATAATTTTGCATTTTCCTCCCCATGCTGTCTTATACTTCAGCAAAAAATTTTACTTTAAAAAATTTTTAAATAATGATTTAGGCTATAGGCATTTTATATGTGTTTATTTCTTCTTGCTGCAGCTGCAGAACTTTAAATATTTTAAAAATTAATCTCTTCATTTGGCTTTTTAAAATTCAGACATGTGGAAGTAGTGAGTAGGTAGTGATTTTATAATTTTATATTTTAAAAATATTTAACAATTTTTCTTTTTCCTCAGCAAAGAAAGAATAATAAGAAGGTGCGAGTAACAGTGAAACCCCATTTGCTATACAGAGTAAGTTTCCTATCAAAGAATTCAGAGTTGTTGCTTTCACTTTGAATGCATGGAAGGAGCAAAGATGTTTTCAGTATATTAGTATGAAAATTTTTTTGTTTATTATAATTAATAGCTTTCTTCTCTTCAGCCTTTAGAACAGCAACATGGAGTCATTCCTGATCGGGATGCAGAATTTTGTCTTTTTGACCGTGTTGTAAATGTGAGAGAAAACTTCTCAGTTCCAGTTGGCCTTCGAGGCACCATCATAGGAATAAAAGGAGGTAATATCCTAATACTTGAAATGTCTTCAACGTAATTTATATTGTAAAGTAATAAACAGGCTTGTCTGTTTTTTATATCTAACCAGAAAGTGACTATAAATCAGGAACAAACAATCTTTTTATGTTTTAGTTAAATTTTTTTTAGGTTATACTTTTCAGAGAAAAAAAAATCTCTTCTGTTTTTTATTGTATAATCTGGAAAGAGATTAAAAGGAGAAACTGAGAAGGGGCTGCTGAGAATTTAGTAGTTTTATATCACATTAAAATTATGCAAGATCTTGGTGAGCATACATATGTTTTCATGAAACTGATAATTTTCATTGCTTCTCCTGAGTTTCATTGCTCAGAGCTTTATTTTCATTGTAATCACTTATTTTCTGAGATTAAATTTCATTGTAATCACTTAGTTTCTGAGATTAAATATATATTACGTTAGTTACAGTTAAAAGACTTGAAAATTAAATGTGTATATTAATTTGGACTTTATGAATACAACTAAATTACATATATAAAATAGACCTATCAATCTGTTGCACAACAGTGTGCATACAGTTCACATTACTGTACCATACGCTTAAAAGTGGCTAAGATGGTGAAAAAAAAAATCAGAGAAGGGGGAAAATAAGGAAGCAGCAGCTAAATATCTGAATGTGCCCCCAAAGATATTCCTGGAATAACCAGCTTTATAGCATAGATTCAAAAAAAGTTAGTGCCAGCATGAAGCAGCATCATGCACCCAGGAGTCAGTGTGCTGGCAGCACCATTCCTCTATATATATCCCAGGCACCGAACCTCTTGGTCTCACTATCCCAAAAGTAGGAAGAACAGACGGGCCACTAGCTGAAGAGAACTGCTTAATTAGTGCCAGCAATGTGCCAGGCACTAACATATTTTGCATTTAACCCTCACTATCACCCAAGGGGTGGGTGTTATTTCCTCACCTGATAAGTTAAGTAATCTTCCTGTGTTTACATAGATAAGTGGCAGAGCTGGGATTTGAACTCCTTCCCCTGATTCCTACCTAAATTTGAACAGTGGTTCTGTACATTTTCCATTTGTAGATCCTCTTTGAATCTTCCTGCCCACATAACTAAAAGAATTTTCTTCCCTAATTTTTTTGTTTACTTTTTTGGAAGACTCACTATTGTTAAAATGTCAGTGAAATCAGTTGCTTTGATTTATACAGTCAAAGAAATCCCAATCAAGATCCCAGCAGCCTGTTTTGTAGAAATTGATAAGCTGGTTGTAAAATTTATTTAAAAAGCAAAGGCTCTAGACTAACCAGAAAAAATTGAAAAAGAAGGACAAAGTTGGAGAATTTACCCTACCTGATTTCAAAACTTTACAAAGCTAGAGTAAAATTTACAAAGCTAGAGTAAACTTTACAAAGCTAGAGTAAACTTTACAAAGCTAGAGTAAACTTTACAAAGCTAGAGTAAACTTTACAAAGCTAGAGTAAACTTTACAAAGCTAGAGTAAACTTTACAAACTAGAGTAAAATTTGCACTGAAAAACGGTGTGAATTAATATGAAGATGACATATAGATCAATGGAATATAATTAGAGTCCCGAAATAGACCCAAACCTGTATGGTCAATTGATTTTACAACAATGTGCCAGGATAATTTGATGAAGAAGGGATAATGTCTTTAACAAATGGTGCTGTCCCCGTTAGTATAGTGGTGAGTAATAAGAAAAAAAATGTAATTTAATTTAAAAATCGTGCTGTATATATTGAGGACTTGTTTAGTGTAAAAGAAAAAAAATGGTGTTGGAACAATTAGACACCATATGCAAAAAAAAAAAATCCACAACTCCTTACCTTACATCTTCTATAGAAATTAGCTCAAAATGAATTGAAGACATAAATGTAAGAGCTAAAATTATAGAACTTTTAGGAGAAAATCTTAATAACCTAGAATTCGGTAACGATATCTTAAATAACACATAGAGAGTCTGAAAGAAAATTGCCAGCCTGGTGCCGTGGCTCACACTTGTAATCCCAACACTTTGGGAGGCCAAGGCGGGAGGATTGCTTGAGCCCGGGAGTTTGAGACCAGCCTGGGTAACAACGTGAAACTCTGTCTTTACTAAAAAAATTTTTTTTAATTAGCCAGGCATAGTGTTGTGCACCTGTACTCCCAGCTAATCAGGAGGGTGAGGTGGGAGAATCACTTGAGCCCAGGAGATCGGAGATGCAGTGAGCCATGATTGCACCACTGCACTCCTGCCTGGTTGACAGACTGAGACCCTGTCAAAAAAAGAAAGAGAGAGAGAGAGAAAAGGAAGAAAGGAAGGGAGGGAGGGAGGGAAGGAGGAGAAGAAGGGAAGAAAGAAAGAAAAGAAGGGAGGGAGAGAAAAAGAAAAGAAGAAAAGGCCGGAGCAGGAGGGAGGGAAGGAAAAAGAAAAGAAAAAGAAAAAGGCCAGGGGAGGGATGGAGGTGGGGGTGGGGGCGGGGGTAGGGGGGACGAAGAAAAAAAGGCCGGGCACTCATGCCTGTAATCCCAACACTTTGGGAGGCCAAGGCGGGTGGATCACTTGAAGTCAGGAGTTCAAGACCAGCCTGGCCAACATGATGAAATCCCGTCTCTACTAAAAATACAAAAATTAGAGACGGGCGCAGTAGCTCATGCCTGTAATCCCAGCACTTTGGGAAGCCAAGGCGGGCGGCTCACAAGGTTAGGAGTTTGAGATTAGCCTGGCCAATATGGTGAAACTCTGTCTCTACTAAAAATACAAAAATTAGCCAGGCATGGTGGTGCATGCCTGTAATCCCAGCTACTTGGGAGGCTGAGGCGGAAGAATCACTTGAACCTGGGAGGCAGAGGTTGCAGTGAGCCGAGATCATGCCACTGCACTTTAGCCTGGGCGACAGATCGAGACTCCATCTCAAAAAATATATATACAAAAATTAGCCAGGAATGGTGGCCGGCACCTGTAATCCCAGCTACTCAGGAGGCTGAGGCAGGAGAATCTCTTGAACACAGGAGGTGGAGGTTGCACTGAGCTGAGATCACACCACTGCACTCCAGCCTGGGCAACAGAGCAAGACTCTGTCTCAAAAAAAAAAAAAAAAAAAAAAAGAGAGAAAAAGAAAAGAAACAAAGAGAAAATTGCTACTTTAGACTTCATCGAAATTAAAAAAAAAAAAAACTCTCTTCAAAAGACACCATTACAGAAATGAAAAGGCAAATATTAGCAAAACATAAATCCAACAAAATGCTTTTATTTAGACTATATAAAAGTTTTTTTACAACTTAACCCAATTTTTAAAATGATCAAAATAGCTGAACAGATATTTTACCCCAGAAGATACATGGATGGCAAATAAGCATATGAAAAGATGCTCAACATCATTCGTTGTTAGGGAAATACAAATTAAAACCAAATAAGATATTACCACATACAGACTAGAAAGACTTGAATTTAAAAGAGTGATTATACCAAGTGTTGACAATGATATAGGGCAACTAGAACTCTCCTATATTGCCAGTCGTAATGTAAAAGATAAAACCACTTTGGAAAGTAGTTTAGTGGGTTCTTTTTTTCTCCCCCCATTGGTGGGCTATCATGATGTAGGTAAGTCCTTAAAAAGTTAAACATACATCATAGCATAGGGCCCAGCCATCCCATTCATAGGTGGGTATTTACCCAAGAGAAATAAGGGCTTAAATCCACATAAAGCCTTGTTCATGAATCTTCATAGCAGCTTTATATGTATGTAATAACCAAAAACTAGAAATAATCTAAATCCCCATCAGCAGATGAATGGATAAACAAATTCTTGGATACATATGCAGTGGAATACTTCTCAGCTATAAAAAAGAAACAACTACTGATAGACACAACATAGGTGACTCTCAAAATAATTATGCTCGAAGAAGCCAGACAAACGAGGAATACACATTATATTATTTCATTTACATAAAATTCTACAAATGTAAAGTAACCTATGGTGACAGCAGAGTTTTAGTTGCCTAGATTAGGAGGATTCGGATTACAAAAGGACATGGAAAGTTTTGGAAGTGATTATCCTATTTATCATGGCTTTATGGTTAATTATGTATGTTAAAACTCATTAACTTGTATATTTCAGATATGTGCAGTGTATCATATGTCAGTTATACCTCAGTAAGGCTGTTTTGTTGTTGTTTGGTTTTTTTTTTTTTTTTTGAGACGGAGTCTCGCTCTGTCGCCCAGGCTGGAGTGCAGTGATGCAGTCTAAGCTCACTGCAAGCTCCACCTCCCGAGTTCATGCCATTCTCCTGCCTCAGCCTCCCAACTAGCTGGGACAACAGGCGCCTGCCACCATGCCTGGCTAATTTTTTTTTTTATTTTTTATTTTTAGTAGAGACGGGGTTTCACTGTGTTAGCCAGGATGGTCTTGATCTCCTGACCTCGTGATCCACCTGCCTCGGCCTCCCAAAGTGCTGGGATTACAGGCGTGAGCCACTGCACCCAGCCCAGTAAGACTGTTTTTTTTTTTTAAAAAAGTACATGCCCTAAGACTCAGCAGTTTTCACTTTTAACCTAGGGAACATTCACCTGCATAAAGGACACATTTGCATGTTCATTGTAGCATTGTTTATAATAGCAAAAGTTAGAAATCACCTAAATGTTTATTGGCAGGAGAGTGGATAAATTATTGTATACCCATAGATGGGATACTATATATCCAGAAAACTGAATGCACATGTTTACGTGGGTGAATCTCACAAATATAATGTTGAAAGAAAAATAAGTTGCAAAATAATATATTCTCTATGATATCATGTATATGTTTCAAAACTTGCAAAACAATACTATGTATTATTCATAGATACATATGTATGTAGTAGAAGTATAAAGAAACATAAGGAATCATAACTGCCAAATTGAAGATAATGTTACCTAGTTGGGAATTGGGACAATAATGATCCTCTAAGGCACTGGTATTCTGTTTCTTAGCTTATATAATGTTCCTTATATTAATATTATGCCATTGTTCATATCCTGAATATTTTATATCATATCTAGAATTTTATAATAAATACTTCCAAACACTCCAAAAACTTATCTGTTGATTTTTCATCATATGATTTTTTAGTGTCTCTTTTTCTCTCCCTATTGTAACAGCTAATAGAGAAGCCGATGTACTATTTGAAGTATTATTTGATGAAGAATTTCCTGGAGGGTTAACAATAAGGTTTGTATTTCCCAATGATAATTGCCCTTTGTGAATATGTTCATGTGGCCAGTGACTTTACATTACTTTTTATTTGTTTACAATTTCAGTTTGTGGGATGTGTAAGACGTACTTGCTACTAGGGATGTAACACTGAATAAGGCAGACATGCTTTCTACCCTCAGAGAGCTTTCATTTTAGTGAGGGAGGTAATTAAGCAACCGATTACATTATTAATTATTTAATTAAAGCATGGCAAGTGCTAGGAAGAAGTGCAGGTTTTTATAAAGAGTATGACCCATCCTGAGAGTAACAGAAAGGCCTCTTTGAGGAAGTGGTATTTAAGATAGAACTTGAAGAATGAATAATAGCTAACCAGGGAGAAAAGGGGGGAATAATGACATTTGCACAGGAAGAGGGAATAGCATATGTAAACAATGCTATTAGGGTTAAATAACTTGAGGAATAGAAATGTCCTTTGAAATTAGTGACATGTATGTCTTTGTCACCAATTTTAGTGGAGTTGTAGGTACTCACGACAGATTGGCATGATTTGACAAGTGAATGGCAGGTGTAGTAATGGAGACAGGAAATTGAGGCAACACTTGGGAAGTTTGACTATAAAGGAAAGGAGAAAGTTAACTGGAGGTTAGGAGGTTTAAAGGAAGAGGGTTAAATTGTTTTTAATTTAACACAGATAAGACAAGTGTTTTGGGGGAAAGTGCCAATAGAAAGTTTAAAGTTATAGGAACAAGTATCATGATAAAATGAGAGGCACCATGGTGTAAACTTGCAGTTAAACGTTGTATTTCCTTGGGTAGGTTAATTAAGTGTCTGACCCTCAATTTCCTCATCTATAATGAAGATATATACATACTTCCCTAGGTTATTGTGAGGATGAGATGAAATCCTTTCCAGTTTTCTGCTTTCTAAAAATCAGCTGGAAAACTGAACTGAATTTAGCTTAGTTTCCTTTTTTCCTCTATTTTGATAAGTGAGTAATTAAAATAAAAAATTAATTACCCTTTTTTAACCTCCTTACATGAACTCACAGTCTTTGGCTGTTATACCAAGTAGTCACCTTCAGGATGCTATTATTATTGTTTTGCAACTTAAATATGCTTGTTATTCAAAGACTTTTCCGGTCTACACTCTTCACATACAGCAGCAGAATCCGGATCTCCTGTCTGATTTTATTTTTCATGAAAGTGTTTGATTACCAATACCTTTGATTCACTAACTTTCCAAAATATATTTTAAGTATATTTTTGTGGTTTT
Source organism: Homo sapiens (assembly GCF_000001405.40). NCBI lineage: Eukaryota > Metazoa > Chordata > Mammalia > Primates > Hominidae > Homo > Homo sapiens. Next base: position 142,358,604 of record NC_000003.12, on the reverse strand, counting down.
TTCCCCCCTCTCCTAGTAAGGGACAGTGAATTTACTGACTGATAGAGAGCTGGGTAAAAGATTACCTGCCTGCAGTGTATTCATTTCTGTAATACAGAATCTTTAGTAAGTTTAGTTCTCATGAAAATAGATACTTCCTAGCAACCTTGAACTTACAAAGGTTTCTCATAGAAATCTACTTTTCCACTTTCTTTCAATATAAGAAAATTATACTCTCAAAGAGAAAAAAAATAGGTGATAGAGTTGAAAACTTAACAAGAGAAGGATTCTTTAATATCTGACACGTTTATCAAAGCCATGAAAGATGGAAATCACAAATACTTGTCTCTTAAGCCTTTCCAGGTACAGGCCCAGAACTTTAAGATGGGAAAATGAGGGAAAAAAGGGCTGGACTCCACATTTGACCGATAGACAAATGAGATCAAAGCTGACATTTACCCTGTTGCTTAGGAAGAGCTATACTGAGAATGGTTCCATGCTCCTGAGCTTTCATAACCTAGACTGCCCAAACCATAGTTTTCGTTTTTTTGTTTTTGTTTTTGTTTTTGTTGTTGTATTTTGTTTTTTGAGACAGATTCTCACACTGTTGCCCATTCTGGAGTGCAGTGGTGCAATCTTGGCTCACTGCAGCCTGCATCTCCCAGGTTCAAGCAATTCTCCTGCCTCAGCCTCCCGGGTAGCTGGGATTACAGGTGTGTGCCACCATGTCTGGCTAATTTTTTTGTATTTTTAATAGAGACAGAGTTTCAACATGTTTGCCAGGCTGGTCTTGAACTTCTGACCTCAAGTGATCGACCTGCCTCGGCCTCCCAAGTGCTGTGGCTGGGATTACAGGCATGAACCACCATGCCCGCTCCACAGTTTTTAAGACGTTCGAGGCCAGGCATGGTGGCTCATGCCTGTAATCCCAACACTTTGGGAGGCTAAGGATGGAGGGTCATTTGAGCCCAGGAGTTCAAAACCAGCCTGGGCAACATAGTGAGACCCTGTCTCTAAGAAAAAATAAAAAAGCATGCCAGTTGTGGTGCCTTGCACCTGTGGTCTTAGTTACTCAGGAGGCTGAGATGGGAAGACTGCTTGAGCCCAGGAGTTCGAAACTGCAGTGAGTTAGGATATAGCACCATTGCACTCCATCCTGAGTAACAGTGAGATCTCATCTCTCAAAAAAAAAAAATTAATTCATAAATTTTCAGTTGTATTCAGCAATTAAGATGCAAGCTTCTTAACGACAAATCGACACACACCCCTAGAACATAGTTGGGTTTTCTCTACTTAGTAAATACTAAATATGCTCTTAGGAAAGTTTTTAGAAATACATCATCTTATAAATTGAGCTATTGCTGTGATTTGAGGTTCCTCTACCGAATTAAAAAGTAATATTTACTAATGCTGATGATGGATTGTCCACCAAAAATTATTTGACTTTTCTCCCTAACACATTTAGTATTGTTTTCCTTCCAACCCTGATATAACTTTTACTTTTAGATGCTCACCTGGTAGAGGTTATCGACTGCCAACAAGTGCCTTGGTGAACCTTTCTCATGGGAGTCGCTCTGAAACTGGAAATCAGAAGTTGACAGCCATCGTAAAACCACAACCAGCTGTACATCAACATAGCTCAAGTTCATCAGTTTCCTCTGGGCATTTGGGAGCCCTCAACCATTCCCCTCAATCACTTTTTGTTCCTACTCAAGTAAGACTCTCAGTCTTTAACTTCTCCTCTACCCCTTTTACAAATCACAAATCACAGCAGACTTTGTAAATGTAAACCTAATTTAACTTAGTTTCCCTCTTTTATTTAAAAAGTTTTGGCTCAGGTCAATTCCAAATTTAAGATACTAGGCTAATAAAGAATGCTATTGCTAGCATTCTACCTCTGCTATAAAATAACAGTTGTATTAAAGGAAAAAAGTGTATTTAAATAAGGAACTTAAGAATGTCCATGCTTTCTCTGTAAATGTTTACATTTCAAGTTAACATTTAATTTTTTTCTTGTATAATCCAAATGTCCTATGCTATCTGCTATAAATAACATAAATTTGAAAGATAAAGGGCAAGGATTATATCACGTTTATCAAAAGCAATTTTCAAGTTTCTACCATACAATTTATGGGTGATTTCCTTTATTTCCTCTTTCTGGGGACAAAAATTGAGTTGTCTTGTGTGAGACACTTTATTTAATTCCATGACCCCAAATCTCATGCTTATTAAGTACGTTTTTTTAACCCAAATAGTACCTGCTTATTATAAACCAATTGGAAAACACAGATAAGTAGATGATAACAAAGGAAACACAAGCAAAAGTCCTCTAAAATCTCATAGGTTACCACTGTCAAAATTTGGTGCCTATTTTTCCAGAGTTTTAATCTTAATAGTTGATATTTAAATTTATTAGATTATTTTGTGTAAGGTGAAGATTTTAAAAATAAAATCTTTAGGTGTCAATTTGAGTGAGAGAATGTATTTTAATACATTAGAAGACAAAAAACCTATTGGTGGGATATTGATTCAGTATAATCTTTTATAGTGTTTGTTATGCTTTAAATATTTTTCAACAAATAAAACCATTCAAAACTAATTGCATATAAAGAACACCAGTTTCACTCTCATAGAATACTTTTGTGATTACTATGCTGAGCTTTAGAAAAAAAGGAACTAAGAGATTTCACATAATGAAAGTTAGTTTAGGGGTGGACGTGGTAGCTCACATCTGTAACCCCAACACTCTGGGAGGCTAAGGCAGGAGGACTGCTTGAGGCAGTAGTTCAACACCAGCCTGGGCAACACAGCAAAACATGGCAACCCATCCCTAGAAGAAAAAAAAAAAATAGTTGGGCATGATGGTACACGCTTGTAGTCCTAGCTCCACAGGAGGCTGAGGATTGAGCCCAGGAATTCGAGGTTACAATCACCTATGACCCCACCACAGCTCCCCAGCTTGGGCGACATGAGCAAGACCCCACATGAGTAAGACCCCAAGTCAAAAAAAAAAGGTTTAATATCCTGTCTACCACTGAATAACATTAATAGATGAATTATTTGATTTTTAATATGTATTTTTATTTCTTCCTATTTCATTTTCTCAAGAAATTGTTTGTACTTTGCTAGGTACCTACTAAAGATGATGATGAATTCTGCAACATTTGGCAGTCCTTACAGGGATCTGGAAAGATGCAATACTTTCAGCCAACTATACAAGAGAAGGTTAGTATTCCTTGTTTTGATGGACAATTAATTTAAAGAAAATATATTTTTATATTTTTCTTTTAAGACTACAATGATTATTTTTCTGTGACATCTCATAAAATAGAAAATGACAATTTTGATCATGAATTTTCTTTTTCTTTTTTTAAATAATTTCAACTTTATTTGTTTTAGGTTCAGGAGATACATGTACAGGTTTGTTACATGAATATACTGTGTGACACTGAGGTTTAGGGTACAAATGATCCTGTCACCCAGGCAGTGAGCATAGTACCCAATAGGTGGTTTTTCAGCCCTTCCCCCCTCCTCCCTATCTTCCCCCATCTGTAGTAACCCCCAGTGTCTGTTATTCCCATTTTTATGACCATGTGTCCCCAATGCTTAGCTCCCACTTATAAGTGAGAACCATATAGTATTTGGTTTTCTGTTCTTATATTCATTCACTTAGCATAATGGCCTTCAGTTCCACCCATGTTGCTGCAAAGGATGTTATTTCATTCTTTTTTATGACTGCATAGTATTCCATAGTGTGTATTCTGTGGTGTATATATACCACATTTTTAAAAATCTGGCCGGGCACTGTGGCTCACACCTGTAATCCCAGCACCTTGAGAGGCTGGGGTGGGTGGATCACTGGAGGTCAGGAGTTCGAGACCAGCCTGGCCAATATGGTGAAACCCCATCTGTACTGAAAATACAAAAATTAGCCAGCTACTCGTGATGGTGAGGCACAAGAGTTGCTTGAACTTGGGAGGCCAGAGGTTGCAGTGAGCCAAGATCGCCCCATTTCACTCCAGCCTGGGCGACAGAGTAAGATTCAGTCTCTAAATCAATCAGTTAATCAATCAGTCTTATCTACCATTGATAAGCACTTAGATTGAGTCCATGTCTTTGCTATTGTGAATAGCAAATGCAACTCATATATGTGGGTATGTGTCTTTTTGGAAGAACGGTTTATTTTCCCTGGGGTATATACCCAACAATGGGATTGCTGGGTCGAATGGTAGTTCTGTTTTAAGTTCTTTGAGAAATCTCCAAACTACTTTCTACAGTGGCTGAACTAATTTACATTCCTACCAGGAGTTTATAAGCATTCCCTTTTTTCTACAGCCTCACCAGCATCCGTTATTTTTTGACAGCCATTCTGACCGGTGTGAGATGGTATCGTCTTGTGGTTTTGATTTGCATTTCTCTGATAATTAGTGATGTTGAACATTTTTTTCATATGTTTCTTGTCCACTGATATGTCTTATTTTACAAAGCATCTATTCATGTTTTTTCCCCATTTTTTAAAAATTAATTTTTTAATTAAAATATAAATTTTCTTAAGATTTTGCTAATCTTCTCTGTACCATTCCAATTTTAGTATATGTGCTGCTGAAGCAAGCATCTTGTGCCCATTTTTAAATGGCATTATTTGTTTTTTGCTTGTTGAATTAAGTTCCTTATAGATTCTTGATATTAGACCTTTGTCAGATGCACAGTTTGCGAATATTTTCTCCCATTCTGTAGTTGTGTTTACTCTGTTGATAATTTTTTTAGCGAGCAGAAACTCTTTAGTTTAATTAGGTCCCACTTGTAAATTTTTGTTTTTGTTGCGATTGCTTTTGAGGACTTAGTCATACATTCTTTTCAAGGCTGATACTCCAAGTGGTATTTCCTGGATTTTCTTCTAGGATTCTTACAGTTTGAGGTCTTATATTTTAAGTCTTTAATCCATCTTGAGTTAATTTTTGTATATGCTGAAAGGTAGGGGTCCAGTTTCATTCTTCTGCATATGGCTAGCCAGCTATCCAGCATCATGTATAGGGAGTCCTCACCCCATTGCTTGTTTTGTTGTCTTTGTCAAAAATCAGGTGGTTGTAAGTATGCCATTTTATTTCTGGGTTCTCTATTCTGTTCCATTGGTCTTTGTGTCTGTTTTTGTACCAGTACCATGCTACTTTTGTTACATGGCAGATACATGGTAATATAAACTTACAGTATAACGTGAAGTCAGGTAATGTGATGTCTCCAACATTGTTCTTTTTGTTTAAAATTGCCTTGGCTATTGGGCTTTTTTCTGGTTCCATGTAATCATGAATTTTCATAATTATTTTCAGACCTTAGTTTCTGGACCAATGAGTCGAGAGTATAGATAATTTTTGTTTTAAATCAGCTTTAGGGTTTTTTTAGTTATTTACGAAGTCATAGTAACTATATTTTAAATTCAACAAAGGCCGTTATCGCATTTAACAACTTACTTTTTCCACTTGAATGTGTCACTTTATGCTGGTAGTTGGTTATCTTAAATATGAATGAACAAATATGTATTCCTTGGTAGAGATTAAGAAGAGAGAAAAAGTGCTGCTAAAAGATTAGAGACTCAGACAAAGAAAGGAAGAGGAAAGGAATAAATTCCTACTACATGTTTTGCTAGTTACCTATCTTCTCAGCTTAGATCAAAAAGGAATGTTTGGCGAGGCGTGGTGGCTCATGCCTGTAATCCCAGCACTTTGGGAAGCCAAGGCCGAAGGATTACTTGAGGTCAGGAGTTCAAGACCAGCCTGGCCAACATGGTGAAACCCCATCTCTACAAACAATACAAAAAATCAATCAGGTGCTGTGGTGGCACACATGTGTAGTCCCAGCTACTCAGAAGGCTGAGGCAGGAGAATCACTTGAACCCAGGAGGTGGAAGTTGCAGTGAGTCAAGATTGTGCCACTGCTCTCCAGCCTGGATGACAGAGCAAGACTCCATCTCAAAAAATAAAAAAAGGAATGTTCAAGTTTATAAACCAGTAGCCTGTACCTTCAGACCCTCATTTATTCTAATGTCCTGCAGTAATGGTGGCATTATCAGAGATAAAAGAGAAAATTACAAAGGGAATATAAACATAAATGGTAAAATAAATATAAATAATAAAATAAACATAAAAAATTAGTGTATATGTCATAACTTAAAGAATAAAGAAAAAAATTAAGGTGACAAGATACGTAGTTCTCCTCAGCCAATATGCTATTATAAGCTTTCTTTAGGTTATCTATAAATTATTTTGTTTTAAACTATTTGAATCACAAAACCTGATTTCCTGATTCTGAGTCCAGTACTGTACTTACTGCACCACACTGCTTCAGGGTATAAACTGGGTTCAAACCCAAGAGATACTTTGCCCAATTATGCCTTGGGGCCAAAACAGATGACAGGGTCTTTAAGAAAGATTAATCAGGCAGCAGTATGTAAGAAGGACTATATGTGAAAAAGATAGGAAACAAGAATCGTAGTTAGAAGGTTAATTTAGGCCAAGGATGACGATCTAAAGTCCAGTTGCAGGAACTGAGGAGGAGTAGAATGATAGAATGATTTATAATATCATTGTAAAAATAATGTTAGAAAGCAAAAATTTTTGACTCTAAGCATTTTAGATTATATGCCTGAGGAATGGTGGTGTTAGAAATAAGGGTAAGAGGAGTAACTTTAGGTGAGGCCGATTCTGGGACCTTTTTTTTTTTTTTAACTTAAAAAAAAATGTTCTTCTTCTCTCATGCTGCCTTGTCTAAGATGGGACACCTTGAGGTTGAGGTGATGGTGGAGTATCCAGCTGTGATATCTGTCCTAGAAAGTTGCAGATACTGGATTAAATCTTGACTGAGGTTCAAATCAGAGATATAGATTAGTAATACTTAGCAGAGAGGTTACAGTCAAAGTCATTAGTCAAGCAGTAAGGCAAAAAATGAAAAGAAAACTGTTGTTGGATTTGGAGGAACGTTCCTCAGTAAAAGATTAAGAGAGCGGGAGGGAGTTAATTAAAAAGTTGAACAAATAGATAAAGGCAAGAATTGCTTCCTTTTAGAACAAAACTTGAAAAAATTGTCTATACTGGCACCTCTCTCCCCCCTTCTCTCTTAAACCCACCCTAATCGGTCTTTCATTCCCATCACTTTATGGAAACTGCCCTTTCAAGGTTCCCAATGACCTTTGTGTGCAAAAACCGTGTGATCAAGTCTCAGTTTCCATCTGAATTGACCCATCAGCAGCATTTCATACAGTTGATCACTCAGTTCTCCTTGTCATCCATTCTTCACTTGTCATTGGAATACCACCCTTCCCTGTTTTTCTTCCTGTCTCATTGGCTGTTGTTTCTCAGTCTTCTTTGTCAGTTTCACCTAAACTCTCGGGCTCTTTAAAGATGGAATCCTCTAGGGCTAAATTATTGGACTTCTTCTGTATCTATACCCATTTCCATAGATAGATAGATAGATAGATACATAGATACATAGATAGATACATAGATAGATAATTATAGACAGATAGATAGATGATAGAGAAAAAAATAGATTTAGATAAGATAGATATAGATACACACACAAACATATATACCTACAAAAGTACATACATCATGTCTCCCAAACTTCTCTTTCCAGCTTGGAAGTCCTCCATGATATTTAGACTCAGTGTTCAACCCTTCATCTCCACTCAAATGTCCAACTCTATGTCTCCACTTGGGTACTTAATATACATCTCAAATTACCATGTCCAAAATTGAACTCTTGTTCTTCCCTCACAAACTTACGTTACCTAATGTCATTTCCATCTCAGTTAATAGCCACTCCCTCCTTTCACTCAGACCTTAAGAGTCACATCCTTTACTCCTTCCTTTCTCTTTTACCCTCATATCCAATTCATTATCATATGTAAATCTCTTTCAAATATGTCTAGAATTGGACCATTTCTCACAGGCTCCTACTACCCTACTCCAAATTCATACCAACTCTCACCTTGATGGTTACAGTAGTCTAGTAATCTGCTTCCATCCTGGCTCCTCTACAGTCTATTCTCAAGACAGCAGGCAGAGTGATGCTATTAAAATATGTCAGAGATCATGTCCTTCTGCTGCTCAAAACCCTCCACTGATTCCCCGTTTCACTGAGTAAAAGCCATTATTTTTATATAATGGCCTGGAATGTCCCATACAATATTGATGTGTCACCTCTCTAATCACATTTTCTATAACTCACATTTTTGCTACAGCCATAATGGTCTTCTTTCTCTTCCTTGAGTATGCCAGGGATGGTCCCCACAACAGGGCCTTTGAGTTTGTCTGGAATACTCTCTCTCCTCAGAGAGAGGCTTATTTCCCTAGGCTTCTGTGTCCTCATGTATACAATGAAGTTCACTTAGATGACCTCTAAGGTCTTTTCCAGCCACAAAATAGTATTGCTGTAGTACTCTGGAATATATACAGCTCCAGGGTTGGAATCCTGCCTCAACTCCTCAAACTAATGTCTAAGGCCTTCTATAATCTAACCCCACCTAATTATATGATGTATGTCCAACCATTTGGACATAATAGTCTGTTCTAGTTAGACTGGTCTCTTTACTTTATCTTTCCCACAGATGATTCCCATTTGGGGTTATGTGTTCTTTTTGTTCCTTCCACTTAGAATGCCCATTTTTTCTCTCACTACAAATAACCCCCTAGGTCTCAGTCAAAATCTCCTATTTCCTTGAGAATCACTTGATATTATATTTTCTCATTATCTCCTACATGCAACCCCTCTTACTTGGTGCTATTTCATTGTTTATTTCAGCTGAACACTCTCATGTTTTATCTCTTAAATGTCCTAAGAATTATGAGATCCCAAGTATAACGCATATGCATTAATAAGCAGCCTAACCTGATGAGCAAATTCAAGAGAATTCACTGTGATAAGAAATATTCAAGCTTTCATTGGCAAAACATGGCAATGTGTACAAATACCTTTATATAGATATCAAACAGAACACCCTAAAGAACTATACCCAAATATTTGCTTACTAATTAAACATATGGCTTACCTTTTCTCTGAAGTAGTACTGTGAACATGGATTTTGGAGTTAGAGCTCCAAAATAATGTAAATAATAATATTATATTATTTACTATTTATTTTACTATTTAGTTAGTAGCATTACTATAATGATATTAAAATAATGGGTACACAGTTCATTTACCATACCTGGCACATAGAAGACACTCAGACAATACTTGTTCTATCCTGATGTTCTAATTCTTCTCCTTAGAGTCAAAATCACCCATAATGTACTGCTGTAGTCCAAAGCCCCACCAGCCATTGTGCCATGATGATAGAAATCTCATGCCATTTTGACTCTTAATAACTGAAAAGCTGGCCGGGCGCAGTGGCTCACACCTGTAATCCCAGCACTTTTGAAGGCCAACGCAGGTAGGTCACTGGAGCCCAGGAGTTCGAGACCAACCTGGGCAACATGGCAAAATCCCATCTCTACAAAACAATACGAAAATTAGCCAGGCATAGTGGCACATACCCATAGCCCCAGCTATTCGGGAGACTGAGGCAGGAGGATCACTTGAACCCAGGAGTCGAAGGTTGCAGTGAGCCAGGATGACCCCACTGCACTGCAGCCTCAGTGACAGAGCAAACACCCTGTCTCAAAAACAAAAAACAAAACTGAAGAGCCTTGGGCTGGGCACAGTGGCTCATGCCTGTAATCCCAGCACTTTGGGAGGCCAAGGCAGGAGGAACACTTAAGCCCAGGAGTTCGACACCAGCCTGGGCAACATAATAAGATCCCTGTCTCTACAAAAAAAATAAAAAATAGATTTTTAAAAAACTGAAGAGTCTTGAGTGTTTCTGTCCATGTGATCTCATTAGGTCTTCCTTGGTACTCCCATGCATATCACAACTATTTTGGAGCATGCCCACTACCAGTTAGGACATGTTGTGTCTTTGTACCCAGTGTCCATTTGTCTGTGCTGATAAGAAAGTAAATAGAGCCTACCAAAAGCAAAACGGTGAAATAATTCATTTGTATTGACCTTCTCTAGCCTCCACTTCTGCTGCTTCTTGTTGCTTCAACTGTGGGAAATTGTCTATCTCTTTTTGCATTCAGGCTTTCTCTCCCTATCCAAAAATGAAAGGATCTGATAGAATCTTCATATGAAATTTATGCCATTTTGCTAATTCTGTCTATGAACTGTCTCAATCACTGTAACTTTATCATCAGTCTGGCTATTTAATATTGAAGGCTTCCAACATTTAAAAACCTTGACAATATAAATATTAATAAAAATCAGGTATTGGGATTGTTATTAATCCCAATAAAACATGGGATTAATAAAAATTAACATGGAAGGGAATGTAAGTGTGCTAACATCCTCAATTTTCATAATGTAGAGCCAGAAATGATAAATTTTTTAAAACTTTTTAATGGAAAAGTTTAACCATAATGACATCAAGTAAATAGAATGAATGAACCCACCAGTATTCATTCCCTGCCATGCTCTAGTCCAGTACTATTTCTTCTATAACCCCTACTCATTTCCCACCTCCACCTACCCAAGGGATGGGATTATTTTGAAGCAAATCTAGGGGGATCTTTAGAGACTGATATTTCTCTAAAGGTGAAGAAACATTTACCTAAAGTTTAGTATTTTGTTTGGTTTCTGCATTTGTTAACATCAAGCAAAATTAGATTTAATTCTTTTATTGAAAGGAGGATTTTTGGCTGGGTGCAGTGGCTCATGCCTGTAATCCAAGGACTTTGGGAGGCCGAGGTGGGAGAATTGCTTAAGGCCAGGAGTTTGAGACCACCGTGACCAACATGGTGAAACCCCGTCTCTACTGAAAATACAAAAACTAGCCAGGCACGATGGTACTCACGTGTAGTCCCAGCTACTCAGAAGGCTGAGTCATGAGAGTCACATGAACCCGGGAGGCAGAGGTTGCAGTGAGCCGAGATTGTGCCACTGCACTTCCAGCCTTGGTAACAGAGCAAGAATCTGTCTCAAAAAAAAAAAAAGTAGCATTTTTATAAAATGATTGTTTTCTTTATATCTTGCAAACTAATGCATAGAAAAAATATCTAGAGTGATGATCATTATGTTAATGAGTCTGGTGATAGAGTTCAAGTGGCTTTAAAAGTCTCTATACTTTTCTGTATTAAGTTTTTTTCTAAGGAACTATATAATTTTTATAAAAATGTATTTATTAAAAGTTGAAGATAAGAAGTAGTTATAATATTAAGATTTTGTTTAATTTATAAGAATTTTAATTTTCAGGGTGCAGTTCTACCTCAAGAAATAAGCCAAGTAAATCAACATCATAAATCTGGCTTTAATGACAACAGTGTTAAATATCAGCAAAGAAAACATGACCCTCACAGAAAATGTAAGTTTTAAATTAGAAAGGTGTACTTGTGTGTGCTGCTTCTTTTTTAAAAAAATAAACATTTTATTGATATAATTTACATACCATAAAGTAAATTCATTATTTTAAAGTATACGATAAGTGGTTTTTTGTATTTTCACAAAATTGTATAACCAACACCACCATCTAAATTTAGAACATTTTTTGTCACCTGAAAAAGAAACACCATACCTATTAGCAGTCACTCCTCCAGGCCTTGGCAACCCATAGTTTACTTTCTGCCTCTATGGATATGCCTATTCTAGACACTTCATATAAATGGAATCAGAAAATATATGAACTTTTATGACTGGCTTCTTTCACTTGTGTATTTTCAAGATTTATCTATGTTGTAGCATGTTCAGTCGGCCCTCTGTACCTGTGGGTTCCACATCCATGGATTCAACCAACTGAGGATCAAAAATATTCAGAAAAGGCAGGGCACGGTGGCTCATGCCTGTAATCCCAGCACTTTGGGAGGCCAAGGCAGGCAGATCACTTGAGCCCAGGAGTTCAAGACCAGCCTGGGCAACATGGCAAAACCCTATCTCTACCAAAAATACAAAAATTAGCCAGGTGTGGTGGCATGCACCTGTAGTCCCTGCTATTCAGGAGGCTGAGGTAGAAGGATTGCTTGAGCCTGGGGGGCGGAGGTTGCAGTGAGCTAAGATCAGCCACTACACTCCAGCCTGGGTGACAGAGTGAGACCCCTTCTCAAAAAAAAAAAAAAGAGGATGATTGTGTCTGCTCTCAACATGTGCACACTTTTTAATCTTATTATTCCCCTAAACAATACAGTATGACAACTATTTACACAGCATTTACATTGTATCAAGCATTATAAGTAATCTAGGGATTATTTAATATATAAAGAGTATGTTTGTAGATTATATGCAAATACTACACTATTTTCTGTAAGGGACTTGAACATATGTGGATTTTGATAGCCACAGGAGGGTCTTGGAAGCAATCTTCCACAGATATGGAGGGACAACTGTATCAGTACTTCATCCTTTCTTATGGCTGAATAATATTCCATTGTATGAATGCTACATTTTATCGGTTCATCCATTTGTAGACATGGAGGTTGTTTCCACATTGGGGCTATAGTGAATAATGCTGCTATGAATATCTGTGGAAAAGTTTTTGTGTGAACATATGTTTTCAGTTCTCTTGGGTATATGCATATGAGTGAAATTACTGAGTCATATAGTGGTAACTCTTAAGTTCAGCTTTTTGTATAACTGCCGAACTGTTTGGATATTACCATTTTACCTTTGCACCAGGGATGTGTGAAGGTCCAATTTCTCCACATCCTTCACAACATTTGTTATTGTCCCTCTCTTTGACAATAGTCGTCCTACTAGGTGTGAGGTGGAATGTTCTTGTGGTTTTCATTTGTAATTTATTAATGACTAATAATGTTGAGCATCTTTTCATGTATATCATCTTTGGAGAAATGTCAGTTCAAATCCTTGGTTCATTTTTTAATTGGATTTTTTAATCTTTTTTCTTGGTTTGTAAGAGTTCTTTATACATGCTAGATATTACATGCTTCTTGGATATGTGATTTGCAAATATTTTCTCCCATTCTGTGGGTTTTCTTTTAACTTTCTTTATACTCTATTGAAACACGAAAGTTTTAAATTTTGATGAAGTCCAATTTGTGTATTTTTTCTGCTTTGTCTTTGGTTGCTTGTACCTTAGGTGTACATCTAAGAAACCATTCCCTAATCCAAAGTCACAAAGAGTTACAGTGTGTTTTCTTCTAAGAATTGTATAGTTTTAGCTTTTAGATTTAGGTCTCTTTCCATTTTGAGTAAAAGTTTATACATGGTATGATGTAGGAGTTCATATTCATTCTTCTGCATGTGGATATCCATTTATCCAAACATTGTTTGTTAAAAAGACTACTCTTTCCCCATTGAATTTTCTTGACACCCCATTGAATAGTCTTGGCACCCTTGTCAAAAATTATTTGGCTATAGAGCCAGGCATGCATCTGTAGTACCAGCTGCCCAGGAGTCTGAGGCAGGAGGATTGCTTGAACCCAGGAGTTTGAGTCCAGCCCGGGAAACATATTAAGACACCATCTCATTTTTAAGAAGTAATTGACTGTAGATGTATGGGTTCATTTCTGGACTCTCAATTCCATTCCACTAATGTATATGCCCGTCCTTATGTGAAATACACAGTCTTGATTACTGTAGCTTTGTTGTAAGTTTTGAAATCAGGAAGTTTGAGCCCTCTTTGTTTTTCTTTTTCAGGATTGTTTTCTCTATTCTGGGCCTCTTGCATTTCCATATGAATTTTATGATCATCTTGCCTATTTCTGCAAAAATGGCAGCTGGAATTTTTATAGGGATTGCATTGAATCTGTAGGTTACTTTGGGTAGTATTGTCATCTTAACAGTATTAAGTTTTCCTGTCCATGAACACAAGATGTCTTTCCATTTATTTCGGTCTTTAATTTCTTTCCATGATGTCTTGTAGTTTTCAGTTATGCAAGTCTTACACTTTTTTGTTAAATTTATTCCTAAATATTTTACTCTTTTTCATGCTTTTTTCAATGGAACTGGGTTTTTAATTTTATTTTTTGATTGTTCATTTCTGTTATAGATATAAAACTGATTTTTGTATATTGCCTTAACTGTTTATTAGCCCTAATTTTTTGTGGCTTCTGCAAATAGAGATAGTTTTACTTTTTCCTATATAATCTCAATGCCTTTTATTTCTTTTGTTGCCTAATTGCTGTGTTTACAACAGCTAGTACAGTGCTGAATAGAAGTGGTGAGAACATGCATCCTTGCCTTTTATTTGTTTTTTATCTTTTATTTTTAATTTTTGTGGATACATAGTAGGTATATATATTTATGGGTTACATGAGATATTTTGTTACAGGCATGCAATGCATAATGATCACATCAGGGTAAATAGGGTATTCATCACCTCAAGCATTTATCTTTTATGTTAGAAACAACATAATTATGTTCTCTTATTTATTTAAAAATATACAATTATTTTTATTATAGTCACCCCATTATGCTAGCAAATACTAGGTCTAATTCATCTATTTTTTTGTACCTGCTAACCATCCCCACTTCCCACCCCTCCCCCCCACTACTCTTCCCAGCCTCTAGTAACCATCCTTCTACTCTATTTTCATGAGTTCAGTCGTTTTTAATTTTTAGCTCCCACAAATAAATGAAAACATGTGAAATTTGTCTTTCTGTGCCTGGCTTATTTCACCTAACATATGATCTCCAGTTTGATCCATGTTGTTGCAAATGACAGGATCTCATTCTTTTTTTATGGCCGAATAGTACTCCATTGTGTATATGTACCACATTTTCTTTATCTGTTCACCTGTTGATGGACACTTAGGTTGTTTCCAAATCTTAGCTGTTGTGAACAGTGCTGCAACAAACATGAAAGTGGAGATAATCTCTGCAATATATTGATTTCCTTTCTTTGGGGTATATACCTAGCAGTGAGATTGCTGAATTATTTGGTAGCTCTATTTTTAGTTTTTTACAAAACCTCCAAATTGTTCTCCATAGTGTTTGTACTAATTTACATCTCCACCAACAGTATACAGGGGTACCTTTTTCTCCACATCCTCACCAGCGTTTGTTACTCCCTATCTTTTGGATAAAAGCCATTTTATCTGCGGTGACATGATATCTCATTATAGTTTTGATTTGCATTTCTTTGATGATCAATGATGTTGAGCACCTTTTCTTTTTTTCTTTTTTTTTTTTAAGACGGAATTTCGCTCTTGTTGCCCAGGCTGGAGTGCAATGGTGCGATCTCAGCTCACTGAAATCTTCGCCTCACTGGTTCAAGCGATTCTCCTGCCTCAGCCTCCTGAGTAGCTGGGATTACAGGCGTGTGCCACCACGCCTGGCTAGTTTTTGTATTTTTAGTAGAGACAGGGTTTCACCATCTTGGCCAGGCTGGTCTCAAACTCCTGACCTCGTGATCCACATGCCTCGGCCTCCCAAAGTGCTGGGATTACAGGTGTGAGCGCCTGGCTGAGCACCTTTTCATATACCTGTTTGCCATTTATGCCTCTTGTTTTGAGAAAAGTCTATTCGAAGCTTTTGCTCATTTTTTAATGAGATTATGAGATTTTTTTCCTAGAAAGTTGTTTGAGCTCCTTATATATTCTGGTTATTATCCATCTTGTCAGATGGATAGTTTGCAAATATTTTTTCCCATTCTGTGTATTGTCTCTTCATGTTGTTGATTGTTTCCTTTGCTGTGTAGAAGTTTTTTAACTTGATGTGATCCCATTTGTTTATTTTTGCTTTGGTTGCCTGTGCTTGTGGGGGACTACTCAAGAAATCTTTGCCCAGTCCAGTGTCGGAGTTTCCCCAATGTTTTCTTTGAGTACTGTCATACTTTAGGCTTAGACTTAAGTCTTTAATCCATTTTGATTTTTGTATATGGCAAGAGATGGAGGTCTAGTTTCATTTTTCTGCACATGGATATCCAGTTTTCCCAGCACCATTTATTGAGGAGACTACTCTCTCCCCAATGTATGTTCTTGGTGCCTTTGTCAAAAATGAGATGTGTGGATTTATTTCTGGGTTCACTGTTCTGTTCCACCGGTCTGTGTGTTTGTTTTTATGTCAGTGCCATGCCATTTTCATTACCATAGTTCTGTAGTATGATTTGAAGTCAGGTAATGTGATTCTTCCAGTTTTGTTCCTTTTGCTCAGGATACCTTTGGCTATTCTGGGGTTTTTGTGGTTCCATGTAAATTTTATGATTGTTTTTTCTATTTATGTAAAGAATTTCATTGGTATTTTGACAGGGATTGCATTGAATCTGTAGATCCCTTTGAGTAATAGGACATTTTAACAATATTGATTCTTCCAGTCTGTGAACCTTGGAATATCTTTCTCTTTTTTTGTGTCCTCTTCAATTTCTTGCATCAATGTTTTATAGTTTTCATTGTAGAGAACTCTTTGGTTAATTCCTAGGTAATTAGTTTTATCTGTAGCTATTGTAAATGGAATTACTTTCTTGATATCTTTTTCAGATTGTTTGCCGTTAACATATAAAAATGCTACTGATTTTTGTATGTTGATTTTGCATCCTGAAACTTTACTGAATTTATCAGTTCTGATAGTTTTTTGGTGGAGTATTCAGGTTTTTCCAAATATTGTTTGGTTCCCATCTGGAAAGTCAGTACAATGCTGAAAGTGGAATCTTGACGTATCCAGCTATTACTATATTTGGATTTATCTCTTTCTTTAGCTCCAGTAATATTTGCTCTATATACCTGGGTGCTCCAGTGTTGGAAATATATTTTTTTACAATTGTTTTTATACAGTTGTTATATCCTCTTGCTGAATTGACCTCTTTATCATTATATAATGATCTTCCTTGTGTCTTATTGTTTTTGTCTTGAAATGTATTTTGTCTAATATAAGTATAGCTAACCCCTGCTCCATTTTGGTTTCCATTGACATTGGATAACTTTTTCCATCCCTTTATTTGTCTGCATGTGTCTTTATAGGTGATGTGTGTTTCTGTTAGGCAACAGATCATTGGGTCCTTTTTTTAATCCATTCAGCCACTCTATGTCTTTTGATTAGAGTTTAGTTCATTGACATTCAGTGTTATTATTGACAAGTGAGGACTTCTTCCTGCCACTTCGATATTTGTTTTCTGGTTGTTTTTTGGTCTTCCCTTCCTCCTTTCCTGTCTTCCTTTTATTATTATTCTTCCTTTTATTATTATTTATTATTCTTCCTTTTGTTATTATTGACAAGTGAGGACTTACTCCTGCCACTTTGTTATTTGTTTTCTGGTTGTTTTTGGTCTTCTCTTCCTCCTTTCCTAGCTTCCTTTTAGTGAAGGTGATTTTCACTAGTGGTGTGACATAATTTCTTGCTTTTTATTTTTTGTGTATCTGTTTATGTTTTTTGATTTGAAGTTATGAGTCTTGCAAATTCTCTTATAACCCATTATTTTAAGCAACTTAACACTTAACAACACTGCTTGCATAAACAAAAAGAAAACTAATAAAAAATCTATAATTTAACTTCATCCTCCTGCTTAATAATATTTTGCTGTTTCTATTTATATCTTATTGTATTGTCTATGCCTTGAAAAGTTGTCATAGTTATTTTTTTCATTGGTTCATCAGTTATAAGAGTAGTTTACATACCATACAGTGTTATGTGTTTTTCTGTGTACTTACTATTATCAGTGAGTTTTGTGCCTTCAAATAATGTCTTACTGCTCATTAATGTTTTTTGCTTTCTGAATAAAGTACTCCCTTTAGCATTTCTTGTAGGACAGATCTGGTGTTGATGAAATTCCTCAGCTTTTGTTTGAGAAAGTCTTTATTTCTCCTTCATGTTTGAAGGATATTTTTTGTCAGATATACTATTATAGGGTAAAAAATTTTTTCCTTCAGCTCTTTAAATATGTCATGCCACTGTCTTCTCGCCTGTAAGATTTCCACTGAAAAGTCTGCTGCCAGATGTATTGTAGTTCCATTGTATGTTATTTGTTTCTTTTCTCTTGCTGCTTTATGATCTTTTCTTTATCTTTGACCTTTGGGAGTTTGATTATTAAATGCTTTGAGGTAGTCTTCTTTGGGTTAAATCTGCTTAGTATTCTATAACCTTCTTGTCCTTGGATATTGATACCTTTCTCTAGATATGAGAAGTTGTGTGAAATTATCTCTTCAAATAAACTTTCTACCCCTCTTTCTCTACCTTCTCTTTAAGGCTAATAATCTTAGATTTGCCCTTTTGAGGCTGTTTTCTAGATCTCGTAGACGTGCTTCATTCTTTCTTATTCTTTTCTCTTTTCTCTTCTCTGTGTGTGTGGTTGTTTTTGAGATGGAGTTTCACTTTTATTGCCCAGGCTGGAGTGCAGTGGTGCAATCTCAGCTCACCGCTACCTCCGCCTCCTGGGTTCAAGCAATTCTCCTGCCTCAGCCTCCCAAGTAGCTGGGATTACAGGCATATGCCACCAAGCCCGGCTAATTTTGTATTTTTAGTAGAGACAGGGTTTCTCCATGTTGGTCAGGCTGGTCTCGAACTCCCGACCTCAGGTGATCCACCTACCTCGGCCTCCCAAAGTGCTGGGATTACAGGCATGAGCCACTGCGCCCAGCCTATATATTTTCAAATGGCCCATTCAAGCTCACTGATTCTTTCTTCTGCTTAATCACTTCTGCTATTATGAGACTCTGATACATTTTTCAGTATGTCAGTTGCATTTTTCAACTCCAGAATTTCTGCTTGATTCTTTTTAATTATTTCACTATCTTTGTGAAATGTATCTGATAGAATTCTGATTCTTTCTCTGTGTTATCTAGAATTTCTTTGAGTTTCCTCAAAACAGCTATTTGGGGATTTTGTTTGTTTGTTTTTGTTTTTTGTTTTTGTTTTTGAGGCAGGGTCTTGCCCTGTTGTTGGAGTGCAGTGGTACTATTACGTCTCACTGCAGGCTCAACCGCTTGGGCTCAGTCAGTCCTCCCACCTCAGCTTCCCAAAGTGCTGGGATTACAGGCATGAGCCAATGCACCTGACCAAAACAGTTATTTTGAATTCTCTGTCTGAAAGGTCACATATCTCTGTTTCTCCAGGATTGGTCCCTGGTGCCTTACTGAATTTGTTGAAGTCATGTTTTTTGCTGGATGGTCTTGATGCTTGTTGATGTTTGTTGGTGTCTGGGGATTAAAGAGTTAGATACATCTCGTAGTCTTCAAAGTCTGGGCTTGTTTGTAGCAGTCCTTCTTGGGAACACTTTCCAAGTATTTGAAATGACTTGGATTTTGTGATCTAAGCCACATCTGCATTAAGGAGCACACCTAGACCAATAATTCTGTGGTTCTTACAGGATCAGAGGTGCCATCTTGGTGGTCTTGGAGAAGATTCAAAAGAATTCTCCAGATTCCCAGGCAGACTCTTGTTCTCTTCCTTTACTTTCTCCCAAACAAATGGGGTATCTCTTTCTGAGCCACCTGGGCTTGGGGATGGGGTGACACAGGTACCCCTGTGGCCACCACCACTGGGACTGCACTAGGTCAGACCTGAAGCCACCACAGTACTGGATCTCGCCCACAGCCCGCCATACCTGGCTGTCAACCTGTGTTTACTCAAGGTCCTAGTGCTCTATAATCAGTAGATGGTGAAACCAGCCAGGCTTGTGTCCTTCCCTTTAGGGAAGTGTGTTCCCTTAGGTCCCAGGTAGATCCTGAGATGCCATCCAGGAGACAGGGTCTGAATTTAAAAACCTTAGAAATCTGTGTTGTACTGCAGCTAAGCTGGCCCTGAAACCTTGAGCCACTACCCTTCCCACTCTTCCCTTCACTTTCTGCGGGCAGAAGAGTATTTCCCCGTGGCCGTCACCAACCACACGCCCATGGGGAGTACTGCTAGGCTGTTGCTGATGAACTCCCAAGGGTTCTTCAGTCAGCTTGTGATAAATGCTGCCTGGCCTGGGACTCACCCTTCAGGGCAGTGGGGTTCCCTCTGGCCCAAGGCACATCTAGAAATGCCATCTAAAAACCACACCCTGGAATTGGGGACCCTGAGAGCCCACTTAGTGCTCTGTCCCACTTGGCAGAGCTGGTACCTAAGATGCAGACAAAATCTCCTTTACTTTTCCCTCTGCTTTTCTCAAGCAGGACTCTCTCAGTATAATCACCACAGCTGGGCATGTGCTGGGTCTCTTATGAAGCCAGCATGTCTCAGACTCTTATCGAAGGCACATGGATACTACCTGGTATCGCTGCTGGTTGTTTCAGTCCCAAGGGTTCTTTAGTTAACAAGTGATGAATCCTGCCAGGACTGGGTTCTTCCCTTCAGGACTGTAGGTTCCCTTCTGGCCCAGGGCGTGTCTAGAGATGTCATCCAGGAGTGCTAAGGCCTGAAATGGGGTCTCATGACTCTGACACAAGCCTGAGTTGGTATCCAAGATACAAAAGTCCTCTTTACTCTTCCCTTTTCTTTCGTCAAGTGGAAGAGAGGGATGTCTTTTGGAGCCTCAAGCTGTGTTGCCTGGGGTTGGGGGAGTTGGGGAAGTGGTGGCACAAGCACTTCCTTAGCTGCCCCAGCAAGAGTCTCAGTAAGTCACATGCCTAGCAAGTAAAAGGCTGCAAGCCCAACTCAACACTAGGACGTGTAGTCCTTGTGGCCTGGACAGCCTTTCAGGTTTATTTAAGGCTCCAAAGCACTTCAGTCCATGGGGGCAAGGCTTGCAGGTACTCAAGTTCCCACTGTCTTTTTTCTTGAATAAACACTCCCTAGATTGCTGCAAGCCTTTGGTTAACTTCTGTGGTTCTGAAAATATGAATTCTGCTAATTTATGCCCATTCTCTTGTTGATTTTATGGAGGAGAGAATTTTTGGAGGTCCTTACTCTGACATTTTGCTGATGTCCCTTCCCTAACAACTTGAGATAAATCTTAGAGTGATCCAGTTACTTTTCTGCTTATAAACACTTGCCTATTATATACTCCAAATTATATTACAGGCTTTTCTTTAAAATAGGTGCAAATATTTTGTTAATATTCTCTCACATAATTTATATGTTTATACTCTTTAAATTTCTTCAGTAGTGTCTACTGTGTTCAGGCACAGTTGGGAATGAGAATCTTCATCCTGTAGTAATTATTTCTCTTCCCTTGACCAAAGGATTTCCAAATTGCAGAAAATTATTCTTTATGTTCAAAATATGACTCATTTGTTATTCGTTTATTTATTCAACTACTATTTATTGAGTACAAGGCACTGTTCTAGATGCTGGGGATACATGACTAAAAAGGAAGACAAATTTTCTGACCTCCTAGAGTATAATGGAGTTTACACTCTAAGATGAAGACTGATAATAAGCAAGTAAACAGTAAATTCCATAATCTGAAGTAATAATAAGTGCTATGATGAAAAAGTAAAACAGATTAAGAGGATAGAGTGACAGGGGTGCTCTTTTAAATTGGGTTTACAAGAAAGGCCTTTCTGAGGAGATGAGATTCCAGCAGAGACCCTAATAAAGGGCTCAGGAAGGCATGAACTATGCAAAGCTGGCTGAAGAACTTTCCAGTAGAGGAAATATCAAGTGCAGACCCCTGAGTCTAACTTATTATATTTTATATATGCATGGTATTTTATTTATCTATATATTATAGGTATTAAAATCTTTTAAACATTTTTCTAAAAAGCTATTTTCAAAAAAAATTTTGTGGTTTTTAACTTTGGTTCAGTTTGGTAAGTGCTATACCTTTTTTTAATACCAGTATCTGTATGTTATTTTGGTTTATTTTACTCTTTAAGTTAAATACAGATTAATGTCCCTGTAAATCTGATAATGATAAATATAGCATAAAGGTGTTATATTCAAATGGATTTTAATTTTTCTCCAAACTAATATTTACATAAATGTATGTAAACTATTTGAGTTATGTGGAGTTCCAGTTAGTTTTCTTTTGTGTATGTCTCAACAAATGTTTAGTGTTAATGCTTGTCAGCTCACATTTTCTTTTCCTTTGTTTTGTAAGATTACTTTCTTCCCTTCCTCTCTTCCTTACCTCCATTACCTTCCTTTACTCCCCTTCCTCCCCTTCTCTT
This sequence comes from Homo sapiens, assembly GCF_000001405.40. Taxonomy (NCBI): domain Eukaryota; kingdom Metazoa; phylum Chordata; class Mammalia; order Primates; family Hominidae; genus Homo; species Homo sapiens. The sequence goes on along the minus strand of NC_000003.12, from coordinate 142,336,618 downwards.
TTCCTCTCTCTCTATTCCTTCTCTTACCCTTCCTTCTCCCCTTTGTCCTTCCTTCCCCTGTCTCTGATCTCATTCCCTCCTCCCATGCCCTCCTCACTATTCCCCTTCCCCTGCTTCTTTCCTCAGCCTCTCTTTCTTTTTTAATATTGCCTCCCTCCCTCCCTTCCCTTCCTTCCTTCCTTCCTTTTTCCTCTTCTCTTTCCACCCACCTTTTTATTTTTTCAGACTGGCTTAATGAACAGTCTAGTGATAGAAAGTGGTAAAAATAAGTTATAGTAGATCTATATAGCTATATAATCCAGTATATCCAATATAATAGAATATTATGCAATAATTACAAACTATGCTTTTTGTGCTTCTTCATATCTACCTCATGCCCCTCATATTTTTCATCTTCATATTCTGTCATTTACCAAATCCTATGAAAATAATCTCTCAAATTCATCCTTTCCTATCTCCTTCATCTTCACATCCTGTCATTTGCTAAATCCTAGAATTTTTCAAATTCATTCTTTTCATTTCTCCTACCATCCCCCAATTTCCCCTTAACAGAACTATTAAAATAGCTGCCTGAGTTGGTCTTGTACTATTCTTCTATTTAGCCAATAGGCTATGGCCATATTTTAATCGTCCTAAAGCACAGTTCTCATCAGATTACTACCTGCTTAAACCTTTCTGTTACTGGCTGCCCATTTCCTACCAACTTAATATAATACCGTAGTCTTCAGTGACTTGCAGATTATGGCTCTAACCTGCTTTTTTAGTTCTCTCAAGCTCCATTTTACCCTTAACTTCCAGTGGAACTTGCTTTCTGCTTCCATGTCTTTTTTCCCACTATTTGCTTTGCCTGGAGTACTTAACTTCTTAGTCTGCCCTTTAGAACCTACCTCCTTCGAGGCCCAATTCAGATGCCACCTTTCCATTTTCTCTATTATTATCTAAGTGTCTCTTCTCCCCCTTATCTATGTTATAAATTCCTTAAGTTCAGAGACTGTGTCTTGAAATTCTCTGAATTTTTAACACAGTGCCTTGCTATTATAAATATTTGGTAGTTTTAATTGTGCAGTAAACACTTCCATTTATGAAAATTTCTGTTTTCTTGTCTCTAGTTAAAGAAGAGTGTAAGAGTCCTAAAGCTGAGTGTTGGTCCCAAAAAATGTCCAATAAGCAGGTAAGCTTCCTTAAAATCAAATTTCTAGTTACCAATTTTTTAATGCAATTGGTGGCTCTGTAGCATTGGACTGAATTTCTCAACCTTTTCAACCAAATTTATAAGGTGTGTGGCCAGAGGGTCACTGAAGTTAAGCTGACAGTCACTTGGATGGGAGGTTGTACACCTAAAGTCCTGGATTTGGAACTAGAGGCACCTGAAATCCTGATTCTCTCATTTAATAGTTGGGTGGCCTTGAGCAATTCACTTTACCTCTCACAGCCTCAATTTTCTCATCTTTAAGTGGAGATAAAAATATTAATCACTTGTCCAGGCGTGGTGGCTCATGCCTGTAATCCTAGCACTTTGGGAGGCCAAGGTGGGCGGATCACCTGAGGTCAGGAGTTCGAGACCAGCCTTGCCAACATGGTAAAACCCCGTCTCTACTAAAAATACAAAAAAATCAGCCAGGCGTGGTGGCATGTGCCTGCTGTAGTCCCAGTTACTCGGGAGGCTGAGGCAGGAGAATCACTTGAACCCATGAGGCAAAGGTCGCAGTGAGCTGAAATCGCACCACTGCACTCCAGCCTGGGCAACAGTGAGACTCTGTCTCAAAAAAAAAAAAAAATTAATCACTTGTAGTTGCTCCCAATATATATGGTCTTTTGTGTGTGTGTGTGTGTGTGTGTGTGTGTGTGTGTATACATAGACATATATATACACACACATAGACATTATATATGGTCTTATATATATACACATAGACATATATATATGGTCTTATATATATACACATAGACATATATATGGTCTTATATATATACATAGAAATATATATTTACATATACAATTGAAGTACATGGAACAAAATAGCAAATTTAACAGGCTAACTTCTGTGGAATTAGATTGGTGTGGGGGAAGCCAAGATCATTTATGTTTTACTTTATATAGTCTCTGCTGTTTACAAGGATTATGGATGCATTTTATAATGAAAGAATAACAAATCTTTGATCTAAAAAAATTTGACACGTATATTTATTAGATGTGTACTTTTCTGTATGCCTATCATATTTTAATATATATTTTTTTAAATTGATCTCTTATAGTAATATATTAAATTTATAAAAGGTCTTAGCTGAATATTTGGCACATAACAGGTAGTAAATGGAACCCATTAATGTTTAGATACCAGTAAACGGTTTAATTACTTGACTTTTAAGGCCCTCTCCATTTGAAACTCTTATACTGTAATTTCCTTTCTTCTAGAAAAGGGATTGATAAACTTTTTGTTCAATAGACATCTTTGGTGAAGCCCATGGACTTTTGGTGAAGCCATTATTATTCTCAGAATAGTATTTTTAATGCTAAAATAAAATACATACGATTTTAAAGAAAACCAGTTATACTGATATACAATTAGAATCACCACTGTTGTGGTTTTCATAGTTGATTTGGGCTGCTATAATAACAATACCATAGACTAGGTACATTTGAACAATAAACATTTATTTCTCACAGCTCTGGAATCTGAGAAGTCCAAGATCAAGGCACTAGCAGAATAATGTCTTTAATGCTAAAAAGATTTAAGAGAAAACCAGTTATATTGAAATACAGTTAGAATCCGGTAAAGTGCCATTGTCTGGTGGGGGCTCCCTTTCTGGCTTGCAGATGATGCGTCTTCTCATATTCTAACATGATGGAGAGAAAGAGCTCTATTCTCTTTCTATTCATATAAGGACACTAATACCATCATGGATGTTGCACCCTAAAGACCTCATCTAAACTTAATTACCTACCAAAGGCCCCACCTCCTAATATGATCCCATTAGGAGTTAGGATTTTAACAGAAGAATTTTGGGGGAATACAAACATGCAGACCATATAAGTGTTTTGTTGCCTATATTCATAATTGCAGGAAATGCTAAATCTCATTGAGAGGTTAATGAAGATTAAGGTGTAATTTTCCCCATCCAAGTTTATAGGCCCCTTTTCTTATGATACAAAAGGGAAAATAGCACATAAAATTTTTTTGCAACAATTTATTTAGAACACTATTACATATTAACTATAAATATATTTGCACAAAAAGTTTATTCTTACTTTTTTAATAGACTTTAGAAGGGCCTGCCAAATATAATATTAAGCTATTGAAGAGAAATGAAAGTCCAGAAGTCTCAGAAACCCAAAAGGTTGTGACTGGTTATCCAAATGCTATTGATAAGGTAAAAAACTATTTATTCCAATTCTCTTCCCAAACTTTAACACCTGGGAAGATGATTGAGTGAAAATCGAATGACCATTTTTGTACATAAAACTCAGCTTTTTGTGTGTTCTTGTATTATACGTTCATCTTCATGCCCAAAATATTTATTCTTTTAGCCTAACTCTGGAATTGAGAACTTTTTAGCATCTTTGAATATCTCCAAAGAAAATGAAGTACAGTCATCTCATCATGGGGAGCCTCCAAGTGAAGAGCATTTGTCACCACAGTCATTTGCCATGGTTCGTATTTTGTAGGAACTTTCTTACTGTGGTAATTTCTCGACTGTTGACCATGCAGACATATCCCATGCAAGTGTTCAAACACTTCCATCATGGAGGCTGGTATGTTACATCATTATTGTCATCTTGTGAGGAAACCAGGCTGCCCTGGGCAATTTAGCCATACTTTTTCTCTTTAGACCACAGTTCCCCTGCTTTTCAAACATTGCTACTAGGTAACTGGGATGAAAGTTAAGCAGGAGGATAAGTATCGTTTCTGTATCAGAAATGTGGGTGTTGGGTTTTTTTTTTTCAGTTTCTATCTGAATGTAGTTAATGTCTTAATTGTTAACAATGGAATTCTTTCCAAGAAAGATCAATAAGTTCTACAGATGTAATGTTGACTTTGTTCTCTTCACCCTCACCATCTCCATGTGAATCATTTTCAAAAAGAAGGGAACACGGATGCTTAAAGAAATTCTAAAAATTGATGGCTCTAACACTGTGGACCATAAGAATGAAATCAAACAGATTGCTAATGAAATCCCTGTTTCCTCTAACAGAAGAGATGAATATGGATTACCCTCTCAGCCTAAACAAAATAAGAAATTAGGTAAGTAAACTAAATACTATTACCAATAATATCATTTTAAAAATTCAATTCATTTGGTTCTTTTTAATCATGTACTTTTAAAGATAAAACTGCTTTTATTTTAATGTATTTATTTATTTTAGAGATGGTGTCTTGCTGTGTTGGCCAGGCTGGTCTCAAACTTCTGACCTCAAGCAATCCTCTCACTTCAGCCTCCCAAAGTGCTGGGATTACAGGTATATGCCACCACACCTGGCCCAAAACTACTTTTATTCTTAAAACTATAATTTTTATATTTGTTTCAGTTATATAATAATATAACTGGCCAGGTGTGGCTCATGCCTGTAATCTCAGAACTTTGGGAAGCTGAGGCAGGCGGATCTCTTAAGCTCAGGAGTTCAAGACCAGCCTGGGCAACATGGCGGAAACTCTGTCTCTCTAAAAAATACAAAAGTTAGCTAGGTGTGGTGGCGTGTGCCTGTAGTCCCAGCTACTGGGGAGGCTGACGTGGTAGGATTGCTTGAGCCTTGGAGGCAGAGGTTGCAGTGAGCCAAGATCACGCCACTGCACTCTAACCTGGGCAACAGAGATAGACCCTGTCTCAAAAAACAAAAAGAACAATAATAATACAACCATGTAACCAATAGATCTACAGTCACTAAATGTCTTCTTGTGATTACTTAATTGTAGTGTTATAGATAATCATTCTGTAGACATCCAAACCTTTAAAAGTTTGCACATTCTAGCTTTTGTCCTCAGTAATTTAAAAATTATCATGTAACTTAAATACATTATTTAACTTTTCTGAAATCTTGTTTCTTATTTATAAAATAAGAATAATACATTACAGATTACTTGTGGTAATTATATAACATGTATAAATATAAAACAGCACTATGTCCAACACATTGTAGGTGCTAATAATTGATATTAATATTATGTTAAAATAACCTAACTGTTGTAAAAATAGAAAAATCTACAAAATCAATTAAAAATCATTAATAGAGTTAGATATAGGAAAGTGAGTCATACTCTTAAGTCTGTAAAGCCTATAGCATAACATCTGGCACATAACTGGATTTCAGTAAATATCCGCCATATTTGTTCCTACCCTGAATGTCCTCTATACTTTAGCATTTTATCTGTATAATGATCTACTAAAGGCAGCCAGGAAGAATGACTGATACAAAAGTGGATGTGGGCAGAAGTTTCTCAGAGAAGTCAAAAACATTTTGGAATAAGCAGATCTAAGCGTATTAAAGATCAAAACCTGGAATTGGCTGGGCACGTTGGCCCACATCTGTAATGCCAGCACTTTGGGAGGCCAAGGCGGGTGGATCACCTGAGGTCAGGAGTTTGAGACCAGCCTGGCCAACATGGTGAAACCCCCTTTCTACTAAAAATACAAAAAATTAGCCGGGTGTGGTGGCAGGCGCCACCAAGTAGCTGTAATCCCAGCTACTTCAGAGGCTGAATCAGGAGAATCGCTTGAACCCGGGAGGTGGAGGTTGCAGTGAGCCAAGATCACGCCATCACACTCGAGCCTGGGCAACAAGAGCGAAACTCTGTCAAAACAAAAACAAAACCTGGAATAAAAGCAGAACCTAACCCCATTTATATTCCAGTGATAATTAATTAAAAATTCCAAAAAATATTAGGAACCTGATTATTTATTATAGTGACAGACATGGTCCTGAAATAGAACCAAATTAATTTTAAGACAAAATTAGATAAAGATGGTCCCATTGTCAAAAACAAGTAAGTTTTACTTTATTTCAGTATAGGAAAAAAAAAAAAAAAAACTCATAGGCTTTAGAGTCTTAGGGTCACTAGCTCAGAATCCAGCCCCTGTTATAGAACTAACTGGCTCTGTGACTTTGAGCAAGCCACTTAACTGCTTTTTTAATCTATATTAGTAAGAAGTTTGGATTAATTCTTCAATGAGGTATGCTTTTGTTCTATTAGTGAGTTTGTTAATCATAAAGAATGTGAACACTCAGAATTTTAAAATCATCTTCCATATAAAAACACTTAGAAGACAATTTCAAAAAAAACTTTTAAGAAATATTATTTCAGAGCCACAAAAATATTCATCCATGTGTCTCAGAATGTAAGGTGGAATTGCAAGAATTGAGGTGGAAGCCAAAACTTCAAAACTTAAGGATGAATTATATTTCAGCTCAAGAAAGCCATTTGTTTATTCATTCTTTTATTTTTCTCTTCTTACTTCTGCAAAACAAGAAAGCCATTTGTTTGTTCAAATTTTACCTGTAGCAGTACCATGTAGTCATTAGCTGCTCAAGGTTTTAATTTTTGGCAGTTAGGTACTTATATTTTAAAATCTTTATCTTAATAATTTATCATTAATCAATTATACTCATCCAAAAACCTTTACTGAAGTCACAATAATTTTAGGAAGTACTAAATAGTTGTTTATATGTGCTTCATGGAAGACTCATCTTTTTAATGCAGTTGGTGGCTCTATAGCGTCTAACTGAATTTTTCAAGGTTTTCGACCAAATTTATAAGGTGCGTGGCCAGAGGACCACTGAAGGTAAGCTGACAGTCACTTGGATGGCAGGTTGTACTGCTAGAGTCCAGGATTTGGAACTAGAGCCACCTGAAATCCTGATTCTGTTATTTAATAATGGGTGGCCTTGAGCAATTCACTTCACTTTTTAGCAGTTTCCTGCTTGCTCTTCTATAAAACCCTACAATAAGTGCATAATTTGAGATAGTATTTTATTAATAAAGATAGACTCTTTTCTCTTTTTTGGTAGCATCTTATATGAACAAGCCTCACAGTGCTAATGAGTACCATAATGTTCAGTCTATGGACAATATGTGTTGGCCTGCCCCCAGCCAGATCCCTCCTGTATCCACACCAGTAACTGAACTTTCTCGAATTTGTTCCCTTGTTGGAATGCCACAACCTGATTTCTCCTTTCTTAGGATGCCACAGGTATAGTATACTACTGTTCTATTTATATAAATTATTTAACATTAAGCTTAAATAAATTGGTTGAAAATGTTTAGCTAGAAAAAATAAAATGGGGCCTATTTTTCTTAACTTTATGAGCAGCATAGATTTATGCTTCTTACCCTAGCTCTAATATTTATACATAACCAAAGCCCTAAGAGAAGCTGACAGGGAGGAACTGGGCAGCAGGTATCCTGGCAAGATTCCTCAAACTAATAGAGCCAGGGATCTTGGCCTACAGTAGCAATTTTCAAACTTTTTGGTCTCAGAAACTTCACACTTTTTTTGGAGGACCCCAAAGAGATTTTGTTTACTTATATCCATATTTACTGTGTTTGAAATTAAAACAAAAAAAATTGGCCAGTTGTAATGGGTCATGCCTGTAACTCAGCACTTTGGGAGGCCAAGGCGGGAGGACAGCTTGAGGCTGGGAGTTTAAGACCAGCCTGGGCAACATAGCAAGACCTCATCTCTACAAAAGAATATAAAAATAAAATTAGCCATGTGTGTTGTGAGCCTGTAGTCCCAGCTGCTCACAAGGCTGAGGCAGGAGGACGGAAGCCCAGGAGGTCAGGACTTCAGTGAGCCACGATTATGCCATTGCACTCCAGCCTGGGCAACAGAGCAAGACCTTGTCTCTGAAACATATATATATATATATATATATATATATATATATATATATATATATATATATATATATATATATATAATATTACAAGTAAACCTATATGTTTATTAATCCATTGTTTATTAAAAATAACTTTCACCTAATAGACATCTGTAGAACATTTCATCCAACAGCTGTAGAATATACATTCTTTTCCTCAACAAATGGAACATTCTCAAGGATAAACCAAATGTTAAGCCACAAAACAAGTCTCACAAAATTCAAAAGATTAAAATTCAATCAAGTATATTTTCTGACCATAATGAAATAAAACCAGAAATCAATAACAAGAGGAACTTTGGAAACTATACAAATAAATGGAAATTAAACATTATGTTTCTGAATGGCCCTTGGGTCAATGAAGAAATTAAGAGAAAATTTTAAATTTTCCTGAAGCAAATGAAAATGGAAACACAACATACCAAAACCTGTAGGATACGGCAAAAGTAGTACTAGGAGGGAAGATTATAGCAATAAATCCCTGCATCCAAAAAGTACAGACACTTCAAATAAACAACCTAACAGTGTGTCTTGAAGAATTAGTTCCAGCAGTCACACTACTGGGTATCTATCTAAAGGAAAAGAAATTGTATAAAAAAGATACCTGATTTGTATGTATATTGCAGCACTAGTCACAATAGCCAAGATGTAGAATCAACCTAAGGGTCCATCAACAGATGATTGGATAAAGAAAATGTGGTGTATATATACACAATGGAATATTGTTCAGACATTTTAAAAAAGAATGAAACCATGTCTTTTGCAGCAACATGGATGGAACTGAGGCCATTATCTTAAGCAAACAACTCAGAACAGATACCACATGTTCTCATTTATAAGTGGGAGCTAAATAATGTGTACATAGGGATATAGAGTGTGAAATAATAGAGACTTGGAAGGGTGGGGGATGGGCAGGGAGTAGATGGTGAGAAATTACTTAATGGCTGCAATGTATGCAGTGTACATAATTCAGGTGATGAATATAAGAAAAGCCCAGACTTTACCACTCTGCAATAAATCCATGTAACAAAACTGCACTCGCACCCCTTACGTTTATACAAATTTTTAAAATAAATAATAACTAGAAAAGCAAGAGGAAACCAAACCCAAAATTATTAGAAGAAAAGAAATGATAAAGATTGGGGCAGAAATTAATGAATTGATACTAAAAATAGTACAAAAGATGGATGAAAGAAAAAGTTGTTTTTTTTTTTTAAAAGATAAGCAAAATCAACAAACCTTTAGCCGGACTGTAAAAGAGAGAATATCCATATGAATAAAATCAGAGATGAAAAAGGAGTCATTACATCTGATAACACAGAAATTCAAAATATTTTAGAGACTATTATGAGCAACTATATGCAGTAAATTGGAAAACTTAGAAGAAATGGATGAATTCCGAGACACATAAAAACATACCAAGATTGAACCATGAAGAAATCCAAAACTTGAATAGAACAACATTAACAAGATGGAAGCGGTAGTAAAAAGCCTCTTATCAAAGTAGACCAGGACCTGGTGTTTTCGCTACTGAATTCTGCCAAACGCTGAAAGAAGAGCTAATAAGAGTTCTACTCAGACTGTTCCAAAAACTTGAGGAGGAGAAAATACTTCCAAACTTGCCAGTATTACCCTGATACCAAAACCAAAGAAAGACACTACAAAAAATGAGAACTACAGGCCGATATATCTGATGAAGTAGATATAAAAATCTTCAACACAATACTAGTGAATTGAATTCAAAGGCACATTAAAAAGATAATTCATCATGATCAAGTGGGATTCATCCCAGGTATGCAAGGATGTTTAAATATATGCAGTCAATAACTGTGACACATCAACAAAATGAAGAACAAAAACCATATGATCATTTCAATACTAACTGAAAAAGTGTTTGATAAAATTCAGCATCTCTTTGTGATAACAGCTCTCAACAAACTGGGTATAGAAGGAACATACCTCAACATAATAAACAACAACAAACCCACAGCTAGTATCATACTGAATGGGGGAAAAATGAAATACTTTCCTTTAAATTCTGGAAACAAGACAAGGATGCCCACTTTCACCACTGTTAATATAGTACTGGAAATCCTTGCCAGAGCAATTAGACAACAGAAATAAATAAAAGGCATCCAAAAGGGAAAGGAAGGAGTCAAACTACTCTTGTTAGTAGACAATATAATCTTATATTTAGAAAAAAACTATTAGAATTGATAAATTCAGTGAAGTTGTAGGATACAAAATCAACATACAATCAGTCACATTTCTATATACTGACAGCAAACAATCTGAAAAAGAAACCAAGAAATTAATCCCCTGCAGAATAGCTACAAATAAATAAAATACCTAGAAATTAATCAAGTTAACCAAAGCAGTGAAAGATCTCTACAATGAAAACTTATTATAAAACAATGATGCAAGAAATTGAAGAAGACACAAAGAAATGGAAAGATTGTCCATGTTCATGTATTGGAAGAATCAATATTGTTAAAATGTCTATACCACCCCCAAGCAATCTGCAGATACAGTGCAACTCCTCTCAAAATACCGATGACATTCTTGACAGAAATAGAAAAAAAAAAAAAATCCTAAAATTTATCTTGAACCGCACACGATCCTGAATAGCTACGGCAATCCAGAGCAAAGTGAACAAAGCTGGAGGCATTATACTGCAAAGTTACATAACCAAAACAACATGGTACTGGCTTAAAAACAGACAGAGACCAATGGAACAGAATAGAGAATCCAGAAATAAATCCACACAGTTACAGTCAACTTATTTTTTATAAAGATGACAAGAACATATGTTAGGGAAAGAACAGCCCCTTCAGTAAATGATCCTGGGACAACTAGATATCCATATTTAAGGGAATGAAACTAAGTGCTTATCTCTCACCATTTTCAAAAATCAAATCAAAATGGATTAAAGACTTAAATGTTAGATCTGTAGCTATTAAACTGCTGGAAGTAAACACTGGGGAAACACTCCAGTACATTGATTTGGGCAAAGATAAGTAAGACATCAAAAGCACAGGCAACTAAAGCAAAAATGCATAAACGGTATCACATCAAGCTTAAAAAGCTTCTGCACAACAAAGGAAACAATCAACAAAGTGAAAAGACAATACACAGAAGAGGAGAAAATATTTGCAAACTACCCATCTGACAAGATATTAATAGCCAGAATATATAAGGAGCTCAAACAATAAGAGAAAAAAAACAAAAAATCCCATTTGATAGTGGGCAAATGCAATATACCCATGTAACAAACCTGCATGTATACCCCCATGTGTCAAACAAAAGTTGAATTTTTAAAAAATAAAATATAACTATAAAAATTTTTAATGGGCAAATGATCTCAGCAAACATTTCTAAAAAGAAAACATACAAATGGCCAACAGGTATATGAAAAAATGCTCAACATCACTACATTAGAGAAATGCAAATCAAAACTACAATGATATATCTCCAATTAAAATGGCTTTTACCAAAAAATAAAAAACAGGCAATAATGGATGCTGGTAAGGATGCAGAGAAAGGGAAACCCTCATACATTGTTGGTGGAAACGTAAATTAGTACAGCCACTATGAAGGACATACAGCATGGAAATTGCTCAAAAAGATAAAAATAGACCTACCATATGATCCAGCAATTCCACTGCTGGGTATAGGTCCAAAAGAAAAAATATCAGTATATGTAAGAGATATTTGTCCTCTCATGTTTATTGCAGTGCTATTCACAAAAGCCAAGATACAAAATCAACCTAAGTGTCCATCAATGGATAAATGGATGAAGAAGATGTGTGTGTATATATATACACACTTCTCAAGATATACACTTCTCAAAAGAAGACATTTATGCAGCCAACAGACATATGAAAAAATGCTCATCATCACTGGCCATCAGAGAAATGCAAATCAAAACCACAATGAGATACCATCTCACACCAGTTAGAATGGTGATCATTAAAAAGTCAGGAAACAACAGGTGCTGGAGAGGATATGGGGAAATAGGAACACTTTTACACTGTTGTTGGGACTGTAAACTAGTTCAACCATTGTGGAAGTCAGTGTGGCATTTCCTCAGGGATCTAGAACTAGAAATACCATTTGACCCAGCCATCCCATTACTGGGTATATACCCAAAGGATTATAAAACATGCTGCTATAAAGACACATGCACACCTATGTTTATTGCAGCAGTATTCACAATAGCAAAGACTTGGAACCAACCCAATTGTCCAACAACGATAGACTGGATTAAGAAAATGTGGCAGATATACACCATGGAATACTATGCAGCCATAAAAAATGATGAGTTCATGTCCTTTGTAGGGACATGGATGAAGCTGGAAACCATCATTCTCAGCAAACTATTTCAAGGACAAAAAACCAAACACAACATGTTCTCACTCATAGGTGGGAATTGAACAGTGAGAACACATGGACACAGGAAGGGGAACATCACACGCTGGGGACTGTTGTGGGTGGGGGGAGGGGGGAGGGATAGCATTAGGAGAGATACCTAATGTTAAATAAAGAGTTAACGGGTGCATCACACCAACATGGCACATGTATATATATGTAACAAACCTGCACGTTGTGCACATGTACCCTAAAACTTATAGTAAAAAAAATAAAAATAATAAAAAAAAAACTGAAAAAAAACCCAATAATATATATTTTAAAATAACCAAAAGAGTGGAATTGAAATGTTCCTAACACAGCAAAAATGATAAATACTTGAGGTGATGGATATCTCAGTTACTGTGATTTGATCATTATACATTGTATCCTTGTATCAAAATATCACATGTACCCCATAAATGTGTGTTATAATTATTATGTATTCATAAAACTAGAAACAAAAAAAAAATAGTAAAAAATATTAACTACTTAAAAAATTTAGTTAGAAGAGTGATATTACTCGAATTTTTTTTTTAAAGAGATGGGGTGTCATTTTGTTGCCCAGGCTGGCTTCAAGCAGTCCTCCCACCTTGGCTTCCCAAAGTGCTAGGATTACAGGCACATGCCACCATGCCCGTCCTGCTCTACATTTTAAAAATCCTTCTCACCACAGTAGTAATAGGAGAAGCTAGATTCTCCTGTCTGCTTAATACTGTCAATCCCTAGTGATACGTGTTTTTTTGTAGAAATCTATGTCCTCATACAGATACAAAATTAGAAAAATGAAGAGAATCTTAATAGCCTTTTCAGATAGTTTTGGCTATACTTTAATATTACATTAAAACTTAAAAGTGGGCCGGGCATGGTATCTCACGTCTGTAATCCCAGCACTTTGGGAGGCCAAGGCAGGCGGATCACTTGAGGTAAGGAGTTCGAGACCAGCCTGGCCAGTGTGGTGAAACCCCATCTCTACTAAAAATACAAAAATTAGCCAGGTATGGTGGCGCATGACAGAGCAAAACTCCATTTAAAAAAAAAAAACAAAAAAAAAACCTTAAGAGTGGTATTTTGTTTAAGGTTAGTTGCAGTGTGGAATCTTGCAGTGTGGAATCTGAAACCTTATCAATAAACATTTTTGTCCTCCATATACTTGTGAGAAGGTAGGAAATAAGAAAAAGTAATGCGAAAAAGAGCATAGCACCTCAATATAATCATGCGCTAGATGCGGTGGCTCACACCTGTAAGCCCAACAACTCAGGAGGCTGAGGCAGAAGGATCACTTGAGCTCAGTAGTTTGAGATCAGCCTGGGCAAGACCTCATCTCTTTATTTTTGAGACAGAGTCTCGCTCTGTCACCCAGGCTGGAGTGCAGTGCTGTGATCTCAGCTCACTGCAACCTCCGCCTCCCGGGTTCAAGCGATTATCCTGCCTCAGCCTCCTGAGTAGCTGGGATTACAGGTGCATGCCACCACGCTCGGCTAAGTTATGTATTTTTAATAGAGACGGGGTTTCACCATGTTGGTCAGGCTGGTCTCGAACTCCTTACCTCGTGATCCACCTGCCTCGGCCTCCCAAAGTGCTGGGATTATAGGTGTGAGCCACCGTGCCTGGGCTAGAACTCATCTCTTTAAAAAACAATTTTTTTTTGTTTGTTTGTTTGGGGACAGAACCTCGCTCTGTTCGCCCAGGCTAGAGTGCGGTGGCACGAGCTCACTGCAGCTTCCACCTGCCAGGTTCAAGCGATTCTCCTGCCTCCTGAGTAGCTGGGACTACAGGCACATGCAACCCCACCCGGCTAATTTTTGTATTTTTAGTAGAGACAGGGTTCACCATGTTGGCCAGGCTAGTCTCACGCTCCTGACCTCAGGTGATCTGCCTGCCTCAGCCTCCCAGAGTGCTAAGATTACAGGCATGAGCCACTGCGCCCGACCATCATCTCTAAAAAAACTTTAAAAACAGCTAAGCGTGGTAGTACCCACCTATATTCTCAGCTATTCAGGAGGCTGATGTGAGAGGATTGCTTAAACCTGGTAGTTGGCTACAGTGAGCCTTGATCACACCACTGTACTCCAGCCTGGGCAACAGAGTGAGACCCCAACTCTAAAAAATATATGCATATATAATTATGAAAATTTGATCTCAGTGCCTCCCTGAAAGGGTCTCGCAGACCCTCAGCTATCCCCAGACTGCACTTTGAGACCTACTGACCGCAAGAAAGTTGTTTTATTCTCTTTATATCCAGTTCTTGATACCCTCTAACCTAAAACAGAAAGCAGTTTTTTCTAAAATCAGGGCCAAGGCAAAGATGCCTGCTTTCACCACTTCTATTCAGCACAGTAATGGAAGTTCTGTCCAGAGCAATTAAGTAAGAAAAATAAATAAATAAAAGACATCTAAATTAGAAGGGAAGAAGTAAAGCAGTATCCGTTTGCAGATGATATGATCTTATAGTAGAAAACTCTAAAGATTCCACAAAAAATCCCAACTAATAAATGCAGCAAAGTTGCAGAATACAAAATCAACTGACAAAAATCAGTTGTATTTTTATACACTAACAGTGAAAAATCTGAAAAGGAAATTAAGAAAACTATGATAGTATCAAAACTATTTATAGTATCAAAAATAATAAAATGCTAAGGAATAAAAGTAACAAAGGAAATGATGTGCTTATACACCGAAAACTACAAAATGTTGCTGAAAGACATGTAAAAAGACAAATAGAAACACACTCTGTTCGTGGATTGGAAAACTTAATATTGTTATGATCTCAGTACTACCCACAGCAGTCTACAAATTCAGTGCACCTCCTATCAAAATCCCAATGGAATAGAACAGAGAGCCCAAAAATAAACCCTTGCATACATGTTCAAAATATTTTTTGACAAGTTGTCAAGACCATTCAGTTGGAAGTGGATAGCCGGGCGCAATGGCTCATGCCTGTAATCCCAGCATTTTCAGAGGCCGAGGCAGGCGGATCGCTTGAGGTCAGGAGTTCAAGACCAGCCTGGCCAACATGGTGAAACCCTGTCTCTACTAAAAATACAAAGAATTAGCTGGACATGATGGCATGCACCTGTAATCACAGCTACTTGGGAGCCTGAGGCAGGAGAATTGCTTGAACCTGGGAGGCAGAAGTTGCAGTGAGCCAAGATCACGCTACTGCATTCCAGCCTGGGCAACAGAGAACAGAGTGAGACTCCATCTCAAAAAAAAAAAAAAAAAAAAAAAAAGGAAGTGGATGATCTTTCAGCAAATGGTGCTGGGTAACTGGATATTCACATTTTAAAGAATGAAGTTAGCCCTTACCTAACTAACATAATATATGAAAATTAACTCAAAATGGATCAAATACCTAAATGTAAGATAAGGCCTAAAACTATAAAAGTCTTAGAAGAAAACTTAGGGCAGAAGCTTCACAACATTGGATTTGGCAGTGATTTCTGGGATATGACACCAGAAGCACAGGCCACGAAAGAAAACATGGACAAATTGTACTTCATGGAAATTTTAACATTTTGTGCATCAAAAGACAATAACAAGAGTGAAAAAGGTAACTCATAGAATAAGAGAAAATACTTCCTAATGATATATCTGATAAAAAATATCTGGAATATATAGAGAACTCATGAAATGAGTCTTAAATGTAAGACCTGAAACAATAAAAATCCTATAAGAAACCCTAGGAAAAACTTCTGGACATTGGCCTAGACAAAGATTTATGACTAATCTCAAAAGCAAATGCAACAAAAACAAAAATAGACAAATGGGACTCAACTAAACTAAAAAGCTCCTGCACAGCAAAAGAAATAATCAACAGAGTAAACAGACAATCTACAGTATTTGCAAACTATGTATCTGACAAAGGACTAAATATCCAGAATCTATAAGGAACTCAACAAGTAAAAAACAGATAACCCCATTAAAAACAGGCAAAGGTCATGAGTGAACATTTCTCAAAAGAAGACATCTCAAGGGGTTGCCAACAAACATGAAAGAAATGTTCAACATTACTAATTACCAGAGAAGTGCAGATTTTAGGGCCACAATGAGATACCATCTCATACCAGGCGGAATGGCTATTATTAAAAAAGTCAAAAAACAGATTTTGGCAAGGATGTAGCAAAAAGGGAGTGTTTATACACTGTTGGTTGGAATATAAATTAGTACAACCTGTATGAAAACAGTATGGTGGTTTCTCAAAGAGCTAAAAATAGAACTATGATTTAATCCAGCAATCTCACTTCTGGGTATCTACCCCAGGAAAAGAAATCATTATATAAAAAGTATGCCTGCATTTGTATGTTTATCACAGCACTATTCACAGTAGCAAAGATAGGGAATCAACCTAAGTGTCCATCAGTGGATGATTGGATAAAGAAAATGTGTGTGGGTATGTGTGCGTGCGTGTGTGTGTGTGTGTGTGTGTGTATACACACACCATGTACTACTATCCTATACACACACCATGTAATATTATCCAGCCATAAAAAGAATGAAATCACGTATCTTGTAGCAACATTAATGGAACTGGGGGCCATTATCCTAAGTGAAATAATTCAGAAACAGAAAGTCAGATATCACATGTTCTCATTTATAAATGGGAACTAAACATGGACATACAGAGTGGAATAATAGACATTAGAGATTTCAAAAGATGGGATGGTTAAGAGGGATGTGAGGGATGAGAAATGACCTACTGGGTACAATGTATACTAATCAGGCAATGGGTACACTAAAGTCCATACTTCACCACTATGTAGTATATCCATGTAACTACATTTGTACTCCCAAATCTATTTTTTAAAAAAAATTAAGGTAAACCAAAACAAAACAAGCTTTTTTATAAAACAGAAAATTAAAGTATAATATAGTTATAATTTAAATATGAGTAGAAAACACATCAGAATCTCTGAGTCTTTTATATTTTGGCAATTAACTTATCTTACCAAAATATCTCCTAAGTAAAGGATGGTATAAACATGAGTCAGCAAATTTTTTCTGTGAAGAGTCAGATAGTAAATATTTTAGGCCTTGTGGGCCAGATAGTCTCTATCACAGCTTCCGAACTCTACAGTTACAGTGTGAAAGTAGCCATTAGAATGGATGTGGCCATGTTCCAGTAAGACTTTATTTACAAAAAGAGGCAGAACTCCATAGTTTGTCAACTCCTTGTATAAAGAAAACAGTTTTGCTGGCTTTCATTTGCATTAGGTGGATTGACCCTTCAGCCAGCTTAGAAAGCTTTTTATTTTGTAAACACTGAAAAAGATAAGGCAACAACTCGAAAATTTTTGCCTGGCAATTGAAAACTTGAACTGAAAGCCCTTTTTTAAATTCTTGATAAAATTATTTTACTTGTTTAGACTAAACTTTGGGAGAGGTCAACTTCCTAGACAGAGAATTTCATAGACATATATATTCTCTTTTTTTAGACAATGACCGTTTGCCAAGTAAAATTATCTAATGGCTTACTGGTACATGGGCCACAGTGCCACTCTGAAAATGAAGCCAAAGAGAAAGCTGCACTTTTTGCTTTACAACAGTTGGTAAGAACTGTCCATGACTTCTCTATTAAAATTTTTATTAGTCCCTATAGAAAGCTTGTATTGCATTGTCTTGTAACTTTTAAATACTTCCACAGGGCTCCTTAGGCATGAATTTCCCTTTGCCTTCACAAGTATTTGCAAATTATCCTTCAGCTGTACCACCTGGAACCATTCCTCCAGCCTTTCCCCCACCTACTGGTAAGATATTTTTCATTTATAAGTATTTGTCATTGAGTTGTTATTTTTACTAAGCTCTTTTAAGAAATCAAGAATGTACTCAAATATCTAGGAATGTAAGAAGAAATTGTGAGAAAGCCTAAAGCCACAGCCTGCAGATTCATCTAAAAGTACCATTCTCTTCCTACAGCCTCTAGTATGGCTAGAGTAGTAAGAAGAGGTTGAGTGGGCAGGCCCTTATTCTCCAGTAGCTGCTAACAGATAAATTTGTGTTTAAGTTAGACATCAAAAGGTAAAAAAAAAATCATGTAATTTCTTCAGGACTGTATTTTCTTATTGGTAGTAGACTATGTCCAAAATCTTGTTGAGACTAACATTTTGTAATTCTAAATCTTAAGTTCTGAGATTTTCTAAATCACTCAGCTTTTTTTCCTAATAGCAGTTGGCTTCCCTTTATCTTAATTATTATTGTTTTAAAGCCAATAATTTATTTAAGTTTAGAAAATCCCTTTTCTGCATCTACTGCCAGGTAATACTCCAGGAATTCTAAATATCTAATGCTTACAATAAGCATTAGAAAGGTGAATAATACTGATTAAATTTATGACATGCAGTTGTCTCTTCTCATTAAACTGAATAATAAAGGATTTCAAAAGTGTAAATCTGTGAGGATGAAGACAGAAGAAATATCAGCAGATTAGAGATTTGAAAAGAGTTTGTGTTGAGAAAAACAACTGCAGAAGTAACCATTTTAGCAGAGCAAGTTTAAAAGCTACAAGCTAAAGTGCCTGTAGAAGAGACTACAAATGAGCATAAGTAGATTGTCCCTCGCCGTTCCCAAGAGGTTCAGATCTTGGAGGCATCAGAAACTATTAGAGAAGATAAAGAGGAGGCATGTGCTGAAAAGAGAGGGATTGGTTGAAAGTCTATGTGCAAAGTGGTGAGACTACCCCCGTCTTCCCTCTGTGACGCAGCCAGACCTCTGCAAGCAAAAAACTGGAGGTGTGTTTTCTAGAGGAGCTATCTAGATATGGGAATACCAGGCAGAGAAGAGAATGGAATGTGAGACTGAAAACACAGAGATTAAGGAAAAGTTCCCTTTTTCTCATCCTGTTCTCAGATTGTAGCCAGTCATACCCTTCTCCCCAGATAGGAAATTGGAAGATGAAAAAAGAATAGAGTACAGGTAAAATTGTTAAGTAAAATTTTAAAATTTAGTAGATAAAGTCCTAGCAAAGCCAAGGAAGATAAAAGCTGTAAAATAAGAAAGAACAGAGACTTAGTGCACAGATCCAGCTCCCACCTTATTAGAGTTCCAGAAAAAGAGATCAGAGATGAAGGAAAGGAGGTAAGTGTCAAAAAAATAATAAACTTTTCTAAAACAAAACGATATGCATCTCTAAAAGAGCCACCAAATGTTGAGCACAATGAATAAAGACACAGATTATCTTCAGATTCTGAATACTAGTGATAAAAAGGTGGTCCTAAGAGATTCAGAGAAGAAATATGTACAAAGATCAAAAATTAGAATGGTACTGCACTATTGAACAGTGCCTAGAAGCCAGAAAGCATTGAATACCTCAAAACCCTGAGGCAGAATGAGTTTCATCCTAATTTCTCTGTATAGCCAAACTGTGAATCTAATACAAAGGAGACACAAAGATATTTTCAGATACGCAAATTTATTTCTTATGTACCCTTTTTTTTTTAAGCAACAAGGTCTCACTATGTTGCCCAGGCTGGTCTCAAAGTCGTGGACTCAAGCAGTCCTCCCACTTCAGCCTTCAGAAATGCTGAGATTACAAGCATGAGCCTTCATGCCTTGCCTACCCTTTCTTAAGAAGCTACTGAATTACATGCTCCAACAAAACAAAGCAGTAGTTTAAAAGAAAATTAGGAAACCAAAATAACAAATTGTAGATGTAGTATAGTTATACAATGAATGGAAATCCCAGGATGCCAGCTGCTCAGTGGGTCTAGAAAGTGACTAGTCCCAACTAGACAGGCAGAGGGAAGTCTTGGCAGTAAGGAAGGTTATTAATAGATGAGCAATGGGAAAACATTAAGGATGGGTATAGAGAAGACTAAGCAGCTTTTATTATATTTTTCCTAAAGAATTGATATGAGCAAGACTAAGCTTTTAAAAAATAATTATTAGCCTGGGCAACATGGCAAAACAGCCTGGGCAACATGATAAAACCCCATCTCTAATCTACAAAAAATACAAAGGTAGCCAGACATGGTGGCATGCACCTATAGTCCCAGCTACTTGGGAGGCTGAGGCGGGAGGATAACTTGAGCCTGGGAGGTCAAGGCTGCAGTGAGCTGTGATCGTGCCACTGCACCCCAGCCTGGGTGACAGAATGAGACCTGTCTCAAAAAAAAAAAAAAAAAAAAAGAAGATAATGACTAACTCAAGTAAAAACAAAAGGTTTTACAAGAAAATACATAATGGATCTCTTTTTACAAGAAAAGAAACATTATCAGAGTACCCAGCTTGGCTCTGCAGTGATAATATTTACATAGCCACATACCACAAATAGATAACACTGTTTGTATATTTAAACAAATGATGTAATGTACTTACATTGGGAGTACAGGGTAAGTAGTGAGGGGTAATGCAAAAAAACTAAATTTTGTTCTATCTGAATAGGAAGTCAGTAGACCTAAAAATGCCTAAAATTAATAAGTTATTAACAAGTAGCATAAGCAAATAATTGAACAGTGTGGAAATATCTAAAACAGTTAAACCTGGAGTAGAACAGATGTCTGCTGTTTTCTGTTGAAAATCTTTTTTAGGCCGGGCGCAGTGGCTCACGCTTGTAATCCCAGCAGTTTGGGAGGCAGAGGTGGGTGGATCACTTGAGGTCAGGAGTTCGAGACCAGCCTAACCAACATGGTGAAACCGTCTCTACTAAAAATACGAAAATTCTAAAATTAGCTGGGTGTGATGGCACACACCTGTAGTCCCAGCTACTCAGGAGGCTGAGGCAGGAGAATCGCTTGAACCCAGGAGGCAGAGGTTGCAGTGAGCTGAAATCGCGCCACTACACTCCAGCCTGGGTGACAGAGCTAGACTCTGTCTCAAAAAAAAAAAAAAGAAAAAGAAAATCTTTTTTAGTACAATGTATATGTAGTATTTTGATTTTTTTTAATGTAATTTGTCTAAGGTCATTAAGTTACTATCTAGCAGAACTGGCATCAAAATCCAAGTCTGAGCCAGGCTTGTTGACTCATGCTTGTAATCCCAGCACTTTGGAAGGCCTATCTCAAGAAAACCCCCAAAGGCCCAAACCAAACCAAAACAAAACATTGTTTATATAGTCAAAGGAATGCCAGTGCAGTACAGTAACAAAAGCATGGGCTTTGAAAACAGATAGCTGAGTGTGGTGGCTCATACCTGTAATCCCAGCACTTTGAGAGGCTGAGCTCAGAGGATCACTAGAGCCATGAGTTCAAGACCAGCCTAGGCAACATAGGGAGACCTTACTGCTACAAAAGATGGAAAAAATTAGCTGAGTGTGGTGCCATGTGCCTGTAGTTCCAGCTATTCAGGAGGTTGAGGCAGGAGGATCAGTTGAGCCTGTGAGGCGGAGGCTGCAGTGAGCCAAGATTGTGCCACTGCACTGTAGCCTAGGTCTCAAAAAAAAAAAAAAAAAAACAGACGACAGACTTGGATTTTTTTTTTTTTTTTTTTTTTTTTTTTTTGAGACAGAGTCCCACTCTGTCACCCAGGCTGGAGTGCAGTGGCATGATCAGGGCTCACTGCAGCCTCAACCTCCTTGGGCTCAGTTGATCCTCCTACCTCTGCCTCCCAAGTGGCTGGGACTATGGCACCCACCACCACACCTGGCTAATTTTTGTATCTTTTTATAGAGACAGGGTTTCACCATGTTGTTCAGGCTTGTCTCAAACTCTGGGCTCAAGGGATCCGCCAGCCTCGGCATCCCAAAGTGCCAGGATTACAGGCATGAGCCACTGTGCCCAGCCAACAATGTTTTAGTCATAAAGTTTTCATGACGTAATGGATCTGATGTTTTTATATAGCTCAATGTAATAGTATCACCGTAACTTATAAAATCTAATTTGACTGCTGCTGCTTCACATTCAAAAATGAATACAGTAGCTATGTATAGATTAATTTTAAGTAATTAGTATGTGTAGGGTACCTAAAAGTTTGCACACAAACTTCTCTAAAGAAGAATTGTCTTATGATCATATATTTTTTAAGAGGAATGTTTGTTTTCCCCATTTATTATTGATATTTTAACCTTTTTCATGTTGATTAGTTTATTCATACCTACTAATAATTTTAAGGTTATAATTGGAATGCTTTTGGTCCTATAAAGGTGTTCTCCAAATATTCCAGTTAAAATATGTAAATACATAAATGCCAAGATATTTGGAGGTTAATCAGCAGAGAACAACTTAAGCATTAGATTAACATTTTAAAGTTATTTTGTAAATTTCTATTTTATGGTATAAAAAAATTTGTGATGTAAAATGTCCCAGTTGAGGAATATGTATTTCATATTTGTAACAGTGATTTATTGGGGAAATTACGGAGTTGACCATTGTATAAGATTAGCATAGCATCTTTTAAATAGACCTTCTTAGCATTATGACTCCCACCAAAGTTGCTCGTAGATAGTTTCAAGACCTAATTTTCTACTTTTCTTAGGTCTCACTCTGTCAACCAAGTTAAAGTGCAGTGACATGATCTTGGCTCACTGCAACCTCCACCTCCCAGGCTCAAGCAATCCTCACACATTAGCCTCCTGAGTAGCTGGGACCACAGCCACGTGCCATGCCTGGCATCCCAAAGTGCTGGGATTACAGGCATGAGCCACTGCGCCTCGCCTAATTTTCTGAATCTTATTAGTGTTTTTCATATTAAAAGTTTTCTTCTTCTTAGAATTTGTGTATGTGTATTTCATAACACTGAAATATATTATGATTCTTCTCTCCTAACCTAAAAGTGTCTTAAATAGCTGAACTTTAATTAAGCTATACTGTTTTACAGGTCTGGCTGCTTTTTATCTCTATGAAAAGAATATTTGAACATAGTGCATATCTTCTTCAGTGGCGTGTGCTGGTGCCTTGAATGTCACTGTTTAATGTAGTTTTCAAATGCTCTACTGGTACAGGCTGTCTCCATAAGAATCGCCTATGGAGCTTAATACAAACTCCAGGGCCCCTCAGAGTCTGGCTTACTAGGTCTGAGGCCCTGTCCAGGAATCTGTATTTCACAAACTCCTCAAGTGATTCAGATATACAAATTAGATTTGGCACCCATTGGTTCATTACATTTTTAATAAACAAACTGTAAGTGAAAAAAGGCCTTGACTTCAAATATTAAAATAGAGAAAAGAAAGATTCTACCTGTCATATGAAGGTGATGAGATTTCAGGACTTGAGGTTTTTTGGTTTTTTTGTAGGCTGGGATCACTATGGAAGCAACTATGCATTGGGGGCAGGTGAGATCCTTAAGATTTCTCTATTTGTGCCCAAGCTTTTCTCTCACAAGGGACAATTTCATGACCCTTTTATTTTTTTTATAAATATAATTGCAAATATTCCTAAAACTTGTATCAGCATATGATATTAGTAGTAGTATTCTCCTTTTCAGGCCAGTATAATGATAAATTCATTTGTGTAGATAGTCCACACAGTCCTAGGAAAGGATCCTGAGGTTGAATGTTGTAAGGAAGAGTAATTATAGGTGAAGTAAGTGTAGGCCTTTTGCCAAAGGGGAAAAAAAAAGCCCAAAAAGGCTAGCAGAAGGAGGTCTCAAATTTCAGAGCTTTGATGATACCATTTTACTAAAAGAAAAATTTTCCTTGGTTTTTAACAGCTAATATAATGCCTTCGTCGTCTCATCTCTTTGGCTCAATGCCATGGGGACCATCGGTGCCAGTTCCTGGGAAGCCCTTCCATCATACTTTATATTCTGGGACCATGCCCATGGCTGGGGGAATACCAGGGGGTGTGCACAATCAGTTTATACCTCTGCAGGTAAGAAAAATAATATTTTTAAGATAATTATTTGTTTAATGCTGAAAGACTATTGATAAACATTTTTTTATTCAGTTTACTTATTCAGTGCCAACTAGAAGTTCAGTACTAGTGTGGGTAGTAAGAAGGCAATGGTTGACAAGTCTGACCTGTCTCTGCTCTCTGAGTTTGTGTTCTAATAAACAATAATTGTACCAAGTAATATGCTATTCTAATACAGATTGATTAAAATCAGTAATATAAATAAAATCACAAATATTTTCAAAATAACCTATGAAGAATTGTATTTTTATTATTATTATTATTATTCATTTTTTTGGAGAAGGATCTCACTCTGTAGCCCAGGCTGGAACGCAGCCCATGCACAATCTCGACTCCCTGCAGCCTTGACTTCCTGGGCTCAAGTGATCCTCCCATCTTAGACTCCCGAGTACCTGAGGCTACAGGCATGTGCCACCATGCCTGTCTAGTTTTTGTAATTTTTTTGTAGAGATGGGGTTTTGCCATGGTCTCGAACCCTAGGTCTCTACCGATCCACCTGCCTCGGCCTCCCAAAGTGCTGATATTACAGTTGTGAGCCACTGCACACAGCCCAAGAATTTTAAATATTTTGTTTGTAACTAAGTCCTTTGAATTACTAAAGTCTTACTTGGCAATTATAAGTGGAAGTCACAGATCAGCTGTGATTGACAAATATTAACAGCATGCATGGTTTATGGTAATTTCCAACACTAGCTAATTTTTTGCCTACATTATTAATTAGTGATGCTTTTATTCCTAACAGGTTACTAAAAAAAGGGTTGCAAACAAAAAGAACTTTGAGAATAAGGAAGCCCAGAGTTCTCAAGCCACTCCAGTTCAGACTAGCCAGCCAGATTCTTCCAACATTGTCAAAGTAAGTCCACGGGAGAGCTCATCAGCTTCTTTGAAGTCCTCTCCGATTGCTCAACCTGCATCTTCTTTTCAAGTTGAAACTGCCTCTCAAGGCCATAGTATATCTCACCATAAGTCAACACCAATCTCTTCTTCAAGAAGAAAATCAAGAAAACTGGCTGTTAATTTTGGTGTTTCTAAACCTTCTGAGTAAATTTGGCTCTTAGAATTAAGTTAATTTCTTCTCTTTCCATCTACCTTTTTATAAATACATATCTATGTCTCATAAAAATTAGAATGTACTATTTTAAAATAATATGTGTAAATTGAAATTTTTTTCATTTTTAAGTTATCAGGCACTTTTCATGCTGTTTAAAAGACTGTGTATCAAATTGTGCACTTTAAGTATGTGCAGTTTGTTGTATGTCAATTATACCTCAATAAATCTGTAATAAAAAACTAAATTAAACCTTGCATTAAAATAATATCACAGTATCAGTGGACTAAACATTAAAATGTACCACTCTAATCATTGGCCTCATGATTGAAGCATCCTGAACTATGAATTAGACATCAGTTAGCAATAATAAGCATTTTTTACACTATCATTGAGGAATAATTACATGGAGCATGAAATTTGGGCCTCCAGTATAACTTACTGAATGTGGATTTTATTTCTCTTTTTAATGATGTAAGAAAATTGTCAGGAGAATGGCTCTTATTTATGTGTGTTTTAACTTATGCTTTGTTGCCTCTGAGGGTCTTTAGACCTGCTGTGAAAGGATCACATTTGTTGTGGTGCTGCCAGTTTTGCTTTATTCTAAATTTTGTACCAAAGCAACTTTAGAATAATCAGAATATTTCATCTAACTGCTTAGAACTATAAATAGCATTCTAAATTTGAGTAAATACAATTTTTTAGGTTACTCAAGAACCAGCATTAGTAATTTCTAGTAAAATTGTTTCAAAATCTACAGGGTACAATGATTACAAATTAATCTTCTAACAAAATAAAATATGAAATATTAGTCATGTTAATTAATAAACTGTATTATTTTGTATAGCTTTTTATTTGCTTACCTGACATTTTATGAGAGCTTCATAGTTGGTCGGTATGTAGTGCTTCTTGGGACTGAAGAAATTCTAATTGTTGTTTAAGTTCCAAGGTGTGCTACAATATAGGAGGCACAGTCATCAGTTTGTGACATACATTATTTACTGCCTATTTCATTCTGATTCTATATTTTTAGCTTTATGCTGAACTGTTCAATGATGCTGGGATTCTCTCTTTGCATGTCATATGTGAATGTGTGGTTCAAGCTGTAACTGTTGAAATTATTTTAGAATTTATGACGATTTCTCAGCAGGGCCTATGTTTATATATATATATATATTTATTCTTTAGTTTTTGTGATATGCTTATATTTTTAAGGAAGTAAGTTATAGCATACTTTTTTAAAAGTAGGAACCACAATCTTTATATGGAGCAGCTTGTTATATCTGATTTTCATGTAACTCATTGGAAACTCTGCCATGACTCTTAAAGTAGTCTTACTTGTTTTTTAAAATGCTGGTATTAAACTAAATGGACTCCTTTCACTAACTGCTGATTTCAGAGTTTAAATGTTAGCAGGATATTTGTGTATTAGCAGTGCCTTCAGTATAAGAGAGAAATATTCATTATCTGTCATTTATCATAGTCGTATAAGTTTCCATGATTTTATTTTCTGTTATTTTCATAAGTTCAGATGTTTATCAGTTCCCAACATTGTTTCTTTATCTGTAGTGGGATCTTGAGTAATGAGGCTCAAGTAAATCCTCAATGTGTATAATTATTGCCTCATAAACTCTCTCTTTGTTTTTAAAGGAAACATCTATTATGGTAATACAAAGAAAAGTTAAATTGTGACAGTAATGTTATATTAACCTCTTCCTACTTTAAAGTGTGAAATGTTTCACCTCAGCTGTACAAACTCCAGCATTGAGAATTTGCCTCACTCATTACTCCTGTGTGACAGTTATATAAATAGCATGCAGCTCACATCTGTTTTAGAGCATAGAAGAAGCGGCACCTGCCATCTTCTGAAAACTCCAAAGGGAAATTTCAGTAGACATAGTGCACTAAACCCATAAGGATACTTGACCAATATTTGAGCACAGCAAGCTGACAGTTCTATACAGATAGGCAGTGAAAGAGTTTTATTTTCCAGCCAGGCGCAGTGGCTCAAATCCCAGCACTTCGGGAGGCTAAGGCAGGCGGATCACTTGAGGTCCGGAGTTCCAGACAAGCCTGGCCAACATGATGAAGCCCTGTCTCTACTAAAAATACAAAAATTAGCCGGGCGTGATGGCACATGCCTTTAGTCCCAGCTACTCGGGAGGCTGAGGCATGAGAATCATTTGAACCCGCGAGGCAGAGTCTGCAGTGAGCCGAGATTGCACCACTGCACTCCAGCCTGGAGAGCAGAGCAAGACTCTGTCTCAAAAAAAAGAAAAAAGTTTTATTATCCTTACTTTTTTTTTAACATTATTATTCTAAAGGTCAAAACTGAGAAGAGATTAAGATAGGAGAGAGCTCCATAATGGCTGGATAGTGGTCAGGCATTCTCTATTCTTTTCCCCCTGTAGACCCATTCTAAATGTGGGCCTGAGGTCAATGGGAGATGTGCCCTCCCTATGGAGGATGTAAGAAGCAGAGGCCATTTCTGCCCCATGTTGAGGAAACAATCTGTTGATAGACCTGGAATTTAGAGTATATCTGAAAAGCAGTTGGACTTCAAGAAATTTAAAATTCTCTCTTTGAGATGGGGTGGACTAAGACCACCCCCAAAGTTTAAAAATATGCTCATTCAACTTGAATCTTCTGAGGACTTTTTGTGAAAATGGTGGACTGTTTAGGGCATAGGACAGATTCCCCAAATTGCTTTATGCTTCCACATAACTAGAGCACTTCAATCTATTTAAGCCTTTGTCTCCTAACTGAAACATTATTTCTAAATATTTCTATTCAATAAGTTTTTTCTTTTTTGAGCAACTTAAGTGAATTTTGAAGATTGCTCCTTCCAGTCTCGTTCCTTTTCACATTTTCCTGCATTACCTAATAATTACCTCAGCGTTAGAATTTGAATGTATTAATTGATTTAAACATCATGTAGACTAAAGTCTTAAACATCTAAGACTCAGTTGTAGTTGCAGAAAAAAATTAAAGTCACCTCTACTGAACCTTGGTTTCAATTTAAGATTTTTCTTGCTTTTCAAAGGGGTAACTAATAAAGATTGAAGGGTTTTTTTCCCGATTGGTGGAGGAATGAAGAACTATTGATGCAAGTTTTTTTATTGTTTCTTTCTATGATCAGGTACCTGCTTTCATTTTAGACTGCTACTTCCAAACTAAGCTAGATTCTTGGTTTTAATGAGAGGAGGCAGAGAGAGGGAGGCAGATGGAAGAAGAAAAACAGTTAAATAAGACATACCCAGTCACTGCATTTTTGGACTATACCGTATCTTTCTAGCACAAGGAAATAGATAAACTGTAAGGTCTTTTTTACTCACTTTTTATTTATGTGTTCTATTTGTGTTAGTCATAACTGTTTATAGTGGTTGTCTAATTTTTACTTTTATTATATGAGATAGAGCTGTGCAGATCTTCACTCAAGTTAGTTCTGTCACGCTTCTTCCCATTATTTAGAGCACAGTTTTTTAAAGCAACTGTACAATTTCTCAGCCTTATGAGCTTGCTGTATTTCTTGGTATCATGTTGCTTCCAAATTTTGTTTTTACTGTAGAAGACAATTAATTTATTGTAGAGAAGTGGCTGTGAAAGTCGTTCTCTGTCTTTAAAAATCAATTGCAGAAGTTCATTTGTCATTTTTCTAGAGATAAATTATAGTACTCAAACTGGCAGTGCTCAGTATATACATTTTGTAAGCTTTGTCAGTGAAACCATCAGTTTTGCAGGAGCTTCCTTTCCTAGTCAAGATAAAGCTTAAAATTCCAGAAATTAATGTCGTTCGGACTGACTTTATTCATATTTCCATCAAACTTCTCCAATACAGTAAGAGATAGTGTTGAACCAGCATCAAGTCTCCAGAAACATGGCAGAGCAGACAGGCCGTTAAGTTTCACAGACATCATAGATCCTTTTCTTAAAGAAGAAAAACATGTATAAAATAGTTTTAGTAGTCCAAAATGTCAACTATCTGTAGCTGCTTTTGTGTGTGTGTCAGTGAACAAATAATAATGCCTTGCTCAATCAATGCATTCAGCCATCTCAAGTGCAATTTGTGAAGGAGACTATGGTTTCCAAAAGATACATTTTTTTACAAAGTTAAACCTGTAAAAAGTCTTTTTTTTTTTCCCTCCAGCCGTACACCAACTGCACTTGGTTGTTTCAGCAGTTGGTATACTATTAAATTGTCCAGGCCAAATAGGTTTCTGTAGCTGTTTTAGTAATTTGAAGCCAAATTCTCATGCTGTTTCTCATTAAAAAGAATGAGAATTTGGTCCATAGTTAGCTTTAAGTTCTCTCTTCCTTTCTTTCCCTTACAGTTAAGGGTTTGGTGGGGGATGGGGAGGTTGTTTTCGTTTTTTGGATTTTTTTGTCTTTTGGCTTTAAGTATCATATTTTCTTTTGCCTGTATCCAACTGCTTCTTTGAGTATTTTCATCTAGTTTAATGTGAGTAATAGATGCTGTGCTGTCATTGAAGTGTTCAACATTTTGTTCATTTAAACAAAAGTGTAATTCATACATATATAGATACATATCTTAATTGATTTCTCAACTATTTTATAAGTAACTGGAATTTTTCATTAGATCTTATACAGAGAAGTATTTTATTAAAAATTCAAAAGGGAAGACTTTTATGTGCTCATTTTGTAATTTTTGATTTTAAATATCTTTACATTGTCTGCCAATTAAAGTGTTTTAAACTTGCATTGGAATGGACTCCGAATGTATTTTTGTGGTGTTACGTTATCCGTAGATTTCTAGCATGAAGTTAGCCTCACGATGCTGTGCAAAGGATTTTAAAATATGAGAGTCACTGAAAGAGTTTAAACATCTGTTCATGTTAAATGCTCTATGGATTTTAATTAAAGACTTGAGAATGATTTTATAAGCTGTTTGTTCTTTTATTACTATGCTGATATCAAAAGTAGAAACATTAGTCTTTTTGTTTGTTTGTTTTTGAGACAGAATCTTGCTCTGTCGCCCAGGCTGGAGATCTCGGCTCCCTGCAGCCTTCACCTCCCAGGTTCAAGCGATTCTCTTGCCTCAGCCTCCTGAGTACCTGGGACTACAGGCACATGCCACCATGCCTGGCCAATTTTTTAATTTTTTTTATTTCCATAGGTTATTGGGGAACAGGTGGTGTTTGGTTACATGAATAAGTTATTTAGTGGTGATTTGTGAGATTTTGGTTCACCCATCACCTGAGCAGTATACACTGCACACAATTTGTAGTCTTTTATCCCTTGGCCCCTTCCCACACTTTCCCTCTGACCCCCAAAATCCATTGTGTCATTCTTATGCGTTTGCATCCTCATAGCTTAGCTCCCACTTATGAGTGAGAACATACAATGTTTGGTTTTTCATTCCTGGGTTACTTCACTTAGAATAATAGTCTCCATTCTCATCCAGGTTGCTGCAAATGCCACTAATTCATTCCTTTTTATAGCTGAGTAGTATTCCACTATACACTATGTGTGTGTGTGTGTATGTACATATATGTCTGTATGTACATATATGTCTGTACATATATGTCTGTATGTACATATATGTCTGTACATATATGTCTGTCTGTACACACACACCACAGTTTATCTACTTGTTGATTGATGGGCATTTGGTTTGGTTCCACTGTTTTTTTGTTTGTTTGTTTTTTGAGATGGAGTTTTTGCTCTTATCGCCCAGGCTGGAGTACAATGGCGTGATCTCGGCTCACTGCAACCTCCGCCTTCCAGGTTCAAGCAATTCTCCTGCGTCAGCCTCCCCAGTAGCTGGGATTACAGGCACATGCCACCACGCCCAGCTAATTTTTGTATTTTTAGTAGAGACAGGGTTTCACAATGTTGGCCAGGCTGGTCTTGAACTCCTGACCTCAGGTGATCCACCTGCTTCAGCCTCCCAAAGTGCTGGGATTACAGGCATGAGCTACCACACCCAGTCTGGTTCCACGTTTTTGCAATTGCGAATTGTGATGCTATAAATATATGTTCAAGTATCTTTTTCATATAATGACTTCCTTTCCTCTGGGTAGATACCCAATAGTGGGATTGCTGGATCAAATAGTAGTTCTACATTTAGTTCTTTAAGGAATCTCCACACTGTTTTCCATAGTGGCTGTAGTAGTTTACATTCCCACCAACAGTGTAGAAGTGTTCCCTGTTCACCACATCCACACCAACATATATCATTTTTTGTTCTTTTTTTTTTTAACTAGGGCCATTCTTGCAGGAGTAAGGTGGTATCGCATTGTAGTTTTAAGTTACATTTCCCTGATTGTTAGTGATGTTGAGTATTTTTTCATATCTTTGTTGGCCATTTGTACATCATCTTTTTAGAATTTTCTATTCGTATCCTTAGCCCACTTTTTGATGGGATTGTTTGTTTTTTTCTTGCTGATTTGTTTGAGTTTGTTGTAGATTCTGGATATTAGTCCTTTGTCAATTGTATAGATAGTGAAGATTTTCTCCCACTCTGTGGGTTGCCTGTTTACTCTGCTGACTTCCTTTTGCTGTGCAAAAGCTCTTTCGTTTAATTATGTCCCAGCTATTTATCTTTGTTTTTATTGCATTTTCTTTTGGGTTCTTGGTCATGAAATCCTTGCCTAAGCCAATGTCTAGAAGGTTTTTCCAATGTTATCTTCTAGAATTTTTATAGTTTCAGGTCTTAGATTTAAATTCTTGATCCATCTTGAGTTGATTTTTGCATAAGGTGAGAGACGAGGATCCAGTTTCATTCTCCTACATGTGGCTTGCCAATTATCCCAGCACTATTTGTTGAATAGGGTGTCCTATCACCACTTTATGTTTTTGTTTGCTTTATTGTTGTGGGAAGTCAGGGACCCCAAACAGAGGGACCGGCTGAAGCCATGGCAGAAGAACATGGATTGTGAAGATTTCATGGACATTTATTAGTTCCCCAATTTAATACTTTTATAATTTCTTATGCCTATCTTTACTGCAATCTCTAAACACAAATTGTGAAGATTTCATGGACACTTATCACTTCCCCAATCAATACCCTTGTGATTTCCTAGGCCTGTCTTTAATATCTTAATCCTGTCAGCTGAGGAGGATGTATGTCACCTCAGGACCCTGTGATAATTGCATTAACTGCACAAATTGTAGAACGTGTGTTTGAACAATATGAAATCTGGGCACCTTGAAAAAAGAACAGGATAACAGCAATTGTTTAGGGAATAAGAGAGATAACCTTAAACTGACCGCCGGTGAGCCAGGCGGAAAAGAGCCATGTTTCTCTTCTTTCAAAAGCAAATGGGAGAAATATCGCTGAATTCTTTTTCTTAGCAAGGAACATCCCTGAGAAAGAGAATGCACCCCTGAGGGTGGGTCTGTAAATGGCCCCCTTGGGTGTGGCCGTCTTCTATGGTCGAAACTGTAGGGATGAAATAAACCTCAGTCTCCCATAGCGCTCCCAGGCTTATTAGGAAGAGGAAATTCCCGCCTAATAAATTTTGGTCAGACCGTTTGCTCTCAAAACCCTGTCTCCTGATAAGATGTGATCAATGACAATGGGGCCCGAAACTTCATTAGCAATTTTAATTTCACCCCGGTCCTGTGGTCCTGTGATCTTGCCCTGCCTCCATTTGCCTTGTGATATTCTATTACCTTGTGAAGTACGTGACCTTTGTGACCCACACGCTGTTTGTACACTCCCTCCCCTTTTGAAAGTCCCTCATAAAAACGTGCTGGTTTTGTGGCTTGTGGGGCATCACGGAACCTACCGACATGTGATGTCTCCCCTGGATGCCCAGCTTTAAAATTTCTCCCTTTTGTACTCTGTCCCTTTTTTTCTCAACCTGGCCGATGCTTAGGGAAAATAGAAAAGAACCTATGTGACTATCAGGGCAGGTTCCCTGATACTGTATGGAAGATCAGTTGGCTGCAAGTATTTGGGTTTATTTCTGAGTTCTTTGTTCTGTTCCATTGTTCTACGTGCCTATTTTTATACCAGTACCATGCTGTTTTGGTGACTATGGACTTATACCATAGTTTGAAATCAGGCAATGTGATGCCTCCAGATTTGTTTTTTTTTTGTTTTTGTTTTTTTTAGTTCTATGAAGAATGATGGTAGTATTTTGATGGGGATTGCGCTGAATTTGTAGATTGCTTTTGGCAGTATGGTCATTTTCACAATAATGATTCTACCCATCCATGAACATAGGATGTGTTTCCATTTGTTTGTGTCATCTGTGATTTCTTTCAGCAGTGTTTTGTAGTTTTCCTTGTAGAGGTCTTTCAACTCCTTGGTTAGGTATACTCCTAAGTATTTTATTTTTTTTGCAGCTATTTTGATTCTCAGCTTGGTCGCTGTTGTTGTGTAGAAGAGCAACTGATTTGTGTACATTAATTTCGTATCTGGAAATTTTGCTGAATTCTTTTATCAGTTCTAGCAGCTTTCTGGAGGAGTCTTTGTGGTTTTCTAGGTAAACAATCATATCATCAGCAAACAGCGACAGTTTGATTTCCTCTTTACCAATTTGGATGCCCTTTATTTCTTTCTCTTGTCTGATTGCTCTGGCTAGGAATTCCAGTACTATGTTAAAGGGAAGTTGTGAGAGTTATTCCAATTCTCAGAGGGAATACTTTCAACTCTTCTTTTTTTTTTTTTTTTTTGAGACAGAGTCTTGCTGTCACCCAGGCTGGAGTGCAGTGGTACAATCTTGGCTCACTGCAACCTCCACCTCCCAGGCTCACGCTATTCTCCTGCCTCAGCCTCCTGAGTACCTGAGACTACAGGCATGTGCCACCATGTCGAGCTAATTTGTGTGTGTGTGTGTATTTTTAGTAGAGACAGGGTTTCACCATGTTGGCCAGGATGTTCTCGATCTCTTGACCTCGTGATCTGCCTACCTTGGCCTCCCAAAGTGCTGGGATTACAGGCGTGAGCCACTGCATCCAGCTGCTTTCAGCTTTTTCCCATTCAGTATTATTTTGGCTGTGGGTTTGTCATAGATGGCTTGTATTATGTTGAGGTATGTCCCTTGTATGCCGATTTTTCTGAGAATTTTAATCATAAAGGATGCTGGATTTTGTCTAATGCTTTTTCTGCATCTATTGAGATGATCATGTGATTTTTTGTTTTTAATTCTATTTATGTGGTATATCACATTTATTGACTTGCATATGTTAAACCATTCCTGCATCCCTGGTATGAAACCCACTTGATCATGGTGGATTATCTTTCTGGATACATTGTTGGATTTGGTTAGCTAGTATTTTTGCATTTATGTTCATCAGGGATATTGGTCTATACTGTTCTTTTTTGGTTATGTCCTGTCCTTGGTTTAGGGTGATACTTGCTTCATAGAATGATTTAGGGAGGATTCCCTCTTTCTCTGTCTTGTGGAATAGTGTCAGTAGGATTGGTACCAATTCTCCTTTGAATGTCTGGTAGAATTCTGCTGTGAATCTTGTCCCGTACTTTTTTTTGTTAGTAATTTTATTACCATTTCAATCTTGCTGCTTGTTATTGGTCTGTTCAGGGTATCTAATTCTTCCTGATTTAAGCTAGATGGGTTGTAACTTTCCAGGAATTTATCCATCTCCTCTAGGTTTTCTAGTTTATGCATGCAAAAGTGTTCATAGTAGCCTTTGTATTTCTGTGATGTCAGTTGTAATATCTCCCATTTCATTTCTAATTGAGCTTATTTGAATTTTCTCTCTTCTTGGTTAATCTTGCTAATGGTCTATCAGTTTTATTTATCTTTTCAAAGAACCAGCTTTTTGTTTCATTTATCTTGTTTTTTTGTTTGTTTGTTTGTTTCAATTTAATTTAGTTCTGATCTGATCTTAATTATTTCCCTTCTCCTACTGGGTTTGGGTTTGGTTTGTTCTTGTTTCTCTAGTTCCTTGAAGTGTGACCTTAGATGGTCTGTTTGTGCTCTTTCAGACTTTTTGATGTAGGCATTTAGGGCTATGAACTTTCCTCTTAGCACCGCCTTTGCTGTATCCCAGAGGTTTTGATAAGTCATGTCACTATTGTCGTTCAGTTTGAAGAATTTTTAAATTTCCATCTTGATTTCATTTTTGACCCAATGCTTATTCAGGAGCAGGTTTTTTAATTTCCATGTATTTGCATGGTTTTGAAGCTTCCTTTTGGAGTTTATTTCCAGTTTTATTCCACTGTAGTCTGAGAGAGTGCTTGATATAATTCAATTTTCTTAAATTTATTGAGGCTTGTTTTGTGGCCTATCATATGGTCTATCTTGGATAAATTTCTATGCACTGATGAATAGAATGAATATTCTGCATTTGTTGGGTAGAAGGTTCTGTAAATATCTGTTAAGTCCATTTATTCCAGGGTATAATTTAAATCCATTGTTTCTTTGTTGACTTTCCTGTCTTGATAACCTGTCTAGTGCTGTCAGTGGAGTATTGAGGTCCCCCACTGTTACTGTGTTTCTGTCTGTCTCATTTCTTAGATCTAGTAGTAATTGTTTTATAAGTTTGGGAGCTCCAGTGTTAAGTGCATATATATTTAGGATTGTGATATTTTCCTGTTGGACAAGGCCTTTTATCATTATATAATGTCCCGCTTTGTCTTTTTTAATTGCTGTTGCTTTAAAGTTTGTTTTGTCTGATATAAGAGTAGCTACTCCTGCTTGCTTTTGGTGTCCATTTGCATGGAATGTCTTTTTCCACCCCTTTACCTTAAGTTTATGTAAGTCCTTGAGTGTTAGGTGAGTTTTTTGAAGGCAGCAGATGGTTGGTGAATTCTTATCCATTCTGCAATTCTGCATCTTTTAAGTGGAGCATTTAGGCCATTTGCATTCAATGTTAGTATTGAGATGTGAGGTACCATTCCATTTATTGTGCTGTTTGTTGCCTATATACCTTGGTTTTTTGGTTGTTGTTTTTTTTTTATTGAATTTTTGTCTTATAGGTCCTGTGAGACTCTTCTGTTCTCTCTCCTTTTCCTTTCCATCATTCCCTCTATCTTTCCTCCCATGCAGTGGAAGATTGTTACAGAGCAATGTAGGGAGAGGCTTAGTTCCTATTAATTCCTATTCTTAAGACTGGAGAAGGCCATGCATGGTGGCTCATGCCTGTAATCCCAGCACTTTGGGAGGCCATAGTGGGCAGATTGCTTGAGCTCACAAGTCTGAGACCAGCCTGGACAACATGGCAAAACCCCATCTCTATTTTTTTTTTTTAAATTAATAGAGATCAGACACAGGAGTTTAAATAAGTTGCTCCAAAAAAATTTGCCAGGTGTGGTGGTGCACACCTGTGGTCCCAGCTACTCAGGAGGCTAAAGTGGAAGAATTGCTTGAGCCCGGGAGGCAGAGGTTGCAGTGAGCCATGATGGCGCCACTGCACTCCAGCCTGGGTGACAGAGAAAAAAACAAACAAACAAAAAACAGAGAGTCTTCACAATAGCAAAGACATGGAATCAACCTAGGTGCCCAACAGCGGTGGATTGAATAAAGAAAACGTGGTACATACACACCATAGAATTCTATACAGCCATAAAAAAGAACAAATTCATGTGCTTTGCAGCAACATGGATGTAGATGGAGGCCATTATCCTAGGCAAATTAACACAGGAACAGAAAACCAAATACAGCATATTCTCACTTATAAGTGGGTGCTAAATATTAGGTACTCATGGACATAAAGATGATAACAATAGACACTGGGGACTACTAGAGTGGGGAGGGATGGTAGGGGACAACGGTTGAAAACTATTAGGTACTATGTCACTTCCTGGGTGACAGACTCATTCTTACCCCAAAACAGCATTATACAATATACCCATCTAACAAACCTGCACATGTACTAAAATAAAAGTTGAAATTTAAAATCTTGTTTAAAGACTGGAGAGGCTACAAGACTAACAAACCTTGCCAATATTGATCATGTCTTAGAGTATAACTCTGATGCATTTTTTACCAAAATCCCTTTATGGTAGGGTAGGAAGGAATTGGAAAGAAGATAGTAAGGAGGGAAGAAAGCCTTCCTGCTATTTCTGCTTCCAGCTTTGCCCCATAAACCTATCTCTCCTATTGTACTTTATGAGTACAATATGACCAGGAGGAGTGCTCACATTCTGATATGGTATTCAGCCACCTGGATCCAGGAGGAAACGTGGTCTAGGACTACCAGTGGAGACTTAGCTGGCTGGCTTTCTACTTTATTCCCCAGGCTACCGGCTCCCCACACTGAGATTCTCAGGGACTGCCCCTCTTCACCCAACTCCTATCCCCTCATTGGGCCTCCCATCTTGGTAATATTTTTTTTACTTGAGAAGCAAAACAAGCCAAAACCCACTCAAACTAGCTTATGAAAAGGAAGTGTGTTGTAAGAATGTGGGCCAATCTCAGAGAATCCAATCTAGGAAGGACAATCAGGCTTCATTGGGGATGTTACCTTCCAATTCACTCTGTCTCTTCTCCATGGGGTCTTGGGGTCTGTGTGGTCTATGACTCTGCAGATCAGGTCTTTGTTCATTTATCCAGAGGAGGGATGGGGAGGGCAAGGCCACCATGAGGAGGGGCAGTCCCTGCTGAGCTGCGAGTGGACAACTTCTCTTACGGAATCTGGACAGGCAGGTGAGAAAATGCTGACCAATCTAGGGTAGGCTCTTAAGCAACAACCACACCTTGGGCCAGCAGTCAGTCAAATCCTTAAAGAGTTTTACATAGAAGATGGTCTGCAAACCAGCTTTGGCAAATATTCACCAAAGCTTATTGTCTATGACACATCTGTAGTCAGCTCTCAATCCCAGCTAAATTCCTTCAAGTTGCAAAATGTTGGTTTTAGAAATTTCCAGTGCTTTATAGAGTCACTGATTCCTATAGTTCTGGGAGTCCTAACTCTGTTTTAAAATACAGAATAGATATACATTCTAAATATATTTTTATTCTAAATCTAGAATGAAAAAGACCTATATCTACTGATTATTAAATGCTCATTAATTATTATATCCCAGGCTAATGTCCTGAGTAGTTTATATACATTATCTCACTTAATCCTTATAACCCTATGGAATAGGTGGTTTTCACCTATGCAGTAGACTGATTCGAAATCCTACATTCCTAACTACTTTGCTCTACTATAAGGCCTAGGTTTTATTTATTTTTTGAGACAGAGTCTCCCTCTGTCACCCAGGATGGAGTGCAGTGGCACGACCTTGGTTCACTGCAACTTCTGCCTCCTGGATTCAAGCAATTCTTCTGCCTTAGCCTCCCGAGTAGCTGGGATTACAGGCGAGCACCACCAAGCCCAGCTAATTTTTTTTTCTTTCTTTTTTTTTTTTTTTTTTTTTTTTTTTTTGAGATGGAGTCTTGCTCTGTTGCCAGGCTGGAGTGCAGTGGCATGATCTCAGCTCACTGCAATCTCCAACTCCCGGGTTCAAGCGATTCTCCTACCTCAGCCTCCCTAGTGGCTGGGATTACAAGCACACACAACCACATCCAGCTAATTTTTGTATTTTTAGTAGAGACAGGGTTTCACCATGTTGACCAGGATGGTCTTGATCTCCTGACCTCGTGATCCACCCGCCTCGGCCTCCCAAAGTGCTGGGATTACAGGCATGAGTTACTGTGCCTGGCCCAGTTTTGTGTTTTTAATAGAGACGGGGTTTTGCCATGTTGGCCAGGCTTGACTTGAATTCCTGACCTCAAGTGATCCACCTGCCTCAGCCTCCCAAAGTGCTGGGATTACAGCATGAGCCACCACGCCCGGCCTAGGTCTAGGTTTTATAATATGGTTTTTATGTCAACAGTGGATAGTTTTATTACGAATATATTCTTTCACTTATTTGCTATTTATTAGTATCTCCTAAGGGCCTAGCACTACCATGGGGGCTACGAATAGAACATCTAATCTTGACTGTCCATAGAGCCTAGTAGAGGAGGGATGGGGAAACCACCAGACACAAGAGCAGCATGACAAATATACAAGAAAGAAGTACTTCAAAGGCTGGGAAGTTATTGGGGACTTTTCTTGGAGGAGCTGAGCTTTAAAGGAGATTGATCAGAGCTGGATTATGTATGATACACATTAAGAGAGGTAAAATGGAAGCAAAAGCAGGCACCAGCATAAAGAACATTGCAAACCAGGTGAAAGTGTTTGAATTTCATCCTAAATGCCATGTTAGTGAGAGCTTTTTTGTTTGGATACAACAAAATCTCACTTAAACTAGCTTGAGAAAAAATAAAATAAGAATGGGGTTGAAGATTTATCCATAAGGATGCAGGAAAATCATCTAGATTCCAAAGACAGGAACACAGCTGGGTTTTAAAGGGACTTTGACCAAGAACAAGAAAGCCATCAGGAACCGGGGTAGCTGCCTCCTCTAGTCTCACCTCTGCCTTTCTATTTAACATGCATGGCTTCTATATGCCAGTTACACATTGCCTTGGTTCCAGCAATCAGTCTAGAATAAGCATCTCCATCTCAACTCCAAATGTGGTAAGTTTACATCAGATGGCCACCTCTGTGCCTAATTCAAGTAAGGTCAACTAATGTAAATGCTCACTATGTTGCTTAGGCTGGTCTTGAACTCCTGAGCTCAAGTGATCCTCCCACCTTTGCCTCCCAAAGTGCTAGGATTATAGGCATAAGCCACCACACCTGGCCCTATTTGATAATTTTTTTGAAGGGTTACTTGGTTTGAAAATGAAAACTGGTGGCATTGAAGAGAACAGAGAGTGAAAAGCATAGACAGGGAGACAGAAAGCTATTTAGTAATTCAAGTGAGAATGATGTGGCTGCACTCTTAGAAGCTCTTGTATTGTTCAGCATGTTGGATATTGAAGTGAAACAAGAAATGTGGAAGGAGAGTCTCCAAGATCACCCTCTGAGGCTGACCTATTAATATTTACCAGAGATTCTCTCTGGTGTGTTGCATTTCAGGTGTATCAGCTTCAGAAATGACACGAGATCATCAAGCCTAATTGAGGTGAATTACTTTCTCCCACACTCTCCCATATATGACCTGCTGAATCTCTTTATTGTCTAAGAAATGTAGAAGTTCCTTCCAAGAAGTCTTTCAGCCTTATGGAATTTCCTAGAATGTCAAATGGATGTTGCCTTCTACAATCACATTCATGGATTATTACCAAGAGCATAAGCTCCTATTTCTTACCAATAATGCATCACCTTACCTTTGATTATTATGTTAGAACAGCATGTTCTACAAAAGAAAACTGGGCACAGATTGGTGGAAAAAAATCTCTCATGTTATGGCCAAAGCTGGAAATTTCTCCGCTACCTTGGTTTCAGGGCTTTATAACTTCTTTTTTTTTTATTATTATTATACTTTAAGTTTTAGGGTGCATGTGCACAATGTGCAGGTTAGTTACATATGTATACATGTGCCATGCTGGTGTGCTGCACCCACTAATTCATCATCTAGCATTAGGTGTACCTCCCAATGCTATCCCTCCCCACTCCCACCACCCCACAACAGTCCCCGGAGTGTGATGTTCCCCTTCCTGTGTCCATGTGTTCTCATTGTTCAATTCCCACCTATGAGTGAGAATATGCAGTGTTTGGTTTTTTGTTCTTGCGATAGTTTACTGAGAATGATGATTTCCAATTTCATCCATGTCCCTACAAAGGACATGAACTCATCATTTTTTATGGCTGCATAGTATTCCATGGTGTATATGTGCCACATTTTCTTAATCCAGTCTATCATTGTTGGACATTTGGGTTGGTTCCAAGTCTTTGCTATTGTGAATAATGTCGCAATAAACATACGTGTGCATGTGTCTTTATAGCAGCATGATTTATAGTCCTTTGGGTATATACCCAGTAATGGGATGGCTGGGTCAAATTGTATTTCTAGTTCTAGATCCCTGAGGAATCGCCACACTGACTTCCACAATGGTTGAACTAGTTTACATTCCCACCAACAGTGTAAAAGTGTTCCTATTTCTCCACATCCTCTCCAGCACCTGTTGTTTCCTGACTTTTTAATGATCATCATTCTAACTGGTGTGAGATGGTATCTCATTGTGGTTTTGATTTGCATTTCTCTGATGGCCGGTGATGGTGAGCATTTTTTCATGTGTTTTTTGGCTGCATAAATGTCTTCTTTTGAGAAGTGTCTGTTCATGTCCTTTGCCCACTTTTTGATGGGGTTGTTTGTTTTTTTCTTGTAAATTTGTTTGAGTTCATTGTAGATTCTGGATATTAGCCCTTTATCAGATGAGTAGGTTGCGAAAATTTTCTCCCATTTTGTAGGTTGCCTGTTCACTCTGATGGTAGTTTCTTTTGCTGTGCAGAAGCTCTTTAGTTGAATTAGATCCCATTTGTCAATTTTGGCTTTGGTTGCCATTGCTTTTGGTGTTTTAGACATGAAGTCCTTGCCCATGCCTATGTCCTGAATGGTAATGCCTAGGTTTTCTTCTAGGGTTTTTATGGTT
Source organism: Homo sapiens (assembly GCF_000001405.40). Lineage (NCBI taxonomy): Eukaryota > Metazoa > Chordata > Mammalia > Primates > Hominidae > Homo > Homo sapiens. The sequence goes on along the minus strand of NC_000003.12, from coordinate 142,295,101 downwards.
TTAGGTCTAACATGGAAGTCTTTAATCCATCTTGAATTGATTTTTGTATAAGGTATAAGGAAGGCATCCAGTTTCAGCTTTCTACATATGGCTAGCCAGTTTTCCCAGCACCATTTATTAAATAGGAAATCCTTTCCCCATTGCTTGTTTTTCTCCGGTTTGTCAAAGATCAGATAGTTGTAGATATGTGGCGTTATTTCTGAGGGCTCTGTTCTGTTCCATTGATCTATATCTCTGTTTTGGTACCAGTACCATGATGTTTTGGTTACTGTAGCCTTGTAGTATAGTTTGAAGTCAGGTAGTGTGATGCCTCCAGCTTTGTTCTTTTGGCTTAGGATTGACTTGGCGATGCGGGCTCTTTTTTGGTTCCATATGAACTTTAAAGTAGTTTTTTCCAATTCTGTGAAGAAAGTCATTGGTAGCTTGATGGGGATGGCATTGAATCTGTAAATTACCTTGGGCAGTGTGGCCATTTTCACAATATTGATTCTTCCTACCCATGAGCATGGAATGTTCTTCCATTTGTTTGTATCCTCTTTTATTTCCTTGAGCAATGGTTTGTAGTTCTCCTTGAAGAGTTCCTTCACATCCCTTGTAAGTTGGATTCCTAGGTATTTTATTCTCTTTGAAGCAACTGTGAATGGGAGTTCACTCATGATTTGGCTCTCTGTTTGTCTGTTGTTGGTGTATAAGAATGCTTGTGGTTTTTGTACATTGATTTTGTATCCTGAGACTTTGCTGAAGTTGCTTATCAGCTTAAGGAGATTTTGGGCTGAGACGATGGGGTTTTCTAGATACACAATCATGTCGTCTGCAAACAGGGACAATTTGACTTCCTCTTTTCCTAATTGAATACCCTTTATTTCCTTCTCCTGCCTAATTGCCCTGGTCAGAACTTCCAACACTATGTTGAATAGGAGTGGTGAGAGAGGGCATCCCTGTCTTGTGCTAGTTTTCAAAGGGAATGCTTCCAGTTTTTGCCCATTCAGTATGATATTGGCTGTGGGTTTGTCATAGATAGCTCTTATTATTTTGAGATACATCCCATCAATACCTAATTTATTGAGAGTTTTTAGCATGAAGCGTTGTTGAATTTTGTCAAAGGCCTTTTCTGCATCTATTGAGATAATCATGTGGTTTTTGTCTTTGGTTCTGTTTATATGCTGGATTACATTTATTGATTTGCATATATTGAACCAGACTTGCATCCCAGGGATGAAGCCCACTTGATCATGGTGGATAAGCTTTTTGATGTGCTGCTGGATTTGGTTTGCCAGTATTTTATTGAGGATTTTTGCATCAATGTTCATCAAGGATATTGGCCTAAAATTCTCTTTTTTGGTTGTGTCTCTGCCCAGCTTTGGTATCAGGATGATGCTGGCCTCATAAAATGAGTTAGTGAGGATTCCCTCTTTTTCTATTGATGGGAATAGTTTCAGAAGGAATGGTACCAGTTCCTCCTTGTACCTCTGGTAGAATTCGGCTGTGAATCCATCTGGTCCTTGACTCTTTTTGGTTGGTAAGCTATTGATTATTGCCACAATTTCAGCTCCTGTTATTGGTCTATTCAGAGATTCAACTTCTTCCTGGTTTAGTCTGGGAGAGTGTATGTGTCCAGGAATTTATCCATTTCTTCTAGATTTTCTAGTTTATTTGCGTAGAGCTGTTTGTAGTATTCTCTGATGGTAGTTTGTATTTCTGTAGGATCGGTGGTGATATCCCCTTTATCATTTTTTATTGCATCTATTTGATTCTTCTCTCTTTTTTTCTTTATTAGTCTTGCTAGTGGTCTATCAATTTTGTTGATACTTTCAAAAAACCAGCTCCTGGATTCGTTAATTTTTTGAAGGGTTTTTTTGTGTCTCTATTTCCTTCAGTTCTGCTCTAATTTTAGTTATTTCTTGCCTTCTGCTAGGTTTTGAATGTGTTTGCTCTTGCTTTTCTAGTTCTTTTAATTGTGATGTTAGGGTGTCAATTTTAGATCTTTCCTGCTTTCTCTTGTGGGCATTTAGTGCTGTAAATTTCCCTCTACACACTGCTTTGAATGCGTCCCAGAGATTCTGGTATGTTGTGTCTTTGTTCTCGTTGGTTTCAAAGAACATCTTTATTTCTGCCTTCATTTCGTTATGTACCCAGTAGTCATTCAGGAGCAGGTTGTTCAGTTTCCATGCAGTTGAGCGGCTTTGAGTGAGATTCTTAATCCTGAGTTCTAGTTTGATTGCACTGTGGTCTGAGAGATAGTTTGTTATAATTTCTGTTCTTTTACATTTGCTGAGGAGAGCTTTACTTCCAAGTATGTGGTCAATTTTGGAATAGGTGTGGTGTGGTGCTGAAAAAAATGTATATTCCGTTGATTTGGGGTGGAGAGCTCTGTAGATGTCTATTAGGTCTGCTTGGTGCAGAGCTGAGTTCAATTCCTGGGTATCCTTGTTGACTTTCTGTCTCGTTGATCTGTCTAATGTTGACAGTGGGGTGTTAGAGTCTCCCATTATTAATGTGTGGGAGTCTAAGTCTCTTTGTAGGTCACTCAGGACTTGCTTTGTGAATCTGGGTGCTCCTGTATTGGGTGCATATATATTTAGGATAGTTAGCTCTTCTTGTTGAATTGATCCCTTTACCATTATGTAATGGCCTTCTTTGTCTCTTTTGATCTTTGTTGGTTTAAAGTCTGTTTTATCAGAGACTAGGATTGCAACCCCTGCCTTTTTTTGTTTTCCATTTGCTTGGTAGATCTTCCTCCATCCTTTTATTTTGAGCCTATGTGTGTCTCTGTATGTGAGATGGGTTTCCTGAATATAGCACACTGATGGGTCTTGACTCTTTATCCAATTTGCCAGTCTGTGTCTTTTAATTGGAGCATTTAGTCCATTTACATTTAAATTTAATATTGTTATGTGTGAATTTGATCCTGTCATTATGATGTTAGCTGGTTATTTTGCTCGTTAGTTGATGCAGTTTCTTCCTAGTCTTGAGGGTCTTTACATTTTGGCATGATTTTGCAGTGGCTGGTGCCGGTCGTTCCTTTCCATGTTTAGCGCTTCCTTCAGGAGCTCTTTTAGGACAGGCCTGGTGGTGACAAAATCTCTCAGCATTTGCTTGTCTGTAAAGTATTTTATTTCTCCTTCACTTATGAAGCTTAGTTTGGCTGGATATGAAATTCTGGGTTGAAAATTCTTTTCTTTAAGAATGTTGAATATTGGCCCCCACTCTCTTCTGGCTTGTAGAGTTTCTGCCGAGAGCTCTGCTGTTAGTCTGATGGGCTTCCCTTTGAGGGTAACCCAACCTTTCTCTCTGGCTGCCCTTAACATTTTTTCCTTCATTTCAACTTTGGTGAATCTGACAATTATGTGTCTTGGAGTTGCTCTTCTCGAGGAGTATCTTTGTGGCGTTCTCTGTATTTCCTGAATCTGAATGTTGGCCTGCCTTGCTAGATTGGGGAAGTTCTCCTGGATAATATCCTGCAGAGTGTTTTCCAACTTGGTTCCATTCTCCCTGTCACTTTCAGGTACACCAATCAGACGTAGATTTGGTCTTTTCACATAGTCCCATATTTCTTGGAGGCTTTGTTCATTTCTTTTTATTCTTTTTTCTCTAAACTTCCCTTCTCGCTTCATTTCATTCATTTCATCTTCCATCGCTGATACCCTTTCTTCCAGTTGATCGCATCGGCTCCTGAGGCTTCTGCATTCTTCACGTAGTTCTCAAGCCGTGGTTTTCAGCTCCATCAGCTCCTTTAAGCACTTCTCTGTATTGGTTATTCTAGTTATACATTCTTCTAAATTTTTTTCTAAGTTTTCAACTTCTTTGCCTTTGGTTTGAATTTCCTCCCATAGCTCAGAGTAATTTGATCATCTGAAGCCTTCTTCTCTCAGCTCGTCAAAGTCATTCTCCATCCAGCTTTGTTCCGTTGCTGGTGAGGAACTGCGTTCCTTTGGAGGAGGAGAGGTGCTCTGCTTTTTAGAGTTTCCAATTTTTCTGCTCTGTTTTTTCCCCATCTTTGTGGTTTTATCTACTTTTGGTCTTTGATGATGGTGATGTACATATGGGTTTTTGGTGTGGATGTCCTTTCTGTTTGTTAGTTTTCCTTCTAACAGACAGGACCTTCAGCTGCAGGTCTGTTGGAGTACTTGGCCGTGTGTGGTGTCAGTCTGCCCCTGCTGTGGGGTGCCTCCCAGTTAGGCTGCTTGGGGGTCAGGAGTCAGGGACCCACTTGAGGAGGCAGTCTGCCCATTCTCAGATCTCCAGCTGTGTGCTGGGAGAACCACTGCTCTCTTCAAAGCTGTCAGACAGGGACATTTAAGTCTACAGAGGTTACTGCTTTTTGTTTGTCTGTGCCCTGCCCCCAGAGGTGGAGCCTACAGAGGCAGGCAGGCCTCCTTGAGCTGTGGAGGGCTCCACACAGTTGGAGCTTCCCGGCTGCTTTATTTACCTAAGCAAGCCTAGGCAATGGCGGGCGCCCCTCCCCCAGCCTCGCTGCCACCTGGCAGTTTGATCTCAGACTGCTGTGCTAGCAATCAGCGAGACTCCGTGGGCGTAGGACCCTCCAAGCCATGTGCGGGATATAATCTCCTGGTGAGCCGTTTTTTAAGCCCATCGGAAAAGCGCAGTATTCGGGTGGGAGTGACCCGATTTTCCAGGTGCCATCTTTCACCACTTACTTTGACTAGGAAAGGGAACTCCCTGACCCCTTGTGCTTCCTGAGTGAGACAATGCCTCACCCTGCTTCGGCTCACGCACGGTGTGCCCGCCCACTGACCTGCGCCCACTGTCTGGCACTCCCTAGTGAGATAAACCCGGTACCTCAGATGGAAATGCAGAAATCACCTGTCTTCTGCGTCGCTCACGCTGGGAGTTGTAGACCGGAGCTGTTCCTATTCGGCCATCTTGGCTCCTCCACCAGGGCTTTATAACTTCTATTGTTCACAAGCATTGTCATATCATTAATTATGTCTCCATGAACCCAAAACTAAGTTTTGTTCTCAAGGCTCAGTAATAACAACTACTACTACTTATGGGATATCTACTAGGTAGGTACCAATCAATTTATATAATACTTTCAATCCTCCAAACACTAATAATATTATAATAATATAAGATATGGGCTGGCTGGGCATGGTGGCTCATGCCTGTAATCCCAGCACTTTGGGAGGCCGAGGCGGGTGGATCACGAGGTCAGGAGATCGAGACCATCCTGGCTAACATGGTGAAACCCCGTCTCTACTAAAAATACAAAAATTACCTGGGTGTGGTGATGGGCACCTCTAGTCCCAGCTACTCGGGAGGCTGAGGCAGGAAAATGGCATGAACCTGGGAGGCGGAGCTTGCAGTGAGCTGAGATCGCGCCTCTGCACTCCAGCCTGGGCAACAGAGTGAGATTCCGTGTCTAAAAAAAAAGGTACAGGCTGGGTACAGTGAGTGGCTCACACCTGTAATTCTAGCATTTTGGAAGGCCAAGGTGGGTGGATCACTTGAGTCCAGGAATTTGAGACCAGCCTGGCCAACATAGTGAGACCCCCATCTCTACAAATAAAAAAAATGAGCCGGCCATGGTGGTGCACACTTGTAGTCCCAGCTACTCAGGAGGCTAAGGCAGAGAATTGCTCGAGCCCAAGGAGTCAAGGCTTCAGTGAGCCATGATCACACCACAGCACTCAGCTTGAGTAACAAAATGAGACCCTGTCTCAAAAAATTAAAATAAAATAAATATATCTCATTTCACAAATGAGAACACTAAGACACAAAACTGTTAACTTGCCCAAAGATAGTTGCTGAACTGAGATTCAAAATAGGCCTGTTGAATCCCAAAACACATGTTCTTTCTTTTCCTTTTTGAATTAATTTTTAATTATACAAGTAACACATGGCTACATCTCCTGGTGAAGCAGCATCACTGTCTAGGGTAAATATCCAGGGTTCGTCATCTCATGCTAAGAAAATTAAGGGCACAGACGTGGGTGGATTAAGGAATGGAAAGTTTAATAGGCAGAAGAAAGGAGAGAGGAGAGCAGCTCCTTGCAAGAGAGAGGTGTCCGAAAAAGAGAAAAGCAGTGGAGTGCAGCAGATTTTATAGGCAGGCTTGAGGAAGCAGTGTCTGATTTATGTAGGGCCCATGGACTGGCTCAATCAGGTTTGACATTTACGTAGCACTCAAGGAAGGCTTGTCACCCCACCCTAATCTTATTATGCAAAAGGGCTTTCCACTTGGCCAGCACCATCTTGTCTGCTCCTTACTGTACATGTGGCTGACAAAGAGAAGGGAAGATGAAGCCACCATTTTGAACATCCCTAGTCCCATGTAGTATTTTTCTATTGGCACAACTGCTGGCATTCACTTGTGCAAGCTTCCAGCTTGCTTGTTCATGTCTGCAACTCAATTTTACAGACTGTTATTTTTTAGAAAAGAAAATGATTTTGGGGCTGCTTTTTATTAAAATGAAAACCTTACCAAGGACTCCCGTGCCCACAATATCTGCGTAAGTAATTTGTTCTTAACTCCTGTATCATTCTGCCCCTCAGGAGTGGTAAGCCTAACTGCTGTTAGGATGTGTTGGACGACAACTCTTTCTGGCTACTTCCTGCTGAAAAGTGGTGTCATGTGGGGAACAGCAGCTAGGGCTCTTCCTGGGGTTGGTCTAAGGTTCCACAGAAGAAAGGCATGTCCATATGTGTTTCTATGTGCAGCAGCATTGGAGGTTGATTGCAGTCACCTATTCTGATGGATTGTGATACTGGTTTGCCTCCACCAGATGCTGCTGAAACATTAATATAAAAGTAACATTCTTTTAGGATAAGCGACATTGGATTTGGGTGACTAGAATAACTTTAGTGTTAACCTGAAATCTTTCCTGCAATTATTGATCCCTTCATGACTTTCACAGACCATTTATGACATGCTTAGACTTTCTGGCTTGTCCTAAACATCCCTCTTTTTAAACAACCAGTAATTCTCTTTAGGACAAGAATTTAATATACAAGATCCCTTCTTATGTAAAGTTTATTTTCTTTATAACCCTCTTTGCATAGCTAGGGTGTGACACATTACCGAAGCCAGTAAAAAATCTTGGCAGACTCAGTGATAGTAAAACCTTCATGTTTACTTCTTGATCGGTAGCTATTATCCCTGCTATAAGTATAATAATTAAGCAAAATGCTACAACAATGGAAACTCTCTGTCCAATATTTCAGTTAGAAGGTGCTATCATATATGGCTTTACTGCAAATAGTAGAGTGAGTATTGCAATTCCTGCAAGGGTGGCATAGTGGATTATTTCCATCTAAAATTTTACTTTCCAAGATACACAATTTCCCTTTGGAGGTTTATGAAGTTCCTTGGCTTTATTTTCCCAAACAAAGAAACCTCTGGGTTATGGACACCCTACTAACTTTCATTACCTGGCAGGATTTTCAGGATAATTGCCCAGAACTAGCATATTGATCCAGATTTTTACATTACCCATCCTTTTGTGTTTCTTCTGAGCTGCAGGAGATCATGATTTGATTCACAGGAATAAGCAAGTTTAGTCTAAAATGTAGCAAAAAAAACTTAAAAACAATGAGACTAGAATTTAATGACAAATGTATAAGTTTTGGAATACAATTTTTCTCCTTGTTGTCCTCATTTTGGTAAAAACAAATTATGATAGGACCATGTTATTCATAGAATAAATTTTAGTCTTATACTTGACCTGATTATTTGCATAAAGTCCAGCAAGAATAACTATTTCTACATGGGCCTTTTGGGTTGAGTTTGATGGAACTCTATTCCCCAGGGAAACTGAAATAAGAATTTTTAAAGCCCAGCCCAGCCATGGGATTGTATTCTCAAATGCCTGTGAATTGGGTGATCCTCTCAAGATAAACTTGGAGCTCCTGGACCTGTTAGAAAGTGACATTCTTTACTGACAACAGGTCAGGAACGCTGTATGGGGACTGTGTAGACAAGGAATGAGGCCAGTCTTCCCCAAGGGGCTTTTATTTGCTCTGCATGTCAAGCTCGATTCCTTAAAGGGAAACACATGCTTCCAGTCAAAGCACTGGTAAAATAAGCACTTTTTTTTCCAATGGTGTCCTGTTGCAAAAGAAAAATGGATTCTTATTGCACTGATGCCAACAACCATGTTGCCATAAGTTAATAATACTCACAGATAGTTTCCAAATTCCAGAGGAACCAGACAGAGAGAAATAAACATGCTCCAAATTTTATGAACAGGAGTATACCTTACTCATGAGGTATTATTATTATTACAGGCTGTAACTAGTTCAAAATAAGTTTCCTTGACTCTGAAAAACAAAACAAGGATCAGCAATATTCCAAGCAAAAGTTGAAAAGGTTGCTTTAGCTTTCTGAGTTCACTTGGTTAACTCTTGGTTTTGTTGATATTTGTGAACATTTTAGCTTTTCATGAGTTCTGTACTTTTTTTTATATTCCAATGTTATAATCTTCAAAGCTATTAGAAACCTGCATTTGAGAGCACCTGTTAACATCTTATAGCTTGACTATAAATCATCTTTTCAGAAGGAACAAAGCAAGACAATTGTCTGCAAGTGAAAAAATTTCCAGGGTACAGTTAAAAATGCAACTGATAAAGAAGTTTGGTTATCTCTATGGTTTACAATGACTTAACATAACAACCTTAATTATGATGATAGCATATATTCAGACATTAGAATTTTAGAAATCCCCAATTTTGGAACATATATTAGTATTATTCACCAAAATATAACTTAAAGATTGAACATCATTTTGGCAATCCCATCTAACTAAACATATCAAATAATTCTGTTCACCACCTCTCTGGATGCTTCAGGGGCCCTCTGAACCATCCAGAAAGCTAGACATCAGGAAAGGCAATTTTGAAATTTGAAGTTTGATTTTGGGGAGGCTGTTAAATATTAGAGGTTTAAAACACTTGATTTTATGAAGTAGAATTCCAGATTACAATAAATTATTTATTTTTCCAAAATGATGACTCAAAAGGCAAAAACCTTTTATTAGCCTTTACTATTACATGAAAATCCTATTCAAAGCAAAATTTTACCCTTGCATTAGTTTATTGTTAACCCCAATTTTTTGATGAAACCTCATAGACAATTCCATTTCATCTTAACCAATTTGACCATGAGGTGAAATCTTTACAAACCTTTTATAACCCTTTTGCTAAAGGGCAGATTAGCGTTTTAAGACAACCTTTATTTCAATGCTTAATTTATGAAATGACCATATAATTCCCTTTTGAATTTAGTTAATGTTTACACATGGAATTTTTGCAAGATTAATTTTTACAACCTTTCCATAACTTGCTTAAACCTTCAGCTTTCTTATCTAACTTAAGACAATCTTTTATGACTAGGAAAAATGTACATTTCCATGCCTTCTCATAATCTTTTACTAGAAAATACATTCTACTGTTTTTACACATCTTGCATATAAATTTATTTTTAGTAGTTTAAATTACATGTTATTGAAGTGGCTATGTTGTCTGGGGTAAATACCCAGTGTTCATCATCTCATGCTAGGAAAATTTAAGACACAGACACACATGAGGAGTTTAGGAGCAGAGGTTTCATAAGCAGAAGAAAGAGAAAGGAAAACAACTCTTCTAGTGAGAGAGAGGGGGCTTCTGAGAGCAAAAAAAAAAAACTGGCCAGCAATGAATGTGCTGGATTTTATAGTCAGGCTTGAGAAGGCAGTGTCTGATTTACATAGGGCTCACAGATTGGTTCAATCAGGTGTGACGTTTACATAGCTCTCAGGGAAGGCTCCTCATCCCACCCTAATCTTATTATGCAAATGAACTCTCCCCTGGGCCGGTGCCATCTTGTCTGCTCCTTACTGTACAGTGGCTGACAGATAAGGGAAGATGGAGCCACCATTTTGAACATGTCTAGTCCCAGCTAGTTCTTTCCTACCTGCATTCATTCCTGCAAGCTCCCAGTTGCTTGTCTATGTCTGAGGCCCAACTTTACAGGCTGCTCTTTGTTAGAAAATGATTTGGGCTGCTTTTCATTAAAAGGAAAACCTTACCAAGCACTTCCATACCCTCACTATCTGCCTAAGTAATTTCTTCTTTGTCAGGCCTCTGAGCCCAAGCTAAGCCATCATATCCCCAGTGACCTGCACATATACATCCAGATGGCCTGAAGCAACTGAAGATCCACAGAAGTGAAAATAGCTTAACTGATGACATTCCACCATTGTGATTTGTTTCTGCCCCACACTAACTGATCAATGTTGTTTATAATCTCCCCCACCCTTAAGAATTTTCTTTGTAATTCTCCTCACCCTTGAGAAGTTACTTTGTGAGATCCACCCCCTGTCCCCAAAACATCGCTCTTAACTCCACCGCCTATCCCAAAACCTATAAGAACTAATGATAATCCCACCACCCTTGCTGACTCGTTTTTTGGACTCAGCCCGCCTGCACCCAGGTGAAATAAACAGCCTTGTTGCTCACACAAAGCCTGTTTGGTGGTCTCTTCACACGGACACGTGAAACATTCTTAACTCCTATATCATTATGGTGGTAACTTTGGGTAATTTTTAACTTTACTGTGAAACCTGGTAGGTTGTTTTGATTATGTATTAGGCATAGATAAAGTCTGACTTTTTCCAGCATACTTAGGGGTGTGGTTAATTTCGTATGTCCCCAGGCCTTACCAAGTTGTAAAGCAGGTAGTTTACAACCTTGGAACATTTAGCAAACCTAGTATCTGACTTACATGATTTAGACCACCTATTTACATGTTTATGACCCTTGTATTTTACCAATAATTCTTAAGACTATTTTTATTTCTTAAAGATTAAAGTCATATGAACTAAAAAGCATTACAGCTTTTTATTTTTTCTTTAAAAATACTTGATTTAAGCACTCATTTTTCTTTAAGCCAATCAATTAGAGCTCTTTTTATAGACATTACACACAACACATATATACACAGACAGACAGAAGATTCAGCACTTCTGAGATTTTTCATTTGTAAGTTTATTAATTGGATTACCTGCTTCAGGGTAAAGCCCTTGGAGGAACAGGAAGGAATGCATTTTTAGGGCCTAATAAGCAGGCACAGCTGAAGGCAAAGACAGATCCCCAAAATTAAGGGTGCCATTTTATACTGGATCTTGGATCCCCAGAATGAGGGAGATGCTACAGGAGGAGGCAGTGCAGTGCTTCTACCTTGCATATCATTGCAAGGCAACCCAAAGCCAATTGGCTTGTTTTGTAATTAGCCCATCCTCCATGGAGTCTCATCTCTTAATGGGGAGTGGGGATGTTTCCATATCTTCCAGGTGGACAAGAGCATGCTTCTCTGATTCAAATGTGCAAAGAGTTAAGTATCCCTCCATGAACACTATTAGCCATCCCTTAAAGTATATTTCCTACCTAGTTATTACACACCAAAGCTCTCTCATACTGCAAGGTAACTTTTGATACCCCCAAAACTTAAAACCATCAGATAACACAATGCAAAACAGAACAGAGCCTTTGATTTTGAGAGGGATCCATCCACTTTCAATTCCTGGGGTTACATGAGGAAAATAGGGGGTTTTTCCCCCAAAATGGAATCTATGGTGCCTCCTCTGTTTTTCCCAAGGAGTCCCAGGCTACCAGAAGTTATCTTAGGGCCTCTCATGTGTGCATTAAGAGTGGAAAGACAAAAAAATGGAGAAAAATAATTCAGTCGACTGAGAAGAAAAAACCTTTTTCCAGAAAAATAAGATCCAAGAAGAGAAAAACGTGAATGCCTTTTAAATATACCTATAACTTGGCTATCCATTTTTAATTAAGCTGAGCACTATTTAAGAAAATCCTTTTAAATCTTTTGTTACTCGACTTCAGCCATGCAAAACAATTAAGATTTTCAGCTTTGGAACTTTACAAAAAGTAACCCCACAGGTGAAACCAACAAGCCTTAATTAGGTTATAACTTAACCTCCAGTGTATGAGGTATTTTCAAAGGGGTGGTAAGCAGCTTTTGAAACCATCATTGCAAAACTGTGACTGAGACAGTGAAAGAGATCCAACCCAAGTAACTCCATCTTGCTCCAGCCTGCAAGCTGTCCTTGCCCATCCCTCGGCATGGGCCGAACCAACTTTGGGAGAACCCTGGTTTGCAGTTTATAGTTTAAAACAAAGATGATAACAGCCCCTTCCTAAGGTATACTTCCCTCTTGCCTGGGGACCAGACAAGAAACTAGCCACAAGATTAGAAACCATGGCCTAGAAGTCATGCAGCTGGAGGTTACAAGATTTTGACCCTCCCTAAGCTGCTCTCAAGATCAGCACTTAAGATATTTTGTAAACCCTGGCCTTGATGGATCATCTGGCACCACCCAGATTGATAAACTGGCTTATCTGATTTTGTGGCCGCCACCCAGGAACTGACTTAGCACAAGAAGACAGCCACCATTGTAAAATGGAGACTAAAAGTATTGCCACGTGGTTACAGGTCATGTTTCCAAGGACACGAAACAAGATGGAGGCCTGTAGCCAAGTTTGTTACTGATCATTTTGTTAGGCTGGCTTGAACAGCAGTCTTATGCGGTCCTGGCCCTGCATCCTAAGGTACCCTTTCTTTTGACAAAACCATGCAGAAAGACACACAAAACACAACAGATTGGCTACAGCTTAAGACCAACCGCACAAATCCTTTTTCACTAATTAAAACTTTATATAGAGAATATAAACAATAATCCTTATTTCCCCTTTTACCAGTTTACTCAGGGAAAGAGAAGCCAAAAGCTCAACTGGTAAAAAACAAAACAAAACAAACAAAACACACACATAACTTTTACCCTTTTTTCAGCATGTCAGGCTTCTGGGTTCCTTTACCCCTAGCTCAACTCTAAGCCAAGCATTTTAAGGTTTGAGGAAATTAGCTCTTCCCAGGTTGGAAGAACATTATAAAAGAAGAGATAGAAGCCATTTTAAACAACGAAAGAAGGAAAATTACCACAGAAAAGTCTGGGAGTTCCAATTAGGATTGTCAAGAGGTGCTGCCTCTCTTCCTATTGGGAATGGTGTTTCCCCTATTTCTTCACATTCTCTATTTTCTCCTTTCCCTTTTGGCCTGCTGTAGGAAACATATTGCTCATCTCTGAAATGCTCTGCTGCCTGCAGAGCTGCCTGTTTTTCAGCTACGGTTAGGGTTTGGTTTAGGAGCAGCATAATATCACTTTATGAGAGGTTAAACACCTGAGTTAAATTTTGGAAAGCTTCTATATAACTATCAGAGTTGTCAGAAAATCGGCCTAAGTCTCCCTTTATTTACCTAAGGTCCTGTAATGATAAGGGAACTTTAGGGGGCCCCAAGTTAGGGGGATCCTCAGATGGTTCCCCCAGAAGTTGCTTCTCCAATTTTGGGGAATCATTCTCTATAGGCCTGTCTGATATGACTACTACAAGAGCTGGGTTGATTGTGCAATGCTTGCAAAGGTCTAGTAAGAAGGCCATGCCCTTGTGTAAAAGAAAGTGAGCCACTTTTCCTTCAAAGTCTCAGGGTTAAAGGAGTCCCTGTGCTTCAGGATGCACCCCAGAGGGGTGCAAGCTGAAGATGGTTTGTTACCCATTTAGAAAGAGAAGCAAGAAAAAGGCATCCCTTTTGTCTCCTTCCTTTTGGTGTGACCAAGTGTGGAGGAAAAGACAATGGGGGCGTCCTCTCTGCTGTTTTCCCTCCTTGGTTCCTAGGTCCTGGCACCTTGTTGAACACGCCACCCATGGTTGTAAGTGTGACCGCCCCCCAGCCATGGAACCAGAGGAACTAAGCAATTGAGATTAGTCACGCTTACCCATGTGACTCTAGTCCTCTGCCTGTGATTTCCCTTTGACTTCCTAGACTTGTGTGATCTGTGTGCCTCCCTGAAAAATGGATATTGGGAAGGACTACGTAATAGTTGCCTTTGGAGCTGGGCACAGTGGCTCATGCCTGTAATCCTAGCACTTTGGGAGGCTGAGTCATGTGGGTCACCTGAAGTCACCCAGGTTGGTTCGAGACCAACCTGGCCAACATGGCAAAACCCCATCTCTACTAAAAATACAAAAATTAGCCAGTCTTAGGCCGGTTATGGTGGCTCACGCCTGTAATCCCAGAACTCTGGGAGGCCGAGGTGGGCGGATCACGAGGTCAGGAGATCGAGACCATCCTGGCTAACACAGTGAAACTCCATCTCTACTAAAAAAAAAAAAAAAATTAGCCGGGCGTGGTGGTGGGCGCCTGTAATCCCAGCTACTTGGGAGGCTGATGCAGGAGAATGGTGTGAACCTGGGAGGTGGAGCTTGCAGTGAGCCGAGATCACACCACTCCACTCCAGCCTGGGCGACAGAGCAAGACTCCATCTCAAAAAAAAAAAAAAAAATTAACCTGTCTTGGTGGCAGGCACCTATAATTCCAGCTACTCAGGAGGTTGAGGGGGGAGAATCACTTGAACCCAGGGCGCAGAGGTTGCAGTGAGCCAAGATTGGACCACTTCACTCCATCCTGAGTGAAAGAGCAAAAACTCCATCTCAAAAAAAAAAAAAAAAAGGTCGTTGCCTTTGGAGGGTATTAGATTGAACTCCATATTTTGCTATTATGGCCCATGCTGAAGCATTTCCCCCTAGAGAATGGTTCTCATTAACTTCTGGACTTAAAATCCCCTTAATAAGTATTGCTTTAACTGGAGACATAAATAGGTGACTTAAAGGAACATAGGGACCTAATAGTGATTTTCCTGCTGATGGGACAGTATTGGAACTAAAATTTGGTTCTGGAGGACATTTTGCTCCTAATTGTTGAATGCAGAGTTTTCCCATCCACAGAAGCAGCATAAAGCTTGGTCTCTAGTAGAGAGGTGCAAAATGGGAGAAGAAGTGGGAAGGTACAGTGTTATGTCAAAGGACCGACAACGCCTCATGGAGATGATTTTTAGTTCACTAGGTGGCGATATTGACCTTAAAATGCCACGTGCTCTCCAGCTCAAGGGCAGAGAGTGACCTGGAGATGCCATGTGCTTTCCAGATCAAGGGCAGAGGGTGAAATGCTCACTGTGGGAGAAGACTTTCTGTTCCTAGGAAATCACAATGGCATTCCCCTGAGCTATATTCCAGTTACTACAGCATTTCCTGATCTTTCCTAACAGGATTACTTCCCTGAACTATAAAAATTCCTGCACATTGCATGCAGAGAAAATAGGAGACATGGTGACCATGGATAGAAGAGGAGGAAAATTTTGTAACAGGATAGCTAGAGATCCTTTTTGCCAGCACTCAGATGGGTGGCCAAAGGCTGGGTTCAACCCAGAAGCCTCTGGATAACACCAGGGTGTGCCCTGGCCAGAAATCCTTAGTTGCTCCAGGACCTCTCCCAGCCCCATGCAATGGCTGGGAGTGTGACCCCCCCAGCCATGGAACCAGAGGAACTAAGCGATTGAGTTCCATGAAAGGAAACTGGTTTGAAGCATTTTTAAATGGAGTCTGAGAGCCTTGATATTAAAGGTCAGATTTGAGGTTTGCTCCACACTTACTGCTCTGATGTTTATACTTTCCATTTTGGTTCTGATCCTGCATGAGCCCCCAGATGAAGCGGCATTGTTGTCTAGGGTAAATACCCAGGGTTCATTGTCTCGTGCCAAGAAAATTAAGGACACAAACACATGTGGGTGGGTTAAGGAGCAGAAAGTTTAATAGGCAGAAGAAAGGAGAGAGAAGAGCAGCTTCTTGTGAGAGAGAGGTGTCCGAAAAAGGGAAAAGTGGCAGACCATAGCAGATTTTATAGGCAGGCTTGGTAAAGCCCACTGATCCGTTCAATCAGGTTTGATGTTTACATAGCCCACAGGGAAGGCTGGTTTCCCCACCCTAATCTTATTATGGAAATGGGCTTTCCACTTGGCCAGCGCCATCTTGTCTGCTCCTTACTATACACATGACTGACAAAGAGAAGGGAAGATGGAGCCACCATTTTGAACTTGCCTAGTCCCACATAGTATTTTTCTATTGGCACAACTGCTGGCATTCACCTGTGCAAGCTTCCAGCTTGCTTGTCCATGTCTGTAGCTCAATTTTACAGGCTGTTCTTTGTTAGAAAAGAAAATGATTTGAGGGCTGCTTTTTATTAAAAGGAAAACCTTACCAATACCCTCAATATCTGCCTAAGTAATTTCTTCTTAACTCTTAGTGCTAAAGGTCTTAGCTGATAATAGCCACTGACAGCAACAGGCACTGTTAAGGGCTTTTTTCTTTTTTCCAATGTTTTATTATGAAAATTTTCTAATAGATAAATCTAAGTTTAAAATATTATCAGATGAACATCCATGTACCCACCACCTAGATTCTACCACTTACATTTTACTGTACTTGCTTTATTATATATCCATTCATCTATCCATCTATGGAAATATTTTAATCTTGGAAGAGCTCCTGGGAGCACCGTGTTGAGTCATCTGCTCTGCTTAGAATGTCAAAGAATAACTATTATGCCACATTGCATGAGTGGGGAGCACTAGCAAAACTATGTGCTTTTCTGACTAGGTGTGGTAGCTCACTTGAGGTCAGAAGTCTGAGACCAGCCAGGCAACATGGTGAAACCTTGTCTCCACTAAAAATACAAAAATTAGCTGGGCATGATGGCACACTAGTGTAATCACAGATACTCGGGAGGCTGAGGCATGAGAATCACTTGAGCCCGGGAGGTAGAGATTCAGTGGCTGAGATCACGCCACTGCACTCCAGCCTGGGCAAGAGAATGAGACTCTGTCTCCAAAAATAAAAATTAAATTTAAAAATAAACCATTTGCTTTTTCAAAAGAAGGTACAGGAGAACTTTGTCAAGAATCCAGATTAACATCAAGGAAGACTTCAAGGATGACTTCCCAAAATGGATCAATGTCTTTTCCTATCCAACTCCCAAACTTCTGGTGCAACAGCCCTGAACAAACTATTTGCAGCACCAGAATGGCAAGAACTATCATTTATGACAATAAGTCTATCTTTATTTCACTTGAGATGAGGGAATTTGTGATCAAGTGTGACTAAACCTACAGATGGACAGGCTAAGATAGTACAGACCTCTAGGTATCAACTTTCCAGGTTTTGTATCCCTCCACATCTATTATTTTTAAAGAATGTGACTAAGAGTAAATGAATCAATGTTTTAAAAAATAAAGCAGAATCTCAAAACTGGCTTTGACCACTTGTAGCAAGACTTAAGGGGCATACAGCATTCTAGCTGCAGTGTTGTCTGTAGGGGCTCTTCACATAGGCTTCTTCCAGGAGTATGTTCCCACGTCTGTGACTCAGGTTACTGGGCCTATGACATGTAAGAGCAGGCAGGCCAATGTGGCATCCCCACTCAAAGGTGTCCCTTGAAGCATGTGAGAGATGATGCAGTGCCAAAAAGGTGAGCCTTCTGCCAGAGGGCAGGACATTATTGGAGGAAATGTCAACAAGGACCAGGGGCAGAATCAGTGGGGCTGGCCATGCAGAAGGGAAAACTTGTGACACGGCTCAAAGGAGTTCATTCAATGCAGTTTCGTAAGTATTAGCTGGGGGCTGTCTTAGTCCCTTCTGCTGCTATAACAAAATACCTTAGACTGAGTAATTTATATATAATAGAAATTTATTTCTCATAGTTCTGGAGTCTGGGAAGTCCAAGATCAAGGCACCAGCAGATTCAGCGTCTGGTGAAGCTTTGCTCTCTGCTTCATAGGTGACGTCTTTTGCTGCATCCTCACGTGGTGAAAGGCAAAGGGCCAAAAGGTCAGTCAGTCTCTGAAGCCTCTTTAATAAGGGGATTAATCCCATTCATGAAGGCAGAGCCCCCATAACAATCATTTTCCCAAAGGCTCCACTTCTCGATACTATCACCTTGGGACTTCAGTTCCAATGGAGAGGAACATACCATAGAGACATTCAAACCATAGCAGGGGCCTGCTGTGTTCCAGAAGCTGCCAGGAAATCTGGTCTTCCAGAGAAGAACTCTGAAGGAGTGGGAGAGAACCCTGGGCTCAGCCAGCATACAGATTTCGATCCCTTCACAGAAAGGGGAACTGTGTGCTTACTACACAATGCTCTTGCCTCACTCAGGAACTTAAGGAGCAATTTTTCTTCTCTCTTATCAGAACATTAAAAAAGTAAGCTGGCATAATTTCCAGGCAAGCAGTTCTTTTGACAGAAAATTTTACTCTCTTCATTTGTTGCTACATACTGTATTTTCTGGAGAATGAGCACAGAGGCCCTTGCTAGAGAACAGCAGATATTAGTCACAGCTCGTTGATTTCATCTATTCCTCCCTAGAAGGAAAAATCACTACAGGGTGATATAAGAAAGTAACTAAGAGTAGGATGCCAATCTCAAATTAGCAGTTATGAGACAAATGCTGGTGTTTGTAAGCAAAGGACTCAGGAGTTTAAACCCCAGAATCTGCACACATTGCAGCATAAACTGAAACAAATTAGTAAGGCAGTTTTTGTGGCCTTTGTGATTATTTATTTATTTATTTATTTATTTATTTATTCATTTATTTTTGAGACGGAGTCTCACTGTGTCGCCAGGCTGGAGTGCAGTGGCACAATCTCAGCTCACTGCAACCTCTGCCTCCCAGATTCAAGCGATTCTCCTGTCTCAGCCTCTGAGTAGCTGGGACTACAGGTGTGCGCCACCACGCCCAGCTAATTTTTGTATTTTTAGTAGAGACAGGGTTTCACCCTGTTGGCCAGGATGGTTTCGATCTTTTGACCTTGTGATCCGCCTGCCTTGGCCTCCCAAAGTGCTGGGATTACAGGCGTGTGCCACCGCACCCAGCCTGTGACTTTTTTAACCTGTAATCCACCATTGCCAGATAAATCTTCCCTGAATTCAAAACATGCACACACACACACACAAACACAGACACACACACACTTCTCCCAAATCAAGAACTTAGTCAAATACTAGCAGTCTCTCTCTCTCTTTAACCACAAAGCAAGGAGAAGAACCTACAGTCTTAACCAGTATTTATGGGGTTATCAGATAATGATTTCTCAATTACACTTCCTCTAGGTCACTAAGTGAAGTAAGTCATCATTTTTTGCCAGAAATAACATCATCTGGTATTTCTACACTTATGAACAGCAAGTAATACAAGTTACAATTATATGAATCATCTTTGATTCTGCCTTTCCTTCCCCCTTCCTCGCCTCCCAAATCCAGTTGGTTCCCAAGTCCTAGTGTGTTGTTATCTCCTGTATCTGCCCTCTTCTCTCCATCCGTATGGTTAATGCCTTCATGCAGGTCCTCTTCCTCTCATATTTGGACTGTTGCAATAGTCCACTATTTTCCCTCCTTTCAGTCTTGAACCACTTCAGTCCATAAAAATAACTGTAAGAAATACTGTTCACAGATCAAGCACTTCATAAGCATTCTGTCATTTAACCTTTACCACACTGTCATGAGAGAGCCATTATTATTCCTGTTTTCTGATTAAAACTCAGGGAAATGAAGTGACTTACATGGGAACACACAGATGGTGAATGGTAAAGGCAGAATTCAAATCTAAATCTGCATGATCCTAAAGCCAGAGACTGAGACACCATGCAACACTGCCTGCCTCCCCACTCTGCTATCAGAGGCTTCTGCTAAAATGAAACTGACCTGCTTCCTGGCTCAGAATTCTTCAATCACACCCCATTGCCAATTGCAGGGAATCTTTTTTAAAGCCATAGAATCCTTTAATCAATAAGATTGAAAGCATTATTCTTCTATATAAAGCAGATAAAAATGTAGCTGACATGCTTGGTGCAGGTGTGGAGATCTAGCTGACTTGCAATGGTAGTGCCAAGAGATGTGTGGACTCCCACAATTTAATGGAAAACATTCATAAGATTCTTCCCATTGTTTGATGTAAAAGTAGTGTTAGGTAAAACATTATGTAAAATAAAGATTCAAGCTTTCTCTTCCAGCCAGATAGATGTCTCTCAGTGACTTTACTGCAGTTCTCCCACGCTCACTGCAACTCATCTTTTCCCTCTGCTCCCCTCCCAGTTCTAGACCTGAGGCTCTGGCCCTTGCACTCCAGATTGGGCAATAGGAGTGAAACTCCATCTCAAAAAAAAAAATAAATAAATAAACCTAAAATAAAATAAAGGGAATCCAAATAGGTACAGAGGAATTTAAACTGTCACTGTTTGCTGACAATATGATCCTTTACCTTGAAAACCATAAAGACTCCTCCAGAAAGCTCCTAGAAATTATAAAAGAATTCAGCAAAGTTTCCAGATACAAGATCAATGTACACAATTCAGTAGCTGTTCTATACACCAACAGTGGACCAAGCGGAGAATCAAATCAAGAACTCAACCATTTTTACGATAGCTGCAAAAAAAAAAAAAAGGTAGAAATATACCTAACCAAGGAGGCAAAAGACCTCCACAAGGAAAACTACAAAACACTGCTGAAAGAAACCATAGACAACACAAACAAATGGAAACACATCCCATGCTTATGGATGAATAGAATCAATATTGTGAAAATGACCGTACTGCCAAAAGCAATCTACAAATTCAATGCAATTCCCATCAAAATACCACCATCATTCTTCACAGAATTAGAAGAAACAATTCTAAAATTCATATGGAACCAAAAAAGACCCCACATAGCCAAAGAAAGGCTAAGCAAAAAGAACAAATCTGGAGGTGTCACACTACCTGATTTCAAACTACACTACAAGGCCATAGTCACCAAAACAGCATGGTACTGGTATAAAAATAGGCACATAGACCAATGGAGCAAAATAGGGACTCAGAAATAAACCCAAATACTTACAGCCAACTGATCTTGGACAAAGCAAACAAAAAGATACAGTGGGGAAAGGACACACTTTTCGACAAGTGGTGCTGGGATAATTGGCAAGCCACATGTAGAAGAATGAAACTGGATCCTCATCTCTCACCTTATGCAAAAACCAACTCAAATCTAAAACCTGAAACTATAAAAATTCTAGAAGATCAAGCACTTTGGGAGTCTGAGGCGGGCGGATCACAAGGTCAGGGAGATCAAGACCATGGGCCTGTCGTGGGGTGGGGGGCTGGGGGAGGGATAGCATTAGGAGAAATACCTAATGTAAATGACGAGTTAAAGGGTGCAGCAAACCAACATGGCACATGTATACCTATGTAACAAACCTGCACGTTGTGCGTGTGTACCCTAGACCTTAAAGTATAATTTAAAAAAAAAAAAGGAAGAAGAAAAAACATGGAGATAAAAAGACCACCATCAGATATTGGCTGGGAAAGGAAGTTGAGACTGACATTGCAGAGTGGTTACTCCCAGGCAACAAAGAATTAATACTAATTCATTCAAATGAGAGAGTGTCATCTGCTCACACTGTAATTGGCTATTAAAGCTTAGTAATTGATACCAAGAGACTTTGGCTCCCAGCATTTGGCCCAGCTGTCATGAAGTCAGCACAGTCAAGACTGACAAAGAAGCTTTGTTGTTGCTCATGGTGATCACTGAGAGTTTTAGACAAAGAAAAATCATTCTTAGAATATGGGGTCTTTGGCTTGCTGAAAAAAATGTCTGTCCAATTTCCTTGCCAAGTTTTAAGACTCCAAACAGTAAGAAGGATGAGTTTGATGATGTATATTTTGTTATTTCTTTACTTATTATTGCTTTCCCACTACAGTTTATTATAAATATTTCCAAATGCACACAAAAAGGGAACAATATGTCAGTGAACATCCATGTACACATTCGTTATATTCTACCATTAACATTTTCCTCTTCTTACTTCAGCGTATACTGCTCCTTCTATCCATCTCTCTTTCCATCTAACAATCCATCTTATTTTGTATACATTTCCAAGTAACTTGTAGACATCAGTATATTTTCTCCCCCAAAATTTCAACGTGCATATCATCAACTACAGTTCAATATTTGTACGGTTTGTTTTTGTTTCTTTTGAGGTAAAATTTACAAAAAATGAAATGCACAAATCTTAAGTGTACTAATTCATGAGGTTCAGCACGTATATACACATGCAACCTAAACCATGATCAAGACACTGAACATCACCATCACCCACAGAAAATTCCTTCATAGCTGATCCAATGACTCTCCACCCCCAACCCCCAGAAACAACCATTGTTTTGAAATTTTTCCACCACAGATTAGTTTTCCCAGTTGTAGAACTTTATATCAATGGAGTAATACAGTATGTATTGTTTGCGTAAGGTTTCTTTTTCTCAATATAATGTTTTGGGATTCATTCATGCTATTGTGTGCATCAGTAATCTGATTCTCTTTATTTCTGAATAGTAGTCCATTGTGTGGAGAATACAGCTAGTTATTTATTCTTTAACTGATGGCCAGCTGGGCTATTTCCGGTTTGCCACTCTTAGGAATAAAGCAGCTATGAACATCCTTGTACAAGTCTTTTTGGGGACATTTGTTTTCCTTTATCTTGGGTGAATACCTAGGAATTGAATTTGTGGGTCATAAGATAGGCATTTGTTTATTTTCAGAAGAAACTGTCAGGCTTTTTGTAAAGTGGGTGTGCCATTTTACGTTCCCACCAATGACAGATGAGAATCCAGGCTACTTCACGTCCCCGCCAACATTTGTCTTGTCAGTCTTCAATTTTTACCAGTCTGTTTGATATATAGGGGTTCTGTTTATTTATTTACCAAAACAGGGTCTCGCTGTGTCACCCAGGCTGGAGTGCAGTGCTGTGATCATGACTCACTCACTATACCTCCACCTTCTGGACTCAAGCAATCCTCCCACCTCAGCCTCCCAAGTATCTGACACTATAGGTATGTGCCGCCACGCCTGGCTAATTTTTAAATTTTTTGTAGAGACAAGGTCTCACTATGTTGTTTAGGCTGGTCTGAAACTCCTGAGCTCAAGCGATGTTCCCACCTCAGCCTCCCAAAGTGTTGGGATTACTGGCATGAGCCACCATGCCAACTTATTTATTTTTTGATAAATACATTAACACAACCAGATCTATTTACTTTTTCTACTTTAGACAACAAAGTCAGGTTATTTTTAGAAAAATCAGTCATGCGCACTTAGAGAAATTGATAAAACTTTGTTTTCTTGTACTCAGGGAATTAGAATATTTTATTTTATATATTCTTTTTTTTTTCCTTTGGTAGACAATTCCACTGGAAAATTAGGAATTTTTTTTGTTTTTTGAGATGGAGTCTCGCTCTTTCGCCCAGGCTGGAGTGTAGTGGCACGATCTCGGCTCACTGCAAGCTCTGCCTTCCGGATTCAAGCCATTCTCCTGCCTCAGCCTCCCGAGTAGCTGGGACTACAGGTGCCCGCCACCATGCCAGCCTAATTTTTTGTATCTTTAGTAGAGACGGGGTTCCACCGTGTTAGCCAGGATAGTCTTGATCTCCTGACCTTGTGATCCTCCCACCTCGGCCTCCCAAAGTGCTAGGATTACAGGCACGAGCCACCGCGCCCTGCCGAAAATTAGGATATTTTTAAATGTACTTGCATTCTCTTTTCTTAGACCCCGTCTTATTTTTGGACTTGCAGTTTTTTATTGTGGTAGAATACACATAATAAAATATGCCATTTTTGGTATTAAGAACATTCATGGTGTTGTGCAGCCATCACTACTACCTAATTTCAGAACATTTTTATCATCCCAATGGGAACTCTGTACCCATTAAGAAGTCATTCTCTACTCTTTTTCCTCACAGCCCAGGCAACCACAAATCTGCTGTCTACTGTGTTTTTTGTTTGTTTGTTTGTTTTTGAGACAGGGTCCTGCTCTGTTGCCCAGGCTGGAGTGCAGTGGCACAATCTCAGCTCACTGCAACCTCCACCTCCTGGGCTTAAGTGATCCTCCCACCTCAGCCTCCCTAGTAGCTGGAACCACAAGCACAGGCCACCATGCCTGGCTAAATTTTTTTGTATTTTTTTTAATAGAGATGAGGTTTTGTTATGTAGCCCAGGATGGTCTCGAACTCCTGGGCTCTAGTGATCCACAAGCTTCAGCCTCCCAAACTGCTGGGATGACAGCCATGAGCCACCACGCCCGGCCGTCTGCTCCCTATTGTATGGATTTGCCTACTATAGGTATTTCATACAAATGGAATTATACAGTATGTGGCTGTTTTGTGATTATATGATATAAGGTATAATTACAGTTCCTTTGCATGGCCGGACACTCAAAAACGCTACCATGCAGGACCACACCTGGGGACAGGGTAACAGCAAGCTGGAACTGTAGAAGCAGCTTATGTATGACAAACAGGGTGGGGTTAGCTGGGTGTTGTGGGCTTCCTAAAGATTGGGTATTCTGAATAATTCCATGGGCCCCAGGAAGAAGAGCCAGTCCCTGGCTGTGGGTACCTTGGGGCCTCTTGCAGTTGAGTGTGTATGAACAGAAATCCAGAGTGCTACAGCCCAAGAAAGGAAGTGGCTAGGGTGGAGCCTTAGCAAACTGCCCATGAAGGGAAATTGAGAGGTGTAGACATGACCTCAAAACTGAGTCAAGACAGCACTTGTGAAATATGATTTTACTACCATGACCTCAAAACAGGATCAAGACAGCATTTGTGAAATAAGACAGGATAGCACCCGTGAACAACAAGAACCTGAGGTGTGAAGTCGCCGGGATGGAGAGTTAGCAAACTGTCCACAAAGGGGCAGCAAGACTTTTAGCCAAGTTTTAGCTTGACTCAAAATTGGGTCAAGATAGAACTTGTGAAATATTCTATTACAGTGGCCTTTTGCGTTAGGCTTCTCTCACCTAACATAGTGCGTCCGGGGGTCATCCATGTTGCAGCGTGTATCAGTCCTTTCTTTTCAAGGCTGAATAATATTCCACTGTATCCCATATTTTGTTTATTCATTCAGCTGCTTAATGGGCATGAGGGTTGCTTCCACCTTCTGGCTATGGTGACTTGTGCTGCTGAAAACATTAATGTGCAAGTTTTTATTTGTGCACCTGTTTTCAGTTCTCAAGGGCATATACCTAGGATGAAATTGCTGGGGGTTATGATTTAACTTATTGAGATGCCTTGAAAGGAAAGCATTTTCCACAGCAGCTATATCATTTTTCACTTCTACCAGCAATGTGCTGTGTTTCTTTACATACTTAACAACACTTATTTTCTATTTTTTAAAATTATGACCATCCTAGTGGGTGTGAAGTGGTATGTAGTCGTGGTTTTAGCTTGCATTTCCTTAATGACTAATGACAATGAGAATCTTTTCACTGGCTTGTGGGCCATTTGTATCACTTCTTTTAAGAAATGTCAAGTCTCTTTCCCATGTTCTATTGAGTTGTTTGTCTTCTTACAGGAAGTCTCTTTTAACTCCAAAAAACAACCTTCTTTCTCCAAATAATTTTATCTTATTTTTAGTATTTGCAGTGTTAATAGGGGATTAAGGTTTGTTTATTCCAACATGTGATATTTTTAAGGCATGGTAAAACAAAGAGTGTGCATTGTTTACCTAAAAGGATCAACTTTTCAGATGACACTATTCTAGTTTTATGAAAAGAGCTGAATATCCTGATTAGAAGGTATTACGTTGCAATGAAATTCAAATCTTTAAATCCTATTATCAGAACCGGTGGCAAAAACATTGCTTTTGTAATTGAAGAAGTTAAACACAATGGAGAAATAGTGAGTCTCCTCAATTAAACCTCATTAATCCTCCAAAATAATTTTTAATGTAGACAAAATACTGTTAAAAATTCATAGAAAATGAGGCCTTAATGACCTGAATTCTAGGCTATTTTTAATGCCTACATTGGGCAAATGGTATCATAACCAAGAAAATCATAGCCAACATAATCAAATTGAGGGGTTTACATCTCATATACACCACATTGTAAACACCCAAGCGTCAGGGAACCCACAAAATCTAAGTCAGTTAATATTGCTTGAATCAACCTGGTTAGGAACCACAGTTTCTCTAAGTGGAAAGTGGGCCAAAGTACTCCAAAAAACATCTTTGAAGTGTCAAATAAGTGGACACAATATATATAAACAAGGATAAAATGTATTTTGTCTACAAAAATTAGTGTGACAAGGCTTTACATTAAAAAATGTTTTTAAAGAGATTCCTCGGTCTTAAGGAAAATTTATCTGTAGAACCGCCTTCGAGATAAGAAACAGGGTGAGTATAAACGGACTCCTCTCAAACAGAAAATTGTCATCTCAGGAATCAGAATGCACACTTATTTCATTTAACATTTTGATTATCATTCTACGAGAGGAAGTTCACAGTGACATATTTAGGTTGTCTGACGAATTCAAACTGTTGAGTTATAAAAACATCAATCCCAGCAGCAGCTCATGGTGGGAGTTCAACTCTGAAAGCTTACTGTCTAGATCTAAAAATGGGAATGGTTCCCAAAATGGTTTAGCTAAACTCAAAGATTTGTTGCATCTTTCCTTGACGTATTTAACAAACGTTTATTCCACCCCTGCTGTGTGGTTGGTGACAATACAAAGATGAAATAAACAAAAGTCCCTGAGCTTAGGCGGGTCTCTATGCAGGGAAAGGAATTGGTGCATGAAGTTAATGGATATATGCTGACATGGAAGTGTCTACAGGGCCCTGTGGATCACAGCAAAGAAAGCGTACTAGTATCAGGACAGGCTTCATAAAGAATGTGTTGAGCCTTTTCCCCCTCCCCAACTCCTCATTTGAAAAAAGAAGTCAAACCTACAGAAAAGTTGCAAGGAGAATATGATAAACATCTCTCTCTCTAAATGTAGATGGATGGATGGGAATATATGTATTTCTAAATATAAATATAGCCATCATCCAGGTTTCCCAATTGTTGACATTTTTGCCGCATTAACTCTTTCTCATTTTCTCTCCGTAGCCTTCTCTTTTTTTCTGATCTTTTACTTCTAAATACTTAGACATATATTTTCTAGAAACAAGGGCATTCTCCTACTAAAACACAGAATATTACAATAAGGAATTTTAACCTGGATATAATTCTATAGCTAATAT
Organism: Homo sapiens; assembly: GCF_000001405.40. Classification (NCBI taxonomy): domain Eukaryota; kingdom Metazoa; phylum Chordata; class Mammalia; order Primates; family Hominidae; genus Homo; species Homo sapiens. Next base: position 142,268,155 of record NC_000003.12, on the reverse strand, counting down.
GCAGAATGTATTCAAATTTCCCCAATATTATAACTGCTTTTTGTTGTTGTTGTTCAATCTAGAATCCAAATAAGAATTGGGGCCAAGCCCTGTGGCTCATGCCAGTAATCTCAGCACTTTGGGAGGTCAAGGCAGGCAGATCATTTGAGGTCAGGAGTTCAAGACCAGACTGGCCAACATGGTGAAACCCTGTCTCTACTAAAAATACAAAACTTAGCCAGTCATGGTGGCTCATGCCTGTAATCCCAGCTACTTGTGTGGCTGAGGCACGAGAATCACTTGAATTTGGAAGGTGGAGGCTGCCGTGAGCCAGGATCGCACCACTGCACTCCATCCAGCCTGGGCAACAGAGCGAGACTCTGTCTCAAAAATAAAAAATTTTTTTAAAAAAAGAATCAGATTAGCACTGAATTTAGTTGTCAGGTCTCTCTAATCTCCCTTAATCTAAATTAAGTCCTCAGGCATATTTCCCTAACAACACTGATATTTTTGAAGGTTCCAGGCTAGTTGTTGTGAAGAGAGGCCCTCAGTTTGGATTTGTCCAATTGTTTTCTCATTATTAGATTCAGGTTAGACATCTGCAGCAAGAGTCCAACCTTGGTGATAGTAAGGAGGCATTGGCAGGTAGTGATAGGTATGGTTGGGATTTATACTCAGAACAGTTTAAACAAGGAAGTAGACAAGTAATAATTGACATTCAGTAAATAGTGAGGGCTGACCAGATGCGGAAGCTTTGCCCCCATCCATGCCCACTCCCAGTCAAATAAATAGAAATGCTGGTTAACACCTAACAACAGCAACCAAAAATTATTTTATTTATTACTATACTTGAAACCAAGAAAGACGAATCCTGAGGTACTTAGAGTGGTGAGGAGCTGCTATGGGTGGAAAAAGTCCCTTATGAGAAACTAGAACCTTTGTGTTTGGAGATAATTTTTGATATGGTTAGGCTTTGTGTTTTGACACAAATCTCATCTTAAATTGTAATCCCCGTAATCTCCACCTGTCAAGGGAGAGACCAGGTGGATGTAACTGAATCCTGGGGTGGTTCTCCCATGCTGTTCTTGTGATAGTGAGTGAGTTCTCACGAGATCTGATGGTTTTATAAGAGGCTCTTCCCCTCTTCCCTTGGCACGTCTCCTTTCTGCCGCCTTGTGAAAAATGTGTCTTGCTTTGCCTTCGCCTTCTGCTGTGATTGTAAATTTCCTGAGGCATCCCCAGCCATGCTGAACTGTGAGTGAATTAAACCTCTTTTTTAAAATATATTTATTATTTTTGAGACAGAGTCTCGCTCTGTCACCCAGGCTGGCATGCAGTGGCACAATCTCAGCTCACTGTAACCTCCACCTCCCAAGTTCAATCAATTCTTCCACCTCAGCCTCCCAAGTAGCTGGGATTACAGGTGTGCACCACCATGCCCGGCTAATTTTTGTATTTTTTTTTTTTTTTTTGTAGAGACAGGGTTTCACCATGTTGGCCAGGGTGGTCTTGAACTCCTGGCCTCATGTGATCCACCTGCCTCCACCTCCCACAGTGCTATGATTACAGATGTGAGCTATCACATCTGGCCACCTCTTTCCTTAAAAAAATAACCCAGTCTCAGGCAGTTCTTTATAGCAGTATGAAAATGGTCTAATACAATTCTCCATAGCATTTCTTTTTTTTCTTTAGACAAAGTCTACTTCTGTCACCCAGGCTGGAGTGCAGTGGCATAATCTCAGCTCACTGCAACCTCTGTCTCCCAGGTTCAAGCAATTCTCCTGCCTCAGCCTCCCTAGTAGCTGGGACTACAGGTGTGCACCACCACACCCAACGAATTTGTATATTTTTAGTATTGATAGGGTTTCACCATGTTGGCCAGGCTGATCTCAAACTCCTGACCTCAGGTTATCTTCCCATCTCAGCCTCCCAAAGTGCTGGGATTACAGGCATGAGCCACTGCGCCCGGCCTTCCATGGCATTTCTACAAGTCTTATGACAATTTTAGTCTCAAACTCCCTATTCAAGCATGTACAGGAGATGGCCTTGGAAACTAGAGATAGTGCCTCCCTCTGGATAAGAGAGCAGATTGTTCCTTGATAAGGATAATAAAGATAATATTTTCCTCAGGGGCAAAGATTGGTATTTTTGCCAGCAGTCCCTTCAAGAAGGTTGGAGGTTTCCTAAGCTCAGTGATTCAGTCACTGTGTCACTGTGACACAGCCGAGAAACACTGAGCTCCTCCTCAGCACTCTTAGTACCTCAGGACTTGTCTCGATGCACAGAGTGCCCCAAAGTGAGCATGAGGCTTGCGCTGCCTGCCGTGCCTAAGCCATCAGGATTTGTCTCCTTAGTGGCTGAATATATGGAAGTGTGGTGAACTGACCCAGCAGCAACTGTAGTCACTGGTACTTAAGGACTGCTTGACACTATGTCACCCACCAATGCAGGGTCTGAATTCACAATACTTCATATGGTAGGAACACTAAACTGAGAAATTAATATGGAAACTCATTTGAAACCCATGAAACCTTCAAGGTCCTGGCAGAGGCAAACATGAAACTGCTCTATAGGGATGCTCACGTAACCCACAATGCACAGAATTTCCATGGGAAAAAAAAAAAAAACTCCACCAGAGATAATTTTACAATTTGAAAGATGAAAAACCACAGAAGAAAATTACCACTGTGAGGGTGAGGGAACATACACAGCAATTGGAAGCATTTACACTTCAAGAGATAGAGATAATAGAGCAATCTGAAAAAGAATTTGAAATAAGTATGTGTATTAGTCTGTTTTCATGCTGCTGATAAAGACATATCCGAGACAGGACAATTTACAAAAGAAAGAAGTTTATTGGAGTTACAGTTCCATGTGGCTGGAGAGGCCTCACAATCATAGCAGAAGGCAAGGAGGAGCAAGTCACATCTTACGTCGATGGCAAGAGGCAAAGAGAGAGCTTGTGCAGGCAAACTCCTGTTTTTAAAACCATTAGATTTTGTGAGACTCATTCACTATCACAGGAACAGTGAAGGAAAGACCCGCCCCCATAATTCAATCACCTCCCACTGGGCTTCTCCCACAACAGGTGCAAACTGTGGGAGTTACAATTCAAGATGAGATTTGGGTGGGGACACAGATAAGCAGATCCATATGTTAAAAATAATCAAATAGGTAAAGCAAAGAAAAGACCCTCTCTGGCAAGAATAACATAAAATAGTAATAATAAAGAACAGATAATTTTAAGTAGAAATTCCAGAAAATAAAAAAAATATAGTCAGTTTTAAAGCTAAGTGGTTAGATCAGAGACATAGCACAAGAGAGGATGATTAGATTGGAAAATGGAGCTGAGGACATCACCCATAATATAGCACAAAGTGATAAATAAACAGAACATGGGAAAGAGCTATTAAGATATATGGCCAGGCACGGTTGCTCATGCCTGTAATCCCAGTAGTTTGGAACACCTGATGTTAGGAGTTCGAGACCAGCCTGGGCAGCGCAGTGAAACCCCGTCTCTACTCAAAATACAAAAACTAGTCAGGCATTATGGTGGGCACCTGTAATCCCAGCTACTCAGAAGGCTGAGGCAGGAGAATCACTTGAACCCGGGAGGAAGAGGTTGCAGTGAGCCGAGATTGCGTCACTGCACTCCAGCCTGGGTGACAGAGTGAGACCCCATCGCAAAATAAAAAAAAAAAAAAGAGATACATGAAGAACAGAGTGAAAAAATAAAATATATGTAGGCTGGGCATGGTGGCTCAGGCCTGTAATCCCAGCACTTTGGGAGGCCGAGGTGGGCGGATCATCTGAGGTCAGGAGTTCGAGACCAGCCTGGCCAACACAGAGAAACCACATCTCTACTAAATATACAAAAATTAGCCAGTATAGTGGCATGCACCTGTAGTCCCACGTACTGAGGAGGCTGAGGCAGGAGAATCGCTTGAACCCAGGAAGTGGAGGCTGCAGTGAGCTGAGATCACGCCACTGCACTCCAGCATGGGCGACAGAGCAAGACTCTGTCTCAAAAAAAAAAAAAAAAAAGAAAAAGAAAAAAAGGTACCTGAGAAACAAGACAGATACCCTCAAAAGAATGAGAATTAGATTGACAGCTGATTTATCCTTAGCAATAATAGTGCTAGAAGCCAATGAAACAGTATTTCCAAAGTAGAGAAAGAAAGTAACTGTCTGGCTGGGCATGTAGCTCACACCTGTAATCCCAGCACTTTGGGAGGCCGAGGTGGGTGGATCACTTGAGGTCAGGAGTTTGAGACCAGCCTGGCCAACATGGAGAATCCCCATCTCTACTAAAAAAGAAATATGCAGACCAATATATCTTATGAGTATGAATGCAAAAGTCCTCAACAAAATACTAGCAAACAGAATCCAGAAACATATAAACCAAATTACATTCCATGACCAAGTGGAATTTATCCCAGAGTGCAAGTTTGTTTTAACATCCAAATGTCAATTAATGGAATATGTTATATCAATAGAATTAATGTAATATATCATACCAGTATCAAATAATCATCTCATTAAACACAGAAAAACTAGTGGACAAAATTCAACACCCTTTCATGATAGAAACATTCAACATACTAGGAATAGAAGGAAAATTTCTCAACCTGATAAAAGGCATCTATAAAAAACCTAATTTAAAAATAGACAAAGGTAAGCCATGATCATGCCACTGCCCTCCAGCCTGGGTGACAAAGCAAGACACTGTCAAAAAAAAAAAAAAAGACTAAAGATCTGAATAGATATTTCTCCAAGGAAGGCCAATAATCACAGTGAAAAGATGCTTGACATCATCATTAATCACTGGGGAAATGCAAAGCAAAACCACAATGAGATACCACTTTACATCCACTACAATGGCTAGAATAAAAAGGTCAGGCAATAAACCGGGCACAGTGGCACACGCCTATCACCCCAGCCCCAGCTACTTGAGAGGTTGAGATGGGAGGATTGCTTGAGCCCAGGAGTTTGAGCCCAGCATGGGGGAAACATAGTGACACCCCATGTCTCTCATTCTCTTTCTCTCTCTTTTGTTTTTCTTTTGAGACAGGGTCTCACTCTGTCACTCAGGCTAGAGTGCAGTTGTGCAATCGTAACTCACTGCAGCCTTCAGTGCGGGTCTTTGAGTAGTTGACTTTCTTAGTTTTTGAATACTCGAACATATCTTTATATAGCTTCACTTTTAAACCATAGTTGAGCTTGGTTAATAATGCTAGTCTGATGTTCTTCTCCTTTTTTTTTTTTCTGAGACAGAGTTTCGCTCTGTCGCCCAGGCTGGAGTGCAGTGGTGAAATCTTTGCTTACTGCAGCCTCCGCCTCCCGGATTCAAGCAATTCTCCTGCCTCAACCTCCTGAGTAGCTGGGATTTACAGGTGTGCACCACCACGCCCAGCTAATTTTGTACTTTTTAGTAAAGATGGGGTTTCACCATGTTGGCCAGGCTGGTTTCAAACTCCTGACTTTAAGTATCTGCCTACCTTAACCTCCCAAAGTGCTGGGATTACAGCGATGACCCACTGGGCCTGGCCAGTCTGTAGATTTCTTTTTTGGTTGTTGTTTGTTTGTTTGTTTTTGAGACGGAGTCTCGCTCTGTCGCCCAGGCTGGAGTGCAATGGCGCGATCTTGGCTCACTGCAAGCTCCGCCTCCTGGGTTCAAGCAATTCTCCTGCCTCAGACTCCCGAGTAGCTGGGACTACAGGCGCCCGCCACCACCCCCGGCTAATTTTTTGTATTTTTAGTAGAGACGGGGTTTCACCATGTTAGCCAGGATGGTCTCGATCTCCTGACCTCGTGATCCACCCGCCTCGGCCTCCCAAAGTGCTGGGATTACAGGTGTGAGCTACCACGCCTGGCTGTAGATTTCTTGTGTTGCCTTTGTACAGTTTTAATATTAGGGTAATAGTGGCCTCATATAGTGAATTGGGAAGTGTTTTTTCCTCTTCTATTTTTTGAAAGAGTTTATGAAGAGTTGGTATTAGCTTTCTGTGAACGTTTGAATGTTTGGTAGAACTGAGCAGTGAAGCTACCTGGGACTTTTTCGTGAGCAGTTTTTTAATTTTTAAATACTAATTCAGTTTCTTCATTTGTTATAGGTCTATTCAGATTTTCTATTTCTTCTTGAGTCATTTTTAATAGTTTGTGTCTTTGAGGAATTTATTTTATCTAGGTTATTTTATTTATGTATGTATTTATTTTTGAGACAGGGTCTCACTCTGTAGTAGCACAGTCTTGGCTCACTACAACCTCTGCCTCCCAGGTTCAAGCAATTCTAGTGCCTCAGCCTCCCAAGTAGCAGGGATTACAGGCACCTGCTACCACGCCTGGCTAATTTTTTGTATTTTTAGTAGAGATAGGGTTTTGCCATGTTGGCCAGGCTGGTCTCAAACTCCTGGCCTCTAGTGATCCCCCCCACCTCAGCCTCCCAAAGTGCTGGGATTACAGGCATGAGCCACTGTGCGCAGCCCATAGATTATCTAATTTATTGGCATGCAGTTATTCATAATATTCCTATATAATCTTTTCATGTCTATAAGGTCAGTAGTAACACTGCCTGATTCTAGTAATTTTGAGAGAGAAGAATAGCACTGGGTGGTGGCAGGAGGATAGAAAACCCCAAACAGCTAAAACAGGAACTATGCAAAGAAACTACAGAATAGAAAACCCAAAATAAGGGAGAGAAAATTGCCAAAATTCGGGTTTGGGTGACCTGTCCATGACTCTTCCAGGGAAACCCAAATAAAGGAGAGGGGTTTTCACTGAAATCCCCTTCTTTTCCTAAATACCTAATAATTATTTCATCTTCTTTTTTCTTAATTTTTTTTCCTTTATAGAGGTGGGGTCTCACTATGTTGACCAGGCTGGTCTCAAACTCCTGGCCTCAAGCAATCCTCCCACCTCAGCCTCCCAAACTTCTGGGATTACAGGTCTGAGCCACTGGGCCCAGTCATTATTCCATCTTCTAATTAAGAAACACCCAGCAATTTCAGGTAGCAGCAAGAAAGGAGCTGTTAAAATTAGCTACAAGGATAAGAACAAGCCTGGGATGGTAAGACCCTAACAAACAGGATGGTGCTAACCTGATTGAAACCAACTGGGTTCACCATGGTGCTGGATTTGATCCATACCTTACCCCAGACCTCATTATACGTTCATTACCATACTAAAGCACACACCCACCAACGCCATGACAGATCCGGGCATGCCCAAAATGTGTGGCAACCCAATTCTAGTAAATCGCCACATTTTTCCTAGAAGACTTCATGATTATTCTACTCCTTTATTAGAAGAGTCCATAAAATTAGAAACCCAAACTCTGTTGCATGTGACTCACCCTCCCGAGCACACCCCTAGCCACTCTCGCTCTTAAGTGTGTACTTTTGCTTTGCAATGAAAGCTTCTTGGCTGGGCCTGGTGGCTCACACCTGTAATCCCAGCACTTTGGGAGGCCTAGGTGGGCGGATCACTTGAGGTCAGGAGTTCGAGACCAACCTGGCCAACACGGCAAAACCCGTCTCTCCTAAACATACAAAAATTAGCTGGGTGTGGTGGTGCATGCCAGTAATTCCAGCTACTTTGGAGGCTGACATGGGAGAATCATTTGAACCCAGGAGGCGGAGGTTGCAGTGAGCCAAAATTATGCCATTGCACTCCAGCCTGGGTGACAGAGCAAGACTCCATCTCAAAAACAAAACAAAACAAAACAAAAAACAGAAAAAACGCTTCTTGTCTTTTGTTTTATTCTGTCTCATCCCTGAATTCTTTCTCGCAATGGTTTCAAGAACCTGGAACACCCGCCTGGGGCTGGGGCCTCACCAGCACCTGGAGACCAACCTAAGCTCTCCAGCAACAATTTGAGTCTTATCTTTTTTCATTATAAATTTCCTCTTATTTCTACTAACATTTTTGTTTTACAGTTTATTTTGTTTGATATTAGGATAGCCATTTCAATTCTTGTGGTGGTGATTTGCAAATCTTTTTCCATCCTTTTACTTTCAATCTATTTGTATCTTTGAATCTAAATTATATTCTCCATAGATATTACATAGTTAGATCTTGTTTTTTAAAATTCAGTTTTACAAGTTCTGCCCTTAATTAGATTGTTTAATAAATTCATATTGAATGCTATTGTTGATATAGTTGGATTTATGTCTACCATTTTACTTATTTTCTATGTGTCTCATCTCTTTTTTGGTCCTCTATTCTTCCTTTACTGCTATCTTTTGCATTAAGTGAATATTTTTTAATGAAGTATTTACATTTCTATAGTGATTTTTTTTCCTACTTTTTGAGGTTTGTTTTTTCAGTATGAGGCAGAAGAATAGGGCCTAGAGGCAGGGAACCTAAGGACTTCCTAGAACTAAATCAAATGGAAACACTTCAGCTATGACAGGAAATATCCTCTTCATTTACAGGGTGTACACCAAGCAAATAACTTTGCAACTTCACTTTAGCCTCTTCATTTACATAGGGAGTACACCAAGTAACCAATGGAAACCTCTAGAGGGTATTTAAACCCCAGAAAACTCTGTAATTCGGCTCTTGAGCCCCTATGCTCCTGCCCTGTGGAGTGTGCTTTTGTTTTCAGTAAATCTCTGCTTTTGTTGCTTCATTCTTTACTTGCTTTGTTTGTGCGTTTTGTCAAATTCTTTGTTTGAGATGCCAAGAAACTGGACACGCTCCACTGGTAACAAGGGCTTCTTAACAAATTAGAATTAACTTCAGATTTATACTAACTTAATTCAAGTGAGATATAGAGGCACTATTTTTATATAAGTCTATTCTTCCCCCTTCCTTTTTTGGTTTCGTTGTACATGTTAACTCTAGTAATGTTACAGACGAAGTAATATATTGTTATAATTATTATTTTACCATCTGTAGTCACTTAGTTCAAAACAGCTTTGCTTCCAATCACCTCCTTTGGGTTTTTATTGGCAAATATATTAAAAATTTATATATAAATTTATATATATATATATAATATATATAGTATATATAATATATTATATATATAATATATATATAAAAATATATAAAAATCCTATATGTTTTAGGCTCAGCAATATATACACATTTTACACAATTGCTTTTTAAATAAGAGAAGAAAAACAAAATATGCATTTATACTATCTTTCATAATTATATTTTCCTAGAGTTCTCTTGTAAGTGATGAACTGTTTTTTTCTTGTGGTTTTGAAGATTATCCCTTTGTCTTTGACCTTCAGTATTTCTACTATGATGGTCTGTTTTTGGACTTCTTTGTGTTTATCCTACTTGAAGTCCCTTGAGCTTCCTAGATACATAGGTTGGTGTTTTTCAGTATGGGATGTTTCTAGCCATTATCTCTTTGAATATTTTTTCTGCTCGTCTCTGTCTGCTCCTTCTGGCATTCCCATTACATATATGTTGGTGTGCTAAATGGTGTCCCACATTTCTTTGAGGCTTTATTATTTTTCATTTCTTTTTCTTCCTGTTCTTTGGATTATGTAATTTCTATCGACTTATCTTCAAGTTCACTAAGTGTTTCATCTGCTAGCTCAAATCTTTTTTTTTTCATTTCAGTGATTTTTTCCATTTACAAATTTCAACTGCAGAATTTCCATTTGGTGCTTTTTATAATTTCTATCCCTTTATTGATATTTTGTATTTAGTGTGATATTGTCATCACAACTTCCTTTACTTCTTTGTGGTTTCTCTTAGGTCTTTGAACATATTTATTTATTTATTTGTTTGTTTGTTTATTTTTTGAGACAGGGTCTCACTCCCATTACCCAGGCTGGAATGCAGTGGTATGATTGTTACCAGAAAGGGGTCCTGATCCAGACCCCAAGACAGGGTTCTTGGACCTCAAGCAAGAAAGAATTCAGGGCGAGTCTGTAAAGTGAAAGCAAGTTTATTAAGAAAGTAAAAGAATAAAAGAATGGTTACTCCACAGGCAGGACAGCCTATTTATTATTTATTTTTGAGATAGGGTCTCACTGTCACCCAGGCTGGAGTGCAATGGCACACTCATGGCTCACTGCAGCCTTGACCTCCCGGGCTCAAGCAATTCTCCTGCCTCAGCCACCTGAGTAGCTGGGACTACAGGGGCACACCACCACATCTGGCTAATTTTTTGTATCTTTTGTAGAGATGGGGGTCTCACCATATTGCCCAGGCTGGTCTCAAACTCTTCAGCTTAAGGGATCCTCCATCTTCAGCTTCCCAAAGGGATTACAGGTGTGATACATTGTAGATAACATATGGTAGCCACTCTGGGTCTGTCCCTACCCCTTCCAGAGCTTGTTGGTATTATTTGCTGTTTATTTGTTTAGTGACTGGCTGGACTATTTTAATGAAGTCTAGTTTCTCCCCCACCCCCAGCCCCTCTGCAGTACTAAGCCTCTCATGTTGCTCCTCAAGGAGGCCCAGGTGGGGATGAACACAGTCACCCTGGCAGGGCAGTGGACTTGGCTGTGTTCACCTCATTTCTTTCCCTGACTATACCCCTCTGTTAAACTCCATGAATTGCTAGCTAGTTGTTCTATTGTTTTCAGAGAAGCCTTAGAGGGTGAAACCACCTTTGCAAAATTATGACTGAGACAGTGAAAGAGATCTAACTTTACTGACTCCATCTTTCTTCTAACCTCCAAGCTGCTCTTGTTCATTCCTGGGCATAGGCTGAACTAACTTTGGGAGAAACTTACTTTATAGTTTAAACAAAGACAGTAACAGCCCCTTCGCAAAGCAGACCTCCTTCTTGCCTGGGAACTAGATTGCCTTTGTAGGACTAACATAAGCCACAAGATTAGAAATTATGGTTTAGGAGTCATGCAGCTGGAGTCTAAAAGATTCTGACCTTCCCTAACTGCTCCTAAGATCAGTGCTGGAGATATTTTGCAGACCCTGCACTTGATGGATCAGCTGGCACCACCCAGATCAATAAACTGGCTCATCTGCTCTTGTGGCTCCCGCCACCCGGGAACTGACTCAGTGCAGGAAGACAGCTTCGGTTCTCTATTATTTCATCTCTGACCAATCAGCACGCCTGGCTCGCTGGCTTCCACGCCCCGCTACCCATCAAGTTATCTTTACAAACTCTGCTTCTTGAATTCTCGGAGAGACTGATTTGAGTAATAATAAAACTCCGGTCTCCCGCACAGCCAGCTCTGTGTGAATTATTCTTTCTCTATTGCAATTCCCCTGTCTTGATGAATTGGCTCTGCCTACCCATCGGGGAAGGTGAACCCCTTGGGCGGTTACAAGGGCATAAATTAATCTAGAACTAATCCAGTAAAATTCAGGCTCCTTCAAAGAGATAGGTCTGGGTGTCAGTATTGGATATTTGTTCTGACACCAGGGTGCTCCTCCCAGCTGTGTCTTTCTCTGGTTCTCTCCTGCAGACAAGCTGGCCCATGGTTTAGCCTGTGTCTTGAATCTCCTCCCAATTGCCTTTCACCACAACCTCCTCTGTTTTTGAGAGCAACCTTTTGACAAAGTGGAACCCGAAAAATTGGTGTTCAGCCTGGGAGGCCAATGCTTTCTTGGCTTCATGGAGGAAAGAATTCAAGAACGAGATGAGAGAATAAAGTGAAAGCAAGTTTATTAAGGAAACAAATGAAATAAAGCCTACAGCATAGGCAGAGTTGTGCTGTGGGGGTTGCTGCTAGCTGGCTATTTGATGGCTATTTCTTGATGATATGCTAAACAAGAGGAGGATTGTTTCATGAGTTTTCTGGAAAAGGGGCAAGGAGCTCCCAGAACCAGGGGTTTCTCCCCCTTACAGACCATATAGGGTAACTTCCAGGTGTTGCCATGGCATTTGTAAACTATCACGGCATTGGTGGGCATGTCTTTTAGCATGTGAATGCATTATAATTAGCCTATAATGAGCAGTGAGGGTAATCAGAGGTCACTTTCATTGCCATCTTACTTCTAGTTGGTTTGAGCTGGCTTCTTTTTTTTTTTTTTTTGAGACGGAGTCTTGCTCCGTTGCCCAGACTGGAGTGCAGTGGCGCAATCTCAGCTCACTGCAACCTCTGCCTCCTGGGTTCAAGCGATTCTCCTGCCTCAGCCTCCTGAGTAGCTGGGATTACAGGCGCACGCCACCACACCCAGCTAATTTCTGTGTTTTTAGTACAGATGGGGTTTCACCATGTTGGTCAGGCTGGTCTCGAACTCTTGACCTTGGGATCCCCCCACCTCAGCCTCCCAAAGTGCTGGGATTACAGGCGTGAGCCACTGCACCCAGCCGATGATGGTATTTTGATGGGAATTGCGTTGAATTTGTAGACTGCTTTTGGCATTGGTATGGTCATTTTCACAATATCAATTCTACCCATCCATGAGCATGGGATGCATTTTCATTTTATTGTGTCATCGATAATTTCTTTGAGCAGTGTTTTGTAGTTTTCCTTGTAGAGCTTTTTCATCTCCTTGGTTAGGTATATTCCTAAATATTTTATTGTATTTTTTTTTTTTTTGTAGCTGTTGTAAAAGGGGTTGAGTTCTTGATTTGATTTTCAGCTTCGTCATTGTTGGTGTATAGCAGTCTACTGATTTGTGTTCATTGATTTTGTACCCTGAAACTTTACTGAATTCATTTATCGATGTAGGAGATTTTTGGATGAGTCTTTAGGGTTTTCTAGGTATATAATCATATCATCGGCGAACAGTGACAGCTGGACTTCCTCTTTACTAATTTGGATGCCCTTAATTTCTTTCTCTTGTCTGATTGCTCTGGCTAGCACTTCCAGTACTATGTTGAATAGAAGTGGTGAAAGTGGGCATCCTTGTCTTGTTCCCCTTCTCAGGGGGAATGCTTTTGAGTTTTCCCTATTCAGTATAATGTTGGCTGTGGGTTTGTCATAGACGGTTTTTATTGCCTTGAGGTATGTCTCTTCTATGCTGATTTTGCTGAAGGTTTTAATCATAAAGTGATGCTGGATTTTGTCAAATGCTTTTTCTGCATCTGTTGAGATGATTATATGATTTTTGTTTTTAATTCTGTTTATGTGATGTATCACATTTATTGACTTCCATATGTTAAACCATCCCTACATCCGTGGTATGAAATCCACTTGATCATGGTGTATTATCTTTTTGATATGCTGTTTGATTCAGTTAGCTAGTATTCTGTTGAGGAATTTTGCATCTATGTTCATCAGAGATATTGGTCTGTAATTTTCTTTCCTTGTTATGTTCTTTCCTTGTTTTGGTATTAGGGTGGTACTGAAGCAAGATTTTTTGTTCCTTAGTTTATTTAAATCTGGGTTCTTGTCTAATACCCAGGAAAAATTAGGCATGTGAACAAATTGAAAGGTGAGGAGAGTGGAATTTATTAAAAGAACGCTCTCAGCAAAAAAGAGGGGGTCCTGCCAACAGGCTCCCACCTCACAGATTGAATACTGGACCACCACACAAGAGCTGAAGAGGACAGGCTTCTTCCCTCCTGCATAAGGTGCAAATTCCTGATGGCTCCACACCATTCTCCCAGTGCACAGATGGGCCCTTAGTCTGAGCCACTCCACGTTGATTTATTTCTCTTACTGTGCATGTGTTAGTGGACAAAATTTTTCACTGTGGGTGTGTTTAGGCAAGCCCCATGTGCACAATGACCTGGGCAGCATTTGGCTGTCTCCTGTTTCAACACTGGCTTCGTAGAATGATTTAGAGAAGATTCCCTCTTTCTCTATCTTTTGGAATAATTTTGAACCAATTATTCTTTGAATGCCTGAGAGAATTCAGCTGTGAATCCATCTGGTCCTGGACTTTTTTTGTTGGCAATTTTTAAAAAATTACTATTTCAATCTTGCTACTTGTTATTAGTCTGTTCAGTTTCTATTTCTTCCTGATTTAATCTAGGAGGGTTGTGTATTTCCAGGAATTTATCCATCTCCTCTAGATTTTCTAGTTTTTGTGTATAAACGTGTTCATAATAGCCTTGAATGATCTTTTGTATTTCTGTGGTATCACTTGTAGTATCTCCTGTTTCGTTTCCAATTGAGCTTATTTAGATTTTCTCTCTTCTTTTTTTGGTTAATCTCACTAATGGTCTATCAATTTTGTCTGTCTTTTCAAAGAACCAGCTTTTTGTTTATTTATCTTTTGTATTTTTTTTCAATTTCATTTATTTCTGCTCTAATCTTTGTTTTTTCTTTTCTTCTGCTCAGTTTGGGTTTGGTTTGTTCTTGTTCCTCTAGTTCCTTGAGGTGTGACCTTGGATCATCTATTTGTGCTCTTTCAGACTTTTTGTTAAATTTAATGCTATGAACTTTCCTCTTAGCACCACTTTTGCTGTGTCCTGGAGGTTTTGATAAGTTGTGTCACTATTATCATTCAGTTCAAAGAATTTTTACATTTCCATCTTGATTTCATTGTTGACCCAAAGATCATTCAGTAGCAGATTATTTAATTTCCAGGTACTTGTATAGTTTTGAGGGTTCCTTTTGGAGTTAATTTCCAATTTTATTCCACTGTGGTCTGAGAGGGTACTTGATATAGTTTCAAATTTCTTAAATTTATTGAGACTTGTTTTGTGGCCTATCATATGGTCTATCTTGGAGAATGTTCCATGTGCTGATGGAAAGAATGTATATTCTGCAATTATTGGGTAGAATGTCTAGGTCTCTAGTGAGGCCAGGAAAGTTTTCCTTGATTATTTCCTCAAATATGTTTTCCAAAGTTTTAGATTTCTTTTCTTCCTTGGCAACACCAATTATTCTTAGGTTTGCCTGTTTAACATAATCCCAAATTTCTTGGAAGCTTTGTTCATTTTTGAAAAATTCTTTTTTCCTTGTCTTTGTCTGATTGGGTTAATTCAAAAGCCTTCTCTTCAAGCTCTGAAATTCTTTCTTCTACTTGTTCAATTCTGTTGTTGAAACTTTCCATTGCATTTTGTATTTCACTAATTGTGTCTTTCATTTCCAGAAGTTGTAATTTTTTCAATAATATCTATTTCTCTGGAGCATTTTTCATCCATATCCTGTATTTTTTTTTAAATTTCTTTAAGTTGGTTTTCACCTTTGTCTGGTATCTCCTTAAGTAGCTTAATAATCAACCTTCTGAATTCTTTATCTGGCAATTTAGATATTTCTTCTTGGTTTGAATCTAATGCTGGGGAGCTAGTGTGGCCTTTTGGGAGTGTTATAGAACCTTGTTTTGTCATATTACCAGAATTTACTTTCTGATTCCTTCTCATTTGGGTAGACTATTTGAGCAGAAAAATCTAGAACTCAAGGCCTGCTGTTCAGATTCTTTTGTCCCATGGGGTGGTCTCTTGATGTGGTACACTTCCCCTTCCCCTAGGGACGGGGTTTCCTGCAAGCCTGACTGCAGTGATTGTTATTGCTCTTCTGGGTCTAGCCACCCCGCAGGGCTACCAGGTTCTGGGCTGGTGCTGGGCAATGTCTGCAAAGAGTCCTGTGATGCGATCTGTCTTCAGTTCTCCCAGCCGTGGATACCAGAACTTGCCCTGGTGGAGGTGGCAGGGGAGTAAAGCAGACTCTGTGAGACTCTTTGGTTGTAGATATGTTTAGTACCCTGGTTTTCTCGAATGCTGGATATGCTGGTAGTGAAGTTGTCACATGGATCGACTCAGGACCTCTGGTTAGCCAGGATGTTGCAGGCAGTGGAATTAGTTGTTGTTTTCTCCTTCCTTGGAGCAGGGGTATTCTGTCATGAGTTGCTGTAATATCCTGAGTTAGTTAGCCTCCAGCCAGGAGGAGGTGCTTTCAAGAGAGCACCAGCTGCAATAGTAGAAGGGAGATATAACCTTGCCCTAAGTTGGCCAGGACACGTATTCAGGTTTCTCAAGTGATAGATGGGGTCATAAATCTCCCAAGTGTTTATGTCTTTTGTGATCTGCTACCAGGGCAGGTAGAGAAATACCATTAGGTTGGGGCAGGGTTAGGCGGATCTGGGCTCAGAGTCTTCTTGGATGGGGCTTGCCATGGCCATTATGGGGGATGGGAAGTGGTTCTTAAGCTAATGGGATTATGTTTCAAAGGGGATTATGGCTGCCTCTGTCATCAGGGAAGTGTGGAAAAGCTGGTAGCAATAGGCCTCATCCAGCTCCCACGCAGTTGTTGAGGCCAGTCTTGCTCTGATCATGTCCTAATAACAGCACTGAGCTTATCTCCAAGTAGCCCACACATGGGACTAAGACCTAATCCCAGGCTATAAGTTTCCCTGCTGAAAAAGCAAGCACAGCTTTCAGGCCATGCCCCTCCCTGCCTGCCATACTGTCAGCTGCAACTCCTGCTGTCCTTTCTGCAGCAGTTCCCATTCGTCTCCAGATTCTGCTCAACAGTTTGTACTCGGTCAAAATTATTAGAAAGTTCAATTGGAAACTTCTTTCACCTTGTGACCCCTCTGAAATTCCACTGGCTGCCTTCCCCGAAGGCCCTGTGAGATATGGTCAGGGTTGGCTTCCCTGGGCTCAAGCTGGAGAATGGCAGTGCCTATATGGCTCTTCCTGCTGGTGCTTCTACTTCTATATTTCACACTAAATCTGTTTTAGCTCTAGATAAGGTTAAATCTTTCTCCCATAACCTGTATTACTTTGGGAATTCATAGTTTGTCGCCTGCCTCAGATAATTTGCAGTGGCCTGTCTCTTCTCTCAAATGATCTGTAAATTCTTTTGGTTTTCTGGGTGCGCTCCTGTGGTGGTTCCTTAAGCAAAAGTCAGTGGTGTGAGTCTCCATATGCTGTTCTGTTCATCCAAGTGGGAGTTACACATCAACCCTGTCTCCTATCTGCCGTCTTCTCCCCATAATCCTCCCGTGTCCTCCTTTTTTATGGCCAAATAATATTTCGTTGTGTATATATACCACATTTTCTTTATCCATTCGTCTATTGTTGGAGAGTTACGTCGTTTCTATATCTTGGCTATTGTAAAAAGTACTACAGCTGGGCGCGGTGGCTCATGCCTGTAATCCCAGCACTTTGGGAGGCCAAGGTGAGTGGATCATGAGGTCAGTAGTTCAAGACCAGCCTGACCAACATGGTGAAATCCCGTCTCTACTAAAAATAAAAAATTAGCCGAGCATGGTAGCACACGCCTGCAATCCCAGCTACTCAGGAGGCTGAGGCAGGAGAATTGCTTGAACCCAGGAGGCGGAGGTTGTGGTGAGCGGAGATAGTGCCACTGCACTCCAGCCTGAGTGACAGAGCAAGACTCTGTCTCAAAAATAAAAACAGAAAAAAAGTACTACAATAAGCATGAGAGAGCAGATATCTCTTCAACCTACTGATTTCATTTCCTTTGGACATTTACCTAGTAGTAATGGGATTGCTGGATCATATAGTAGTTTTATTTTTAATTTTTTGAAGAAACTCCATACTGTTTTCCACAGTGGATGTACTAATTTAAAATCCTACCAAAATATGTATGTGTTCCCTTTCTCCACACTCCACCCAATACTTGTTTTCTTCTGTTTTTTTTTTTGTTGTTTTTTTGATGGAGTCTTGCTCTGTTGCCCAGGCTGGAGTGCAGTGGCATGATCTCGGCTCACTGCAACCTCTGCCTCCCAGGCTTAAGTGATCCTCCTGCCTCAGTCCTCCAGTAGCTGGGATTACAGGCACGTACCACCATGCCCAGCTAATTTTTGTATTTTTAGTAGAGACGGGGTTTTGCCATGTTGGCCAGGCTGGTCTCAAACTCCTGATCTCAGGTGATCCACCTGCCTCAGCCTCCCAAAGTGCTGGGATTACAGGCATGAGCCACTGCGCCCGGCCCTCTTCTGTCTGTTCTATAATAACCATTCTAATTTGTGTGAGGCAGTATGTCCTCGAAATTTTGATTTGCATTTCCCTGATGATTAATGAAATGTAGCATTTTTCATACACCTGTTAGCCACTTGTATATCTTCTTTTGAGAAACATGTTAAGATCCTTTGCCCATTTTAAAATCAGATTTTTGTTTTTATGTTAAGTTCTTTATATAGTCTAGATATTAACCCTTGTCAGATATATGGTTTGCAAATAATTTCTCCTATTTTGTAGGGTCGTCCCTTTGCTACACAAAAGCTTTTTAGTTTAATGTAATCCCATTTGTTTACTTGTTGTCTTGTTGGCTGTGAATTTGAAGTCTTATTTTTAAAATCCTTGCCTAGTCCCATATCATGAAGTGTTTCCCCTATGTTTCCTTATTGTACTTTCACAGCTTTGGGTTGGATGGATTGTTTTTTCTTTTTCTATTCTTTTTTTTGGGGGGAAGTTCTTGCTCTGTCACCCAGGCTGGAGTGCAGTGATGCAAACGTGGCTCACTGCAACCTTGACCTCCTGGGCTACAGGCATGCACCACCACACCTGGCTAATATTTTCTTTTCTAAAAACTAGAGACAAGTGTCAGGCACGGTGGCTCAGGCCTTTAATCCCAGCACTTTGTGGGGCTGAGGTGGTAGGATCACCTGAGATCGGGAGTTCAAGACCAGCCTGGCCAACATGCTGAAACCCCATCTCTACTAAAAATACAAAAATTAGCCAGGTGTGGTGGCATATGCCTGTAGTCCCAGATACCTGGGAGGCTGAGGCAGGAGAATTGCTTGAACCCCGGAGGCGGAGGTTGCAGTGAGCTGAGATTGTGCCACTGCACTCCAGCCTGGGCAACAGAATGAGACTCCATCTCAAAAAAACAAAATAAAACAAAACAAAACAAAAAAAACAACAACAAACTAGAGACAAGGTCTTGGTATGTTGCTCAGGCTGGTCTCAAATTTCTGGTTTCAAGTGATTCTCCAGCCTTGGCCTCTCGAAGTGCTGTGATTAAAGGCATGAATCACCATGTCTGGCCAGTTTTGGGTGTTACATTTAGATCTTTAATCCATCTTGAATTGATTTTTTTGTATGAGATGACAGGTAGGGATCTGGTCTCATTCTCCTGCATGTGAATATCCAGTTTTTTCTGTACCATTTATTAAGAGATTATCTTTACCCCAGTGTGTGTTCTTGGCACCTTTGTTGAAAATCACTTGGCTGTAGGTGTGTGAATATTTCTGGGTTCTCCATTATATTCCATTGGTCTGTGTGTCTGTTTTTATGCCAGTACCATGCTGTTTTGCTTAATATGACTTTGTAGTATATTTTGAAATCAGGTAGTATAATGTGTTCAGCCTTGCTTTGCATTCGCTCAGGAATGCTTTGGCTATTTGGAGTCGTTTGTGATACTATATGAATTTTAGCATTGTCTGTCTTTCTTTGTCTCTCTCTCTCTTTCTCTCTTTCTTTCCCTCACTCCCTGCCTGCTCCCTCTCTTTCTTGACAGTGTTTTGCTATGTTGCCCAGGCTAGAGTTCAGTGGCTATTCACAGGGTGACTATAGCATAGTGCAGTCTCAAACTCCTGGGCTTAAATGATCTTCCTGCCTCAGCCTCCTCCCAGTAGCTGGGACTATAGGGATGTACCACTATGCCTGGCTGTTTTTTCTATTTCTGCAAAATATGTCATTGGTATTTTTATATGGATTGCATTAAATCTATAGATTGCTTTGGATAGTATGTCTATTTTAACAACATTATATTCTTCCAGTCAATGAACATGGAATATCTTTACATTTTTGGGTGTCGTCAATTTATTTCATCAATGTTTTATAGTTTCTATTGTAGAGATCTTTCATTTCTTTAAGTTAATTCCTAGTTATTTAATTTTATTTGTAGCTATTGTGCATGGGATTAATTTCTTGGGTTCTTTTTTTCAGACTGCTGTTGGCATATAGAAATGCTACTGATTTTTGTATGTTGATTTTGTATCCTGCAACTTTACTGAATTTATCAGTTTTAATAGTTTTTTGGTGGAGTCTTTAGTTTTTTTCCCAAATAAAAGATTATATCATCTGCAAACAAGGATAATTTGACTTCTTTCTTTCCAATTTGGATGCTCTTTATTTCTTTCTCTTGTTTGATTGCTCTAGCTAGGACTTCTAATACTATGTTGAATAACAGTGGTGAAAGTGGGCATCTTTGTCCTATTCTAGATCTGAGAGAAAGGCGTTCAGTTTTTACCTGCTAAATATGGTACTAGCTGTAGGTCTGTCATGTATGGCTTTTATTGTGTTCAGTTGTGTTTCTTCTATACCCAGGTTTTTCAGAGTTTTTGTCATGAGGGGATGTTGAATTTTATCAAATACTTTTCCAACATCAGTTGAAATGACCATATTGTTTTTGTCCTTCATTCTGTTGATATATCACACTGATTGATTTGCACATGTTGAACCATTCTTGCATCCCAGGGCTAAATCCCATTTGGTCATGATGAAGACTTTTAATGTGTTGTGGAATTAGGTTTGCTAGTATTTTGTTGAGGCTGTTTGCATCAATGCTTATCAGGGATATTAGACCGTAGTTGTCTTTTTTTCTAATGTGTCTTTGTCAGGTTTTGGTATCAGGTTAATACTGGTCTTGTAGGATGAGTTTGGAAAATTTCCTCCTCTTTATTTTTCAAAATAGTTTGAGTAGGATTGGTATTATTTCTTCTTCTTTTTTTTTTGAGACAGGGTCTCACTCTGTTGCCCAGGCTGGAGGACAGTGGTACGATGTTGGCTCACTGCAGTCTCCACTTCCCAGTATCAAGCAATTCTCTAGCCTCAGACTCCTGAGTAGCTGGACTACAGGTGTGAGCCACCAATGCCTGGCTAATTTTTGTACTTTTTTGTAGAGACAGGGTTTTGCCATGTTGTCCAGGCTCTTCTCAAACTCCTGAGCTCAAAGTGATCCACCCACCTTGTCTTCCCAAAGTGCCGGGATTATAGGCATGAGCCACTGCACCCAGCCTATTGTTTTCTCTTTAGTGTTTGGTAAAATTCAGCAGTGAAGATATCAGGTCCTGGGCTTGTCTTTGCTGACAGACTTTATTATAATTTTGATCTTGTTACTTGTTATTGGTACATTCAGGTTTTGGATTTCTTCATAGTTCAATCTTGGTAGGTTGTAGATGTAGAAATTTATCAATTTCTTCTAGGTTTTCCAATTTATTGGCATATAGTTGCTCATGGTATTATCTAATGACCCTTTGAATTTTTGTAGTATTGGTTGTAATGTCTCCTTTTTCATCTCTAATTTTATTTATTTGGATCTTTCTTCTTTGTTTTTATTGTTGTTTGAGACAGAGTTTCACTCAGTCACCCAGGCTGGAATGTAGTGGCGTGATCTCTGCTCACTGCAACCTCCAACTCCTGGGTTCAAGCGATTCTCATGCCTCAGCCTCCCAAGTAGCTGGAATTATAGGTGTGCGCCACCACACGTGGCTAATTTTTATATTTTTGGTAGAAACAGGGGTTTTGCAATGTTGATCAGACTGTTCTTAAACTCCTGACCTCAAGTGATCCACCCTCCTTGGCCTCCCAAAGTGCCAGAATTACATGAGCAACCATGCCAGACCCCTCTTTGTTTAGTCTGGCTAAAGTTTTGTCACTTTTGTTTATCTTTTCAAAAAACCAATTTTTGTTTTGTTGATTTTTTAAAATTCCGTTTTAATTTATTTCTGCTCTGATCTTTATTATTTCTCTGACTAATTTTGGTTTTGGTTTGCTTTTTCTTTCCTAGGTTTTTAAGATGCATCATTAAGTTGTTTATTTGAAGTTTTTCTACTCTTACAATTTAGGTGCTTATTGCTATAAACTTTCCCTTAGTAATGTTTTTGCTGTATCTCATAGGTTTTGGTATGCTGTGTTTCCATTTTCATTGGTTTCAAGCCAGTTTTAAATTTTCTTCTTAATTTCTTCACTGTCCCTCTGGTCATTCAGGAACATATGGTTTAATTTCAACGTGTTTGTATAGTTTTCAAAGTGGTTATTGCTTTCTAGTTTTATTCCATTGTGGTCAGAGAAGATATTTTATATTATTTCAATGTTTTGAATTTTTTAAGATTTGTTTTTTGACTTAATCTATGGTCTATCCTTGAGAATGATCCATGTGGTGAGGAGAAGAATGTGTATTCTGCAGCATGATCTTTGGGAGTCTGATTATCAAATGTCTTGAGGTAGTCTTCTTTGAGTTTAATCTTCTTGGTAGGTTGGGTGTGATGGCTCACACCTATAGTCCTAGCACTTTGAAAGGCTGAGGCAGGAGGATATCGTAAGCCCAGGAGTTTGAGACCAGCCTGGGCAACATAGTGAGACTCTGTCTCTACAAAAATTTTTAGAAAATTAGCCAAGTATGGTGGGATGCACCTATGGTCTTAGCTACTGGGAAGCTGAGGTGGGAGGATTGCTTGAGCCTGGAAGGCTGAGGCTGTGGTGAGCCATGATTGTATCAGTGCACTCCAGCCTGGGCATGACCCTGTCTGGAAAAAAAAAATCTGCTTGCTATTCTATAACATTCTTTTGCTTGAATATTGGTATCTTTCTCTAGGTTAGGGAAATTCTCTGTTATCCCTTTGAATAAACTTTCTAACCTGATCTCTCTATATATATCTTCTCTTTAAGGCCAATAACTCTTAGATTTGCCCTTTTGAAGCTATTTTCTAGATCTTGTAGGCATGCTTCATTCTCTTTTATTCTTCTTTCTTTTGTCTCCTCTGACTGTGTATTTTCAAATAGCCTGTCTTCCAGCTCACTAATTCTTTCTTCTGCTTGACCAATTCTACTGTTAAGAGACCCTGATGCATTCTTCATTATGTCAATCGAATTTTGCAACTTCAGAATTTGTTTCATTTTTAAAAAATTATTTCAATCTCTTTGACAATTTATCTGATAGGATTCTGAATTCCTTCTCTGTGCTACCTTGAATTTTGTTGAGCTTCATCAAAACAGCTATTTTGAATTCTGGGTCTGAAAGATCACATAGCTCTATCACTCTGGTATTGGTCACTGGTGCCTTATTTAGTTTGCTTGGTGAGGTCATGTTTTCCTGAATGGAGATGCTTGTGGGTGTTCATCAATGTCTGGGCATTGAAGAGTCAGGTACTTATTGTGGTCTTTGTAGTTTTGGCTTGTTTGTGCCATCAAATTCAATTGACGGGTATCTTGTTGATCATTTTTGCATCTATGTTCATCAGGGATATTGGCCTGTAGTTTTTTTTTTTTTTTTAATTGCGGAGTCCTTGTCTGGTTTTTGAATCATGGTATTGATGACCTCATAAAATGAGTTTGGAAGGATTATCTTCTATTCAATTTTCTGGAATAAGTGAAAATAATTGGTATTAGTTCTTCTTTAAATGTTTGGTAGAAATCAGCAATGAAGTGATCAAGTCCTGAGCTTTTTCTTTGATGGAAGTCCTCTTATTACTGATTCAATTTCCTTATTCATTTTTTGTATCTTTTGTATCTTTTGGGTCTTCTCATGTTTTGTATTTCTTCACATTTAAAAATAAAGAAATGGATAAATTATGTTTGAATTGTTCATAAAAATTTCATGAGACATTAAACAAAGCTAGTCATTATCTTGTTATTTTTCTTCTTAGTAACAATTATCAAAAATCATCACAGAACAAAGAACCTAAAAAAAAGTTATGGATCTTTTTAATTCTCTCCTTTTAAAAAATGTCATGTTTGACACACATCAAGCAATTTATTTTTATTGTGTATTTGTTCATAGGTTAAATTTATTTATAATTTTATGACATGTCTTAGTTCACTTAATTTGCTATGGTAGCTGAGACTGGGTAGTTTATAAAGAAAATAAGTTTATTAGACTCATGATTCTGGTGGCTGGAAAGTTCAAGATTGGGCATCTACAACTGATGAGGGCCTCAGGTTTCTTCAACTCATAGTGGAAAGCAGAAGAGGAGCTTGCATGTACCAAGAAATCACATAGCAAGAAAGGAAGCAAGAGAGAGAAACTCAGGAATCCACTCTTTTTAACAATCTACTCTTTTAGGAAGTAATCTATTCCCATGCGAATGAAAACTCACTCACCCCTGAGGGAGAACATTAATCTGTTTATGAGGGATCTGTCCATATGACACAAACGCCTCCTACAAAGCCCTATATCCCCAAAGTGGCACACTGGGGATCAAATTTCAACATTTTGGCAGGGACTTACCAAACCATAGCACCATCCTAAACCACAGGAGTTTTTGATTAGTAAACCCAGGTACAAGCAGTTGTGTGTCTGCATTATAGTTAATGTTAACAACCCTAAACACGTGCCTGTTTTAATTAAACCAACAGACTTAAACAAGCTTTTTATTTACTAACGTTCATCCCAGGTCATGTAAACTTGAAAAATATTTGGGTTATTTCCTATTTTTCTGAGAGAATGCTTAATTTACAAAAGCATTTATTTTCTTCCTTCAAGCCATAGGTACAAATAGGACAGTTGTTTAGGATGAGAGCTCTTTTAGAAATATACTTTTGGATACAAAAATCCAAATCTCCAAAGATATACCTAGTCCAATTGCCACTTAAACCAATAAGCTTTTTGTGGCTTAACCATGGATGTGAGAAGTGCCCCTAAAGAGGGTGCAAAAGATGCAGTCTTGGCTGGGCAAGGTGGCTCATGCCTGTAATCCCAGCACTTTGGGAGGCCGAGATGGGTGGATCACCTGAGGTCAGGAGTTCGAGACCAGCCTGGTCAACATGGTGAAATCCCATCTCTACTAAACATCTCTACTAAAAATACAAAAATCAGCCAGGTGTGGTGGCATGCGTCTATAATTCCAGCTACCCGGGAGGCTGAGGCAGGAGAATTGCATGAACCCAGGAAGCGGAGATTGTAGTGAGCAGAGATTGCGCCATTGCACTCCAGCCTGGGTGACAGAGCGAGACTCTGTTTCAAAAAAAAAAAAAGTTGCAGTCTCCCTGAAGATCCAAATTTTCTCCCCAAGATAGCCTAACAAAGCAAAGATCCTCATTGTTCACAAGGCAACACAGCTTGAGACAATTAAGACAAATTCCCCTGAGAGCTGGCTCAGTTAGACAAAGAGGCATTTTGTGTTTTGTTCTCTTAGCCAGCTGGCTAACAACCTGACCCAAGCCCAACAACCTGTACCCCTGACCCTGGCTGGTGGAGACCAGAGGGAATATCCTATTCTCACTGGTCACAAAGCCAAGCTCTCAAGACATAAAGGAAAATGTATTATAATTTTTCTCCTTTCAACAAATTACACAAAAGAGGGAGAGGGGAAAAACAAGGTCTATTTTTGGGAGACTTTGGATTAATAATCAATGGGCACCCAGAACCAAATTCGCAAAAGTCACAATTTAAATAATCAATTCATATTGATGTTTTTATCCTGGTAATCCAAATCTAGAAAAGAAGGGACAAACAAAAATGTTTATCTTCTTCTCTCAGACAAGCACTACAGACAGAGATATGGAGGAGCTGACTTTGGTAAGAATGTCAGGTCTCCCAGGATCCCTTCTGTAGGCTTCATTACAAGCAGGATGTCCCAGGCTTTAGGGTCTCTTTCTCATCACCAGAAAGTATAGGGAAAGACAATTACATTTTCATCCTTTTAGGTTCTGGGCTGGTTCCAAAAATTAAATCAATATAAGATAGATTAGCAGGAGAAAAACATGATACAAGTTTTATGTAAACTTATAAATGGGGCCCTTAGAAGGAAATGAAGACCCCAAGGAAGAAGTTAGAGTCAGTTACCAATATAATGGATT
Source organism: Homo sapiens (assembly GCF_000001405.40). NCBI lineage: Eukaryota > Metazoa > Chordata > Mammalia > Primates > Hominidae > Homo > Homo sapiens. The sequence goes on along the minus strand of NC_000003.12, from coordinate 142,242,630 downwards.
GGAGAAAGAATAGTAAACTGTGAAAATATTACTAAATTATGTGGGGAGAGTTAAAAATAAGAGTTATTTCAACAAGGTCTGTGCAGTATTCTCTCAGTCTCAGCTTCTCATTCTTGAAAATAAGGTTGTTGCCTTTCCTTCTAGTATAGGGAGAATGTCTTTCATACGGGAATTTCATTTTCTGTGCTAAGAAACAGTGTGAAGATCAAAGTGATCCTTTTTGCTCCTGCTCTTCTTTAAGTGTTTATAATTTTAAAAATCAATATACCAGAATAGCATATTTTAACGACTTCACTTCCCCTGACTGGAACTTCCCTAGAAGTTTCAAACATTAAAAGCTAAGTTGGTGGCTGTGGAGAGAAGAAGAGCGTAGGAAAAAAGGGATGTACTAGTCAATTCAGGGAGTTCATCTAGAGAAGGATAAAGAAGAGGAGGAGTGGTAGGAAAGGAAGCAGAAGGCTCTAGAGAGGAAGGAGTCTCAGCTAGCTTTGAGACAGTATTTTGCAGGAAGGCAACTTTTGAGTCCTGAATGCATTTTCTAATCTTGAGATGCCAATTAAAATGTGCATCCTCTGGCCGGGCGCGGTGGCTCACGACTGTAATCCTAGCACTTTGGGAGGCCGAGGCGGGTGGATCACGAGGTCAGGAGATCGAGACCATCCCGGCTAACACGGTGAAACCCCGTCTCTACTAAAAATACGAAAAATTAGCCGGGCGTGGTGGCGGGCGCCTGTAGTCCCAGCTACTCGGGAGGCTGAGGCAGGAGAATGGCGTGAACCCGGGAGGCGGAGCTTGCAGTGAGCCGAGATCGCGCCACTGCACTCCAGCCTGGGCCACAGAGGGAGACTCTGTCTCAGAAAAAAAAAAAGTGCATCCCCTTTGAACTGTTTGACCCTCTAGCCATGGTCTTCTAGTTTAATTCTAAGGAAAACAAGCTTGGGAGTTGGAACGATCCTAAAAAATGGCCATTGGAGCTCTAAATTATCTTTGGTATAATCTTCACGTCAGTTTAAAAATGCACATGGATGCGCCATAATGTTTAAACATGCAGCCGGCTGGGGTCCCTGAAGGAGGGTTGTCCTGGCATGCCTTCGAATTTCAAGACCCCATCCTGTTTCTTATTAACCTCTCAAGAGCAAAGAGAAAATCCTATAAGTCATATGAGGAGGTTAGGGGCTGTGGGCAAAGCGTTTTCCTTTTTTTTTTTTTTTTTTCTTTGAGACGGAGTCTCCCTCTGTCGCCCAGGCTGGAGTGCAGTGGCGTGATCTTGGCTCACTGCAACTTCTGCCTCCCAGGTTCAAGCCATTCTCCTGCCTCAGCCTCCTGAGTAGCTGGGACTACAGGCGTGCGCCACCACGCCCAGCTGATTTTTGTAATTTTAGTAGAGAGGGGTTTCACCATGTTGGCCAGGATGGTCTTGATCTCCTGACCTCATGATCTGCCTGCCTCGGCCTCCCAAAGTGCTGGGATTACAGGCTGAGCACCGTGCCCTGCCCGTGTTTTGCTTTTAATAAATATGCCTGGCACAGGATACTTGCTTTCCTTGATGGAGAGCCTTTGTTCTAGTTGCCCAACCCATGACCACCTGTGAGCCTGGGCAAGGATGACCAGGGCCCCAGTAGGCTCAGTAGTATCACGCCTAAGGTACAGCCTCCACTCCAGGGATGAACTGCACTTATCTGGAACTGAGCTTCAACAACAAAGTAACTGGAGACAGGATGAAAAATGCTGACGTTGTGCTCCTAAATCCCTCTAAGTGGTGTCGGCAGTTGAGAGGAAAGGGAACCAACCCTGTGTTCTTTTTTCTTTTTGAGACGGAGTCTCGCTCTGTCGCCAGGTTGGAGTGCAAGTGGCACAATCTTGGCTCACTGCAAAATCCACCTCCCGGGTTCAAGTGATTCTCCTGCCTCAGCCTCCCGAGTAGCTGGGACTACAGGTGCCCACCACCACACCCGGCTAATTTTTTGTATTTTTAGTAGAGATGGGGTTTCACCATGTTGGCCAGGATGGTCTCGATCTCTTGATCTCGTGATCCACCCGCCTCGGCCTCCCAAAGTGGTGGGATTACAGGCGTGAGCCACTGCACCTGGCGGGAACTCTGTGTTCTTGACTTCTGTCTGTACTGGAGTTCCTGTCTGGCTTAGTGAGGAGGAGGGGACCGAGGAAGCTGTCTCCGTTCAAGTATCTCAGACTGTCACTCTTTTTAACTGAATTTTCATAGACTTTCTTGTGTAGGTGTTTCTTCATTTGCTGTTTGACCTTAGGACAATTTTCAGAGGCTTTAAATTGTGTATTTTGTTTTTATAATTTCACTGGTTTTACTAGGGAGTGGGTCTATGGGCTTTCTCATGCTGTCATGCCAGAAGACAGTCTCTTCTGCCTAAGGATTTTAGAGTTGCATTTACAAATTATTAGAAACTTGGCTGGGCATGGTGGCTCACGCCTATAATTCCAGCACTTTGGGAGGGCAATGCAGGCGGATCCCCTGAGGTCAGGAGTTCAAGACCAGCCTGGCCAACATGGTGAAACCCTCTCTCTACTAAAAATACAAAAAATTATCTGGGTGTGGTGGCATGCACCTGTAGTCCCAGCTACTCTGGAGGCTGAGGCAGGAGATTCGCTTGAACCTGGGAGGCAGAGGCTGCACTGAGCCAAGATCATGCCACTGCACTCCAGCCTGGGCAGCAGAGTGAGATCTGTCTCAAAAAACAAACAAACAAACAAACAAAAAACAAATTATTACAAACTTCATCTCTTAAAGCAACACACATTTACCATCTCACATTTCTAGAGCCCAGAAGTCCGAAATGGGTCTTACAGGGTAAAATCAACGTGCTGGCAGGTATACGTTTCTTCTGGAGACTCTAGGGTAGACTTCATTCCTTGCTGTCTCCTGCATTCCTTAGTTCATGGCCCCCTTCCAACAATTTCATCACTCCAACCCCTGATTCTGTCATCACAGCTGCTTCTCTGAAGCTCTGCCTCCCTCTTATCCTTATAAAGACCCTTGTGATTACATTGAGCCCATCCACAGAATCCAGGATAATCCTCCCATCTCAAGATCTTAATTTAATCACATCTGCAAAATCCCTTCTTCCATGTAAGGCAACACATTCACAGGTTCTGGGGATTAGGACCTGGACATCTTTGGCAGGGGAGGCCATTGTCTGCCTACTTCAGAGCTATAAACTAGACTGTTCCTGAGCGCTCTGATTATTGTTTTTTTCTCAGGATTGATAAAAGAAGTTGAGCCATAAGAAGATCATTAGCACTCAAGAGTGTTATTTAGATGAACAGGAAGCTCATAAAAATATTTTTCTCCTTCACTAAAATAAAACACACAATTAAAAACAAACCGATTTTATAATTACTTGTAATTGAATCATCTGAAACCCAGCATGTGAATTACTTTGTCATAGTTCCTAATATCCTATTAAGTTTTAATCATACTAAATCATGTGAGGCCATCTGTGTTGAAGATTCTCTCATGACCACTGGTAATGTTCTTCCCTATTTATCATGCCTGACTTTTGAATATATAATAAAGAAATAGGTGCATATAAATGGAATAAGATCTTTATCTTTTTTTTTTCTTTTTCTTTTTCTTTGAGATGGAGTTTCACTCTTGTTGCCCAGGCTGGAGTGCAATGACATGATCTCGGCTCAGCGCAACCTCCACCTCCTGGCTTCAAGCGATTCTCCTGCCTCGGCCTCCCAAGTAGCTGGGATTACAGGCATGTGCTACCATGCCCGGCTAATTTTGTATTTTTAGTAGAGACTGGGTTTCTCCATGTTGATCAGGCTGGTCTTGAACTCCTGAGCTTGTGATCCGCCCTCCTCGGCCTCCCAAAGTGCTGGGATTATAGGTGTGAGCCACCATACCCGGCCTTGGAATAAGATCTTTTTACCTTCAACCAAAAATGTTTTTTCTTATTATCTTTATTTTAACAAGCATGATTTTTCTTAATACTACATTAAGATAATATATCTAAAAGAGGGAGAGTTTTAGGTGATGATTACAGAACTCTCAAATCTTAAAAATGAAATTATAGCCAGGCGTGTTGGCTCACGCCTGTAATCCCAGCACTTTGGGAGGCTGAGGCAGGCAGATCACCTGAGGTCAGGAGTTCAAGACCAGCCTGGCCAACATGGCAAAACCCCGTTTCTACTAAAAAATACAAAAAGTAGCCAGGAGTAGTGGCTGGCACCTGTAATCCCAACTACTTGGGAGGCTGAGGCAGGAGAATCACTTGAACCTGGGAGGCAGAGGTTGCAGTGAGCCAAGATCTTGCCATTGCACTCCAGCCTGGGTGACAGAGCAAGACTCCATCTAAAAAGAAAGAAAGAAAGAAATTATCAGTTAGTTTATCCTCATTATTCTTTGATTCTCCATTTGTGAATTAGTCTGCTCACTAACATTTATTTGTAACCCCCAAATGTACAGTGTAACATTTCCCATTAAAAAAATAAATAACTTGTAGTGTTTTCAGGGTAATTTGTGGACATGTATAGAGTTGTGAAAAATCTGAGTCACTCAACATGCATGTTCCCAGCTGACCTCAAATAAGATGATCTTTGCCTTCCTGTTTGTAAACTGGTGTCCTTTTCAGTGTCTGTTTAGAGCCATATTTTTCACATTTTATGCTTTTTGTTGGTGATTTCACTGTTTAAAATAGTTCCAAGTGTAGTGCTAAAATGTTCACCAGTGTTCCTAAGCATAAGAAGGCTATGTCATTGTAGGAGAGAATATGTGTTAGATAAGCTTTGTTCAGGGGAGATACTAGGTTCAATGTTAATTAACCAACTATGTATTAAATAGGATGTCTTTAAGCAGGACATATAATACAAGGTTGTGTATTAATCGATTCAAGAAAATGTGACCAGGGGCCTACAGGAAGCTAACCCTGTATTTCCTCTAGGAAAAATGGTTCAATATTTGCTAATTCGGGGTTGCCAGTGATGTTACAGAACATAACTACTGTGAGTAATGAGAATCGAGTATAATTCTTTTTTTTTTTTTTTTTTTTTTTGAGATGAGGTTTTCTCTTAATGCCCAGGCTGGAGTGCAATAGTGCAATCTCTGCTCACTGCAACCTCTGCCTCCTGGGTTCAAGCAATTCTTCCACCTCAGCCTCCCAAGTAGTGGGGATTACAGGCTCATGCCGCCACGCCTGGCTAATTTTTGTATTTTTAGTAGAGATGGGGTTTTGCCATGTTGGCCAGGCTGGTCTCAAACTCCTGACCTCAGGTGATCCGCCTGCCTCAGCCTCCCAAAGTGCTGGGATTATAGGCATGAGCCACCATGCCCAGCCGAGTATGATCCTTTTTCAGTTAAAAATCAGTGTATACTGCTTACAGTCTTTATTTCTACTTTCGTTTGCATTTGAATCAATTAGGTTTTATTCATTCTAAGTTCTACTCTCCTTTATAGTAATAAAGCATGATGGAAAGCTAGAGCTACAATTTGTGAAATATAGTCTGTACTAAGTATATTTTTAAAGTAGGGCTTTTTTTCCTTGACAGGATAAAATCTGAACGTACCTACTAAATGTCCTCATTGCTGGTTGGGCATGGTGGCTCATGCCTGTAATCCTAGCACTTTGGGAAGCCAAGTCAGGAGGACTGCTTGAGCCCAGGAGTTTGAGAGCAGCCTGGGCAACATAGCGAGACTTGTCTCTACAAAAAATAATTTTTAAAAGTTACTCAGGTGTGGCGGTGTGCACCTATAGTCCTAGCTACTTGGGAGACTGAGGCAGGAGGATTGCTTGAGCCCACGACTTGGAGGTTGCAGTGAGCTATGATCGTGGATGTTGCCACTGCACTCCAGCTTAGGCAACAGAGCAAGACCCTGTATCTAAAATAAATAATAAATAAATAAATGTGGCTGGGTATGGTGGCTCGCACCTGTAATCCCAGCACTTTGGGAGTTCAAGGAGGGCAGATGGCTTGAGTCCAGGAGTTTGAGACCAGCCTGGGCAACATGGCATAACCCCACTCTACAAAAAAAAAAAATACAAAAATTAGCTGGGCATGGTGGCACATGCCTGTAGACCCAGCTGCTCTGGAGGCTGAGGTGGGAGGATCACCTGAGCCCAGGAAGCAGAGGTTGCAGTGAGCTGAGATTGTGACACTGCACTCCATCCTGGGTGACAGAGTGAGACCTTGTCTCAACAAGAAAAAAAAAAAGAATAAATATCTGGGTTGCTAACAACCATATCAAGTACTTTATTATGCTTAGCTTTACATAAAAGTATCATTAGGGTCAAAGTCCCTAGGTCCACACATCCTGCCTGAATGTTATCAGAACTAAGAGCTCATTTGAAGTCAGCCTGGAAACTGCAACTTTTTCAGATGTGCTGTATTAAAATTATGGATCAATCTTTTATTTCTTTTTCTTTTTTTTTTTTTGAGACGGGGTCTTGCTCTGTCACTCAGGATGGAGCACAGTAGCACGATCTTGGCTCACTGCAACCTCTGCCTCCCGGGTTTAAGTGACTCTCATGTCTCAGCCTCCTGAGTAGATGGGATTACAAGTGTTTGCCACCATGCCCTGCTAATTTTTGTATTTTTAGTAGAGATGGAGTTTTACCACGTTGGCCACACTGGTCTCAAACTCCTGACCTCAGGTAATCCACCTGCCTCAGCCTCCCAAAGTGCTGGGAGTACAGGCATAAGCCACTGTGCCTAGCCCAGATCAATCTTTTCAACTCCAGAATTCTGAGTTTTATATATGCAGATGACATCACCTTATGCTCACTATAAAGAGTTGAGTCCTATGTGCATAGAGGGCTTCTTGGAGTGATGGAAATATTATTTATCTTGGTAGGGATGGGGTGGTTACATGGTTGTATACACTTGTCAAAACTCATAACTGTACATTTCAATAAATCTGACCTTAAAATGAAAACAATCCCATTTGAGAAGAAACTTTATGTTGATAGAGGTTAAGCAACCCTGTGTGGGGAAGAGTTTTCTTAGGCAAAAGGCTAAGATAGTATTCTTTACTATTAAAAATATACCTTGGGCCGGGCACAGTGGCTCATGCCTGTAATCCTAGCACTTTGGGAGGCTGAGGTGGGTGGATCATTTGAGGTCAGGAGATCGAGACCATCCTTGCTAACACGGTGAAACCCCGTCTCTACTAAAAAAAAAGTACAAAAAATTAGCTGGGCATGGTGGCATGCACCGCTGGTCCCAGCTACTCAAGTGGCTGAGGCAGGAGAATAACTTGAACCCAGGAGGCGGAGGTTGCAGTGAGCCAAGATCGTACCACTGCACTGCATGCCAGCCTGGGTGACAGAGTGAGACTCTGTCTCAAAAAAAAAAAAAAAAAAAAAAAAAAAATATATATATATATATATATATATACATACATACATACATACATACACACCTTGAGCCTGAGCAATATAGGGAGACACTGTCTCTACAAAAAAAGAAAAATATTAGCTGGGCACAGTAGTGCAAATGTGTAGACCAGCTATTTGGGGGGCTGAGGTGGGAGAATTACTTAAGCTCAGGAGGTTGAGGTTGCAGTGAACTATGACTGTACTACTGCATTCCAGTCTGGGTAACAGAGCAAGACCCTGTCTCAAAAAGAAAAAAAAAAAAAAGATGTTCAAATATATCTTCAATCTAGTAACTTCCCTTATTTTTTGCATTTTCTTCTGTATAATCCTTCTTTTTTTTCTTTCTTTCTTTTTTTTCTTTTTTGAGATGGAGTTTCACTCTTGTTGCCCAGGATGGAGTGCAATGACGTGATCTTGGTGTGGTGATCTTGGCTCATCACAACTTCCGCCTCCCGGGTTCAAGCGATTCTCCTGCCTCAGCCTCCCGAGTAGTTGGGATTACAGGCATGCGCCACCGTGCCCGGCTAATTTTGTATTTTTGGTAGAGACAATGTTTCTCCATGTTGGTCAGGCTGGTCTCAAACTCCTGACCTCAGGTGATCTGCCTGCCTTGGCCTCCCAAAGTGCTGGGATTACAGGTGAGCCACTGCGCCTGGCCTTGTATAATCTTTCTTTACCTTGGATTTTAATTGCCTTATACAAACATTTTCCTCAAAAAATAAAGTTTTATCTGTATCCATGTATTCACAAATGTTTTCAGCCAAACTCTAATGTGGTTTAACTCTTAATCCACAGAACTCACTCACTTGAGATGTTACAATGTCCCTAGTTAAGGAAAAGACATCTGACCATAAGTAAAACATAGCGACTGAGATGAGACGACAGATGCTCTTCTTAGGCAGTGGCCTCTCTTTAGAACTTTCCAGGCTTTGGCTGTTCATAAACATAAAAAGTGAGTCCACAAAACCTGTGCCCCAAGTGGCTCCTTCCTGCCCACGACCTGTACAGATCGGTAAGTGAATGAATGAAAAGAATTCCTGTCACTCAATACACTTCAGGAGGGGAGAATTTAAGAGAGGGAGGAAGAAGCCTGCTCATGTTTCTGACACTGGATGCCTCTTAAGGGCATGGAGATGGGCAGATAATTGGCCAGGTGTGGCTTTGTGACTCTGGTTTCCCTGGATTAAACGGTAACCCTTTCCAAGTCTCCCTGCAGCTTAGCCATGGGGAAGCCATCACTTCCCCCAGACCCGCTTAAGATTTAGGCAGGCAAGTCGCTACTCAGCTCTCTCTGGGAAGGCTGGAAAAAGCCAGCCTTGGACACAGTGGCATCTATGCTGTCAAGTTTGCACAAACATATCTGGGTGGCAGGGTAAGTCCTCATTGTTTACCTCTGGAAACACTGGATGTTTCAGCCCCTCTGAAGAACTACTGTATAGGGGAAAAGATCCTGCTTTCATCATGTACTGTCTGTGCAGCCTTGAGGGGTTATTCCCTACTGTAACAACATAGTGACCGTTATTGAGTTCTGGAGCGAATTAAGTAAGAGAACATACAGGATTGTACGTGTAAGGACAAACACAGTATTCGGCACAGCAGTCACTCACCTCACATGACTTCTTTCTCTCTGATAGAAAATTCATACTCCCTTTCATGCTTTGGTTTCTAGGAAGCATGAGGAACTCAGTGTTTATTCGTTTGATTTATGAAGTAATTTCCTTTAGTCTAGGTTTTCTGGTGTTGTTATTCTACTTTTCAATTTCCAATTCTCCCCTTGATTTTGGTCTAACTCAAAGTCCTCTTTTATCTTCAGATCTTGATGGACATTGGTCCTGAGAATTTGAAGTTTCTGGGTCTCATTCCTTCTGGTTCGACTGCTTCAGGAAGTGAATGGGCTTAACAGCAAGGCAGGCTAGGACTTCATCGAAGAAGGGTGTTCAAGGCCAGCCTTCAAGGCTAGGACTGTTAAGTGGTGAGGAATAGGCCTGGGTTGAGTCTTTAGGGAATTAGCCTGCTGAAAGAGGTGGTGCCAAGGAAGGAAGCCAGTGTTCTTTTTGTTGTTGTTGTTTGTTTGTTTTGAGACAGAGTCTCGCTGTGTCACTGTGTCACCCAGGCTGTAATGCAATGGCACCATCTTGGCTCACTGTAACCTCCGCCTCTTGGGTTCAAGCGATTCTGCTGCCTCAGCCTCCCAAGTAGCTGGGACTACAGGCGCACACCACCACACCCGGCCAATTTTTGTATTTTTAGTAGAGACGGGGTTTCACTATGTTTGCCAGGCTGGTCTTAAACTCCTGACCTCGTGATCCACCTGCCTTGGCCTCCCAAAGTGCTGGGATTACAGGCGTGAGCCACCGCACCCGGCCCGGAAGCCAGTGTTTACAACTGTAATACTCAAGAGTTGTTGTGGAAAGTAAAAAGTTCCTCTTCAAAGTTTCCCTTCTTGTTAGAGGATAATAATAATAATACATGTTAGAAATAATAGTTTCTCTTAAAGACTAACTTTCTTCAAAACCTATTTACAAAAGTTTTTAAGCTGTTAGCCAATCGGGTTCAGTTTAGATTGTGAGGTTTGGCTCCAACCAACAGAGATCAGACACAGCAGTAAGGACCCAATGTGTAAGGAATAAATATGCCTGCCTTTCCTTTGTTCATTGTGCTCTCATGGCAGGATTGCTAAGGGGCAGCACCCTTTCTGCAGAAAGTAAAATTACTTTGCTGAGGAAACTTTTTGTCTAAATGTTGATTTTTCCTTGCGGTACTGAAAAACGAACATTTTGCATGTAACAGTTGTCAAGGGAGGACAGACAGTCTTAGCAGGTATCACACTCCAGGGGCTTCAGAATGGTGAGTGGGGAGTTCTGGTACTCAAGAGTGGGTACATGGCAGCCTTCCAGACCACAACATGGGGATCCAGGAGAGGGAGTCCAGGCCTTAGAAAAGGATGAATTTCTGAGGAGTATATAAGTGGGGGGAAAAATTAAGGTTTTACAGGACCTGAAGCTTGTAAAACCTGGGGAACCCCCTTTAAGGAAACAAATAAACAAACAAAAATATTTCACTTTTCAAATGCTTTAAAGCATAGACTGTGAACAGTTTGCTAGGGCTCTTCTCAGGGTCTTGGCAGGGGCCCATGCCAGGGAGGGGCCTGAAGCTTAAGCTTCATTAACTCCACAGCTCATCTACCTCTGTCCTGCAGAGAGAGGGGTCTGGGCTCCAGACAGTCAAATCAGGAAACTGAGACAGCTGTCCACTCCAAAAGAGGCAGGGCTCATAAAACAAGGGTTAAGAAAAAGGAGGTGGCTTAATGTTCATGTGGTTATTCAGGGAAGCTAGCTCAACCCCAGGCCTGTTCAGGTTGGATGATCTGCATTGGTGGTCACATTACAATGTGCCCAGCATAGTGCAGAGATTAGGAGGGGCCCAGTGCCCTCTATGTCTTGTGGCCAAGTCAGGCAGAAGATGAGGTCTGGTAGGGACTTGTACATATTTGTTTGTTTATTCAGTCATTGAATACTTTTCCTTCCTTCCTTCCTTCCCCTTCCTTTTCTTTTCTTCCTTTCTTTCTCTCTCCTTCCTCTCTCTTCTCTTCTCCTTTCTTTCTTCCTTCCTTCCCTTCTTTTCTCCTTCCTTCCTTCCTTCCCTGCTTCCTTTCTTCCTCTCTCTCTCTTTCTCTCTTTCTTTCTTTCTGACAGTCTCGCTCTATTGCCCAGGCTGGAGTGCAGTGGTGCGATCTTGGCTCACTGCAACCTCTGCCTCCCGGGTTCAAGTGATTCTCATGCCTCAGCCTCCCACGTAGCTGGGATTATAGGCATGGGCCACCATGCCCAGCTAATTTTTGTATATTTAGTAGAGATGGGGTCTTGCCATGTTGGGCAGGCTGGTCTTGAACTCCTGGCCTCAAGTGATCCACCTGCCTTGGCCTCCCAAACTGCTGGGATTACAGGGGTGAGCCACCGCGCTCGGCCAAGTCACTGAATACTTTCTGTGCCTTGAGGAAAAAAGACTAAGGCCCCATCCCTGCTCTGAAGGAGTTCACTGTCTAAAACCAGCAACTGACACCAAAACATGATGTAGCCAGAGTCCCCAAAGGAAGTTACTTGCAGAACCCAAGAGCCTCTAGGAAGACTAGTGAAGAGGAGGTTGGGATGATGATTAGGCCCTAAAACATTGGTAGGAGCACTTGGAGCTTCTGAAAGGAGTAGGATGACCAACTGTTCCAGCTTGCCCTACCAACTCCTGATTTTAACAAAGTCCTGTGTTCCAAGAGATTCCTCAGTCAAGGGAAAACTGGGATTGTTGGTCACCCTAGGAGGAAGGGACACTGACTAGTTTCTTTGGAGGAAGGAGGGCATTGAGGTCACTGGGATCAGTCCTGAGGCACCATTCATTTCCCTTTGGGGTGTGACAGGGAATGATGACCTTTACACGATTTCTGATCGAGCCCTGAGGAGCTGCAATCAAATTTCTTGAGAGTGTGGGAGGCTGGTACAAGGATTTGTAATCCTGGGCCTGCTTAAGAAGGTAACGTGTAAGAAGTGGCAGTGGTGGAGAAGCAGCCTGGGAGAGCAGTCCAGCCCAGAATCTAAGATGTAGCAGCTGGGTCAGATGAAAGATAAGGCCACCAGGTAATGCAGCACACAGCAGCAGTGGCCTCTGAATCAATAACAATGGACTACCCCAAAGAAAGGAAATCAGTACATCGAAGAGCTATCTGCATTCCCATGTTTATTGCAGCACTATTCACAATAACCAACATTTGGAAGCAACCTAACTGTCCATCAACAGATGAAATGGATAAAGAAAATATGGTATTACACATAATGGAGTACTATTCAGCCATTAAAAAAATGAGATCTTGTCATTTACAACAACTTGGATGGAAATGGAGGTCATTATGTTAGGTGAAATAAGCCAGGCACAGAAAGACAAAGTTCACATGTTCTCAGTTATTTGTGGGAGCTACAAATTAAAATAATTGAACTCATGGAGATAGAGAGTAGAAGGATGGTTACCAGGGGCTGGGAAGGGTAGTGGACAGGGGTGAGGGGTAGGGCCGGGGGAAGTGAGGATAGCTAATAGGTATAAAAAATGGAAGGAGTAATAAGATCTAGTATTTGATAGCACGACAGGGTGTCTATAGTTAAAAATCACATTTTTTTATTTCAATAGCTTTTGGGGTACAAGTGGTTTTGGGTTACATGGATGAATTATATAGTGGTGAATTCTGACATTTTAGTGTACCAGTCACCTGAGTAGTGTACATTGTACCCAGTAGGTAGCTTCTTATCACACACCCCCGTCCCACCCTCCCATTTCTGGGTCTCCAAAGTCCGTTATATGACTTTGTGTACCTTTGTGTACTTAGCTCCTACTTCTTTGGTTTTCCATTCCTGGGTTAATTCACTTAGAATAATGGGCTCCAGCTCCATCCAAGTTGCTGTAAGACATTATTTGATTCCTTTTTATGGTTGAGTAGTATTCCATAGTGTGTGTATATATATATACCATATTTTCTTTATTCACCCATTAGTTGATGGGCACTTAGGTTGGTTCCATATCTTTGCAATTGTGAATTGTGCCATAATAAATATATTTGTGTAGGTGTATTTTTCATATAATGACTTATTTTCTTTTGGGTAGATACCCAGTAATGGGAATCCTGGATCAAATGGTAGATCTACTTTTAGCTCTTTTAAGGAATCTCCACACTGTTTTTCATAGAGGCTGTACTAATTTACATTCCCAACAGCAGTCTGTGTTCCCCTTTCACCACATTCACACCAACATCGACTATTTTTTGATACAGTCAATTTAGTTGTACATTAAAAATAAGAGTATAATTTGATTGTTTGCAACACAAAGGATAAATGCTTGACATAAAAGATACCCTATTTACCTTGATGTGATTATCATGCCTGTATCAAAATATCTCATGTAACCCAAAAATATATACACCTACTATGTATCCATAAAATTTTTTAAAAATTAAGAAAAAAGAATGACTGACCAGCTATCAAAGGCCTTAGAAGCCTCTGAGCCCTGTGCCTTGTTGCCCATATACTCCTTTCCCTTAGAGAAGAGCAGGGTTAGAGGTGCTGACAGAGAACAAAGCAAGTGGGAGAAACAGGTATCTCTTTGTTCTCCCAGGCCTCTCCTACTCAACAGTGAAATAAGATCTTGATTTTTATCTGAGATCTTTATGTTTGCTTTACCCAACACCCAGCACCTGAAGTTATGTGCAAAATTTTGTGTGTATAAGCATCTTCTTGGGAAGATAGTGTTCATTATGGCCTCAAAGTTGTTCAAGATCTGAAAACAATTTGAGAAACACTAGATTAAGTGGTTTCTAAGGCCCCTGTTTTCAAATTCTATGATTTGATAATACTCAATATAATTTATTTGAATTTATAAAAAGGATCATTAAGGAAGTGTCAGGTTTCAAGAAGCCAAGAAATATCACTTTGAGAAATATACTAAATATTAACATCAGGTAATACAAAGCCGTTTTCTCTGTTGTGAATGGGGAACTGATATGGTTACTATTATGTGTGAACTTGGCTAGGCTAGTTAGACACACTGTATGCCCAGCTGTTCGGTCAAACACCAGTCTAGGTGTTGTTGTGAAGGTATTTCTTAGAAATAATTAACATTTAAATTAGTAGACTTTGAGTAAAGCAGATCACCCTTCATAACCTGGGTGAGTCTCATACAATTGGTTTTAAGCTTTAAGAACAAAGACAGGTTTCCCAAAGAAGGAAGTCTCCTCAAAACTGCAACATGGAAACTCTTCTTGAGTTTCCAGCCTGCTAGCCTGCCCCACAAATATCCAGGACTTGCCAGCCCTCACAATCACATGAAGCAATTCCTGAAAATAATAAACCTCTCTTTCTCTTTCTCTCTATCCTATTGTTTCTATTTCTCTGTAGAACCCTGACAAGTACTGGACCCATTAGTCATTTATTTCGAATTACAATAATTCACACACACACACGACCAAAATGGCCAGCACTGGTGAAGGCAGTCAGTCCTTGAGGCCACTTGGAACAAATCAGTACTGTTGAACAGGGTACAAAGAAAAAAAACATACTCTTCCAGGTGTATGTTCCAAGCTTCACGTTGTATGGCCAAAGAGCCAATTTTGTCAAATTGTCTGAAAGCAAGTTGATTAACACGACAATTTGGTCAAAAGAATGACTTGGCCCTGTGCAGTGGCTCACGCTTGTAATCCCAGCACTTTGGGAGGCCGTGGCGGGCGGATCACGAGGTCAGGAGATCCAGACCATCCTGGCTAACATGGTGAAACCCCGTCTCTACTAAAAATACAAAAATTAGCTGGGCATGGTGGAGAGGGCCTGTAGTCCCAGCAACTTGGGAGACTGAGGCAGGAGAATCGCTTGAATCCGGGAGGCGGAGGTTGCAGTGAGCCGAGATCGCAGCACTGCACTCCAGCCTGGGCAAACAAGGGCAAAACTCCGTCTCAAAAAAGAAAAAAAAAAAAAAAGAATGATTTGGCTGGGCACAATGGCTCACACCCATAATCCCAGCACTTTGGGAGACAAAGGTGGGAGGATCACTTGAGGCCAGGAGCTCAAGACCAGCCTGGCCAATATGGCGAAACAGAGTCTCTACAAAAAAATGCAAAAATTAGGCGGGCGTGGTGGTTGTAGTCCCAGCTACATGGGAGGCTAAGGCAGTTGGATCGCCTGAGCCCGGGAGGTCGAGGCTGCAGTGAGCTGAGATGGCACCACAGCACTCCAGCCTGGGCGACAGAGCAAGACCCTGTCTAAAAAAAGTTTTGATTCAAAATGAGTATGTATGTATGTATGTATGTAAGTATGTATGTATGTATGTATGTATGTATGTATGTATGTATGTATGTATTTTGAGGCAGAGTCTTGCTCTGTCGCCCAGGCTGGAGTGCAGTGGCATGATCTCGGCTCACTGCAACCTCCGCCTCCCGGCTTCAAGTAATTCTCCTGCCTCAGCCTCCCCCGTAGCTGGGATTGCAGGAGCCCGCTACCACGCCCGGCTAAGTTTTGTATTTTTGTAGAGACGGGGTTTCACCATGTTGCCCAGGCTGCTCTCAAACTCCTGACCTCAAGTGATCCGCCCGCCTCGGCCTCCGAAAGTGCTGGGATTACAGTCGTGAGCCCCCGCGCCCAGCCAAAATGATTATCTTTTACCTTTTAATTGACATACCAGTTGGCACTGTTAAACGTTTTCACACAAAACATATATTCATATGTTTGCTAATTTTACAAAAAGAAGATAAGGAATATTTTCAGGCCCCGGCTTCACAGATTGCTGGTGGCAGTGGAGAGGTGGGTGGCGCAGGTGGAACCACCTCCCCACTACTTGCAGATCAGGACCCTCCCCGGGAAAGCTCCAGGCCCAGGAACCTAAGCCGCAAGAATCTCGAAATTTCCACAGGACACCTTGTTCCTTTTGGCCAAGTGTCTGGATGAGCCCATCCCCTTGGGCAGCAACAAAAGGTAAAGGGTCTCTGTGAGGCTTTCAGATTCCAAAAAAAAGCAACCGCTGGAGTGGAGTGTGATGGTCAAAGCAGCCACCTTAAGCTTTCTCCTTTCTTTCCCACTAGAGGGCTGAGAAAAGTCTTCTTCCTTGCGTTGTATTTCATTTGGCAAATATTTACCGCTTTGTATTGTGTGCAAACTTTACCAGGTTTTCTGGGAAGAGAAGTCGTGGGGAGCTCTCAGTTTGTTAATAAATATTAATACTTTTGGCCAAATTTTGAATTTTTTATGTCACTTGTTTTATTTCATTTTTGAAAAACAGCACTTTATTTCATTTAACTCTAGCATATTCAATGGCTGTGCATTTAATAATACTGAAATAAAGTCGCACCCAAAATGTTAGCAAAAAAATGGAAACTATATATGGTAGTGACCTCTACAAATGTTTTAAGCTTGAAAAATTCTGCACGAACGCAGACACAGGTTAGTCTGCCAAAGTTACTCAGATAAAAATTTCTCCAACCCTCAAGTCATAATCATAGTTGAGAAATGAATAAATGTGCCTTATGGCACCTCCAAACTTTTTGAGATTTTTATATAAACTAGCCTATACTTCTCTCCTTACGATTAGCATATGGGGTAGCTATTTTTCTTTAACAGAGATTCTTCAAATGTAGCTAGGGTTAAGAGAAACGCTGGCGCTGCCTCTCAGGAAGCTGGAGAAGCAAAAGAAAAAATTAAGAGTTAAGGGCCGCCGGGCTCGGTGGCTCACGCCTGCAATCGCAGCAATTTGGGAAGCCGAGGCGAGCGGATCACGAGATCAGGAGATCGAGACCAGCCTGATCAACATGGTGAAACCCCTTCTCTACTAAAAATACAAAAATAGCCGGGCGTGGTGGAGCGCGCCTGTAATCCCAGCTACTCGGGAGGCTGAGGCAAGAGAATCGCTTGAACCCGGGAGGCGGAGGTTGCAGTGAGCCGAGATCGCGCCACCGCACTCCAGCCGGGGCGACAGAGTGAGACTCCGTCTCAAAAAGAAAAAAAACAAGAGTTAAGGGCCAAGTCAATCCAACCGCGGCCGGCGACTGGAGGCTGAGCATGGCTGGCGATCTGGGGCTGCAGATCACGGCGCAAACCCGCTCACCTCCACCCCTCCCGCGCGGCCGCCGGCGCGCGCCCGTGGCGTCACGGCGTCGGGGTGGAGCCGGCGGCAGGGGCCAGGCCTCTCTAGGCTCTCCGGCTGAGCCGGGTTGGGGCCCGGGTTGGGCCGCCCGGGGACTCTGGAGCATTGGGATTTGTAGCGCGCCCTCTGGGTAGGCGGCTGTAGCGGAGAGGCGTGCGGGATCGGGATGTCGGGGCTGCTCACGGACCCGGAGCAGAGAGCGCAGGAGCCGCGGTACCCCGGCTTCGTGCTGGGGCTGGATGTGGGCAGTTCTGTGATCCGCTGCCACGTCTATGACCGGGCGGCGCGGGTCTGCGGCTCCAGCGTGCAGAAGGTGACTTGGGGGCGGGCGTGGGGCGCGGGTCTGACTGGGTTTCGCTGAGTCCCGGGGTCCGGCCTCGGGAGGCGAGCGGGCAGGCCCCACCTACCGCCCTGGACGCGGCCACCTGCAGCACCCGCGGGCCCTGGGGCCAGAACGGCGCGCCCAGACCGGCTGAGTCTTCGCGTTCCCTCCCTCGTCTGGGCTGAATCCCGCGCGCCCTTCCTGTCCAGGCTGAGGGTGCCAGGGGCCCGGTGTATGACCTGGGCCGCTCGCTTGCCTCTTGCCACCTGGGGAGCCACCTGTCCGGCCTTACCTGGATGGGACTGAGGTGACTCGCCGGACGGGACTGGGCAGGCTGTGCACATCCAGCCAGAGGGTGGTTTGTGAGTTGCTTGGTTCTTCCTGCACTTCCCTGATAGATCTCCCACCACATCTTTATTTACATTTTAATTTTTCAAAACTTTTTTTCTTTTTTCTTTATTATAGCCTTTGGACTTGTGCCTCAATAACTTTTCATATCTTTGTAGAATTTAAGTTTATTCTCTATTCTTCACTTGTCATCTTTATTAACTACTACTCCACAAAATGCTGGTTCCTTACGTGAGCAACTGATTGCCGTGGATATTAGAGGTATTGGGCAAGTTTTGAAGGCTGTGTGGTCATCAGTTTTCTATTTTCCATCTTTGAGAATTCATAAAATTCTTTATTTCCCCTCGTTTGAGAGACCTGCCAAATCATTGGTTGGTTGTTAGTAAAGCCTTGAATTGTTGATAATATTGGTCAGCAACCAACAAATTGATATCCTTCTGTTCTCATATTAATGAAGTGTTGATTTATACACAATTGTCAATGCACCAAAAATAATATTTATTTGTTATGGTGTTCTTATTGTTGTTCCTTTTTTTCTTTTGAGACAGGGTCTCACTTTGTCACCCAGGCTGGAGTGCAGTGCTGTGATCTCGGCTCACTGCAGCTTTGACCTCCTGGGCTCAAGTGATCCTTCCACCTCAGCCCCCCAAGTAGCTGGGACTACAGGCAAGGGGCCACCATGCCTGGCTAAATTTGTTTGTATTTTTTAATAGAGATGGGATTTTGCCATGTTGCCCAGGCTGGTCTGGAAATTCCTGGGCTCAAATAATTCACCCGCCTCGGCCTCCCTAAGTGCCAAGATTACAGGCGTGAGCCACTGCAGCCAGCCTGTTATGGTGTTCTTATTTTCTCTTCCCAGTACCAACATCTTTTTATGTTAGAAATTTGAGGGAGGGCCGGAGCCATCAGTTACCTAACCATTCCCAGCAGCACTGTATTCCCCCTTTTTCTCAGTGTCCCGTTCTTCTTCCCACCACCTTAGAGGTGTTTTTCTTTGTAGCACTTGCCCAGGAGCAAGGTCCAGCTAGAGTGCCAGTGAGTAGTGACTGCTTTGAGCATTTGTTCTGGGGAAACATCAGACTTCCTTCCATTAAGTTTTTCTTTTTTTTCTTTTTAGACGGAGTCTCGCTCTGTCACCCAGGCTGGAGTGCAATGGCATGATCTCGGCTCACTGCAACCTCTGCCTCCTAGGTTCAAGCAAGTCTCCTGCCTCAGCCTCCTGAGTAGCTGGGATTGCAGGCACCCGCCATCATGCCTGGCTAATTTTTGTATTTTTGTAGAGACAGGGTTTCGCCATGTTGGCCAGGCTGGTCTTGAACTCTTGACCTCAGGTGAACCGCCTGCCTCAGCCTCCCAGAGCACTGGGATTATAGGCGTGTGCCACTGTGCCCGGCCTCCATTCAGGTTTCAGGACCAAGACAGTGGAACTGGGATTGTAGCAGCTCCCTGGTCCCTTCTCTGGCTAGCTGTGTGGGAACACTGCCCACCCACCCACACACTATCCCTATCCCAGCCTGAAAAGAAAAATGAAAGGCAGACACCACCCTTCAGTGACTGGGTACTCATTACCTTTCTAAGAGTATTTATCACAAAAACGATACTTTTTAAAGTCTCCCTTATAATTCTAGACACAAAGTACTTTTAAGCACTGTTTTTTTGTTTGTTTTTGTTTTTCTTTTAAGGAATTGAAATATTTGGAACCAAAGGGAGAAATGAATTACTAGAAAATGCAAAGTTTCACAGTTAATATATAATTTGGGGCAGATCATTAGTTTTTTTAGGAATGAAGTGAGGAATCTCAAAGATGGATCAAGATTGCTGTGAGTGGCAGGAGGCCAGGAAGATTTGCACAGACTCTAAACTGTGGAAAATGTGTCTGGATAAAAGAAAGATATGAGTAAATAAAAATACAAAAAAAATGCCTGCTCTTCCCGGATAAAGCACAGTCGTAGATTAAGAAATGTGCAGCAATGCCTCTCTGTGTGGTAGGAGTTTATAGCAGTACTGCTTAAAGTGTAGTTACGGGGCTGCTGGGATTGAGATAATAAAAGAAAACTAAGCATTTAGAAACTTGTGTAGCAACTTAGCAGAATAATTTTATGTCTATTGACTCTAGTAATGAAACGTTTGGGATTTTATTTTGTATGCCTTTTTTTTCTGGAAACTTTATAAAAATTATTGTTATTTTTAGAGACAGATTCTAACTCTGTCCCCCAGGTGGCCTGATCACAGTTCACTGCAACCTTGAACTCCTGGGCTCAAGCAATCCTCCTGCCTCAGCTTCCTAAAGCTCTGGGATTACAGGCACGAGTTACTGCACTAGGACTAGAAACTTAATTGTATCTTAAAAATTGCTGGTCCACAATGAATATAATTTTTTTTTTTTTTGAGATGGAGTCTCGCTCTGTCGCCCAGGCTGGAGTGCAGTGACTGATCTCGATTCACTGCAAGCTCCGCCTCCCGGCTTCATGCTATTCTCCTGCCTCAGCCTCCTGAGTAGCTGGGACTACAGGCGCCCGCCACCAAGCCTGGCTAATTTTTTGTATTTTTCATAGACATGGGGTTTCACCGTGTTAGCCAGGGTGGTCTCGATATCCTGACCTGGTGATCCACCCGCCTCGGCCTCCCAAAGTGCTGGGATTACAGGCATGAGCCACTGCGCCTGGCCAATGAATAGAAATTTTTTAAAAAAACAATTAGCAACTGGTCCTTTACTGCAGATAATTTGAGTTTTTTGGGAACAAGGATCTTGTTGGTCTACATTGCTGCTTAGTACCTGGTTTATTACCTCATTGTTACAGAATAAATAATTGAATTGCAGTTAAAATGTTAGGAATTCATGGGGCTCTATGACTTAGACACAGAACTTGATTGTGTTTATTCTGTCAAGTGAAAATTACACCTCTTGTAATATTCCAATGGAAAGAATGTATAATAGAAACCTAAAACCTCTTAGTGTATGATTTGATTATACTGGGAAAGAAATTTTTAAAAAAGAAAAAATAAAGAGATTCCCCTTTGTAGACAAGAACAAAATAGGCTGTGAGAAGACGTCAATCTTACTTCTTGTGGCCTTTATTTTTTAAATGTTTAACAGTAGAGATACATTTTTAGCTTTTTTCTGTAATTTGTATTTTTAAAAAATCTTTCTTAGGGACTCTTAAATATACAAATTAACTACTAGAAGAATATTTTGTGTTGGAAACTCCACATATGAACATTTGATATTTTGGTTTGAAAAATGGAGAATATTTATCATGTTCCCCAGTGGAACATCATGCCATTATGAGAAACTATAAAAAATGATAATGTCTTGGTTGGAAGAACAGGACAGAAAGGTCACTCCAAAGAGTAATACTGTGTACTCTATGTACATGCTTGAAAAACAGACTAGGTGGTTGTTGTCTTTTGTTTTTAATAAAAAAAAATTAACTTTTATTATATACTTGATCTAATTTTGGTTTGGTTCTCCTGTAAAAGAACAGATTTCACTACTGCAACTTGTTTGGGGATGGTATGTGACATCCTGATTGGTAAAGTGGGGGGAAGTGACCCTGAGTCAAGTCTGAAGGTTTATAGCCTTGAAATAATGATATCCACATTGAGTTTTCTGGGGTAAGAAAGTGTTTCTTGTAGTTAAACTATTACAGTCTGTAGTCATAAAAGCCTTGCCTAGAAAGGGCAGAAGTATTAATTGACAGAAGGAGAATAGATTGTGTTAAATCTGTTTTTTTGATGAGCTCACTGGGGAATAAGAGATTCTTTTTCCACATCACCTTGTGTAACACTTATACTCCCCATATTGTCACTGTATCCTCAGAGTTCCTTTTTTCTTTATTTTGGCCTTTTCATACTACATGTTAGAAATTTTCCTTAACTAGTGATCTTGATTGGTTATCTGCATTTTTTTGGTACCATGCCTTGCCCTGGCACTTAGGTATATCTGTCATTTGCAAGTACAGAACTCTGGTTCAACCCCTCCAGAAATAAATCTCTTACGTTCTCTTTCTGCCAGGTTAGGGAGGGGCAGTGATCTGGCTGGAGGAAAGGAATTGGGGCTCCTTATAAAGACTTTGAACCAGTCCTACGTACAACCCCATCTGGCATCCCAGCTTTCAGAGGAACCTCTAATTTCCAGAGTTCCACCCTAGAATCTCTGCCCTTTGCTTACGGGCATCACTCTCATAGTTCACTCATATGTTCATTCATATACTCACTTTATATTTATGGAATATCTAAGAAACCATAGGCACTTCTAGATGCTGGGGATAAAATGAACTAAGGAGACACATTCCCTGCCCTCTAGGAACTCACATTCTGAGGAGAAGGGTAGAGGTGACCTGACTCTGGTCTTATAGGCCATTATAAGGAATAATGGTTTTACTCTGAGTGAAATGGGAGCCAAGGTGAGTAGAGGTGCAGTGTAATCTGAGCAGGCAGTGAGGTATTGGCATTTCCTCCTCTGTCCTAAGCCATGTACCATCTGCCCACTCACTGTTCGTATTAAAAACATTTGTTGCCAGACGCGGTGGCTGACGCCTGTAATCCTAGCACTTTGGGAGGCTGAGGCGGGCGGATCACGAGGTTAAGAGATCAAGACCATCCTGGCTAACACAGTGAAACCCCGTCTCTACTAAAAATACAAAAAATTAGCCAGGCGTGGTGGCGGGTGCCTGTAGTCCCAGCTATTCAGGAGGCTGAGGCAGGAGAAGTGTGAACCCGGGAGGTGGAGCTTGCAGTGAGCTGACATTGCGCCACTGCTCTCCAGCCTGGGCAACACAGCGAGACTCCGTCTCAAAAAAAAAAATTTGTTAAAATCTGGTCTGATCCTATTTGCTCTTCTCTTTGTCCTTGTGCATTTAAACCTTGTTAATGTTTTCCTTTTAATAGACTGGGAGGAATTGGAGATACATGCATATGTTTAAGCCATCATTTTGACTTGAAGCCATAGATTTTTATGAAATTTGTTTATTGATTGATTGATTGAGACAGTCTCCCTCTGTCTCCCAGGCTGCAGTGCAGTGGCGTGGCCACAGTTCACTGTATCCTCTACTTGCTGGACTCAAGTGATCCTCCCACTTCAGACTCCTGAGTAGCTGGAACTACAGGTGTGGGCCACTACACCCTTTTTGTATTTTTGTAGAGATGGGGTTTTGCCATGTTGCTCAGGCTGATCTTGAACTCCTGGGCTCAAGCAATTCTCCTACCTCGGCCTCCCAAAGTACTGGATTACAGGCCACTGCATCCAGCATACAAAATTTATTTTATTTTTTAAGTTAAAGTAAAATCGACTTTTGGTGTATAGTTATGTGAACTTTAGGACATGTGTAGAAGTAATCCCCAAGCTCCCTTGTGTTACTTTATTGTAGTCACATCTCCCCACTCACCTAACCTCTAGTAACCACTGATCTGTTTTCCGTAACACAGTCTTGTCTTTTTGAGAATGTCATATAAATGGAATCATACAGCAAGTAGCCTTTTGAGACTGGATTTTTTTCAGCATAATGCCTTTGAGATTTGTCCATATTGTTATGTATATCACTTGTTTATTCTTTTTTATTTCTGAGTAGTATCTATCATATGGATGTACTACATTCATTCACCTGTTGAAGTACATTTAGGTGATTTCTGGTTTCTGGTGATCATTAATAGAGCTGCTATAAACATTAGTGTACAGATTTTAAGGGGAATATTAAAAAGCTTTGAACCAGTCCTGTGTACAACCTTATAGGGTAAATTTCTCTAGGGTAAATACCTAGGAGTGGGATTGCTAGGTTATATGGTAAGTGAATGTTTATCTTAGCAAGAAATTCAGAGTGGCCATACCATTTTGCATTCTCATCAACAATGTATCAGAGTTCCAGTTGTTCCACATCCTCATCAATACTTGGTATCATTAGTTTTTAAAACTTATTTGATTTGACTTGCATTTCTCTAATGGCTAATGATGCTGAATATCTAACTTCATGTACATATTTGTAATCCACATGTTTTCTTTAGTGGAGTGCTTGAAGTCTTTTGCCCATTTTCAAATTGAGTTCTTTGTTTTCTTACTGTCGAGTTTTGAAATTTTTTATATATTCTGGATATTAGTCATGTGCTGGATATGTGATTTGTACATATTTTCTACCAGTCTGTACTTTTGTCTTTTTATTTTCTTAACAGTATCTTTTGCAGAACAAATGTTTTTAACTTTGATGAAGTCCAATTTATCAACTTTTTGTTATATGAATTATACTTTTGGTGTTCTAAGGACTCTTTGCCTAACCCCAAGTCACAAGAATTTTCTCTTGCATTTTCTTCTAAACATTTTATAGTTTTACATTTTACATTTAGATCTTGATCCATTTTGAGTTAATTTCTGTAAGTTGCAAAGTTTGGGTTGAGGTTGATTTTTTTTTTTTTTTTTTTGAGATGGAGCCTTGCTCTGTCGCCCAGGCTGGAGTGCAGTGGTTTGATCTCGGCTCGCTGAACCTCTGCCTTCCGGGTTCAAGCAATTCTCCTGCCTCAGCCTCACGAGTAGCTGGGACTACAGGTACCACTGCCACACCCAGCTATTTTTTTTTTTTTTTTTGTATTTTAGTAGAGACGGAGTTTCACCGCGTTGCCCAAGCTGGTTGTGAACTCCTGAGCTCAGACAATATGCCCGCCTCAGCCTCCCAAAGTGCTGGGATTACAGGCGTGAGCCACCATGACTGGCCTGATTTTTTTTTTTTTTTTTTGCATATGGATGTCCAATTGTTACACCACCATTTGTTGAAAAAACTATCTTTTCTCCATGGAATTGCCCCTGTACTTTTGTTGAAAATCAGCTAGTCATATTTGTGTGAGTCTATTTCTGGACTCTGTATTCTGTTCCATTGATCTATGTGTCAGTTTTTATGCCAATAGCATACTATTTTGATTACTGTAGCTTTATAGTAAGTCTTGAAATTGGGTAGTGTGCCTCTAACTTTATTCTTTTTTTTCCTCTCTGACTTTATTCTTTTTCAACGTTGTTTTGGCTATTTTAGTTTTTTTGCCTTGCATAAATTTTAGAATCTACAAAAAATACTATTGGGATTTTGTTATAGAAATCTGGGATGGCAGTTCTTTTAGCACACTGTAAATGTTGAGCCACTTATTTCTGGCTTTCATGGTTCTGATGAGAAATCCACGGTCATTTAAATTTTTGTTCTGTATATGTGAAATGTCTGGTTTCAAACTTTTTGCTTTTAGTTTTCAGCATTTTAATTATGATATCTGGGTGTGTAATGCTTTGGGTTCATTCTGGTAAAGTTTTCCTGAGCCTCTTGAATATATAGGTTTCACTGAACTTGGGCAGCTTTTAGCACTGTTACTTCCCTCAAGTGATTTTTTTTCCTGTTCTGAACCCTTTCTTTTCTTCTTTGGAGACCCCTGATTAAACAAATATTAGACCTTTTGCTATGTCCTGGGGCTTTGTTCTTCTTTTTCCTCCAATCTTTTTTCTTTCTGTTGTGCAGATAATTTCTATTGGTCTATCTTCAAGTTTATTAATTTTCTTCTATCTCCCTTCTGCTATTGAGCCCATCCAGTAAGTTTTAAATTTTGATCAGTACATTTTTCAATTCTAAAACTTTTCTTTTTTATGTCTTTTATGACTTTCTTTTTTCTTTCTTTTTAAAATGGGATATATTTAAGCCATTCTTCATGATGTCCTGATATACTGACCTTGATATACACATACGTAGTTAAATGATTACTGCAGTTACCGTTGCTGAGACTGTCTTTCCATTTGTTGCAAGTGTATTCACTCCTCTTGGAGTATTTTCATAATAGCTGCTTTAGACTGTTTATCAGATATCTGTGTCATCTTGGCATTGACATTTCTTGATTATCTTTTCCAATGTGAGTTAAGATTTTTCTGGTTCTTCATATACCTTGTAGTTTTGGATTGTATCCAAGAAATTTTGAATATTATGTTAAAAGACCCTGGGGTTTTTATAAATCCTATGAGGATTTTTGTTGTTTTTCTTTTAGCAGGTATTTATTGCATTTGGGTTCAGGCTACAAATTCAGTCTTCTGACTGCAGTTTCAATGTCAGATTTGTTTTCAAAATCTTGGCAGTACTATTTGGATCTGCCCTGTGTGTGTGCAACCTAGTAGTCAGTCTGGGACCTGGGCAGTGATCTATCCTTTAGTTCTGTTCTTAGTATTTTTGGTATAGTGTTTAGGATTACATCCATGCAAGTGCAGCTTTGGGGTGAGCCTAAGAGTTCATACACAACTTTCTGTGGTATCTTTTCCAAGTTCCTCCCTCTCTGAGATGGTTCTGGTACTTTTTGATTCCCTGAACCTCCCCTGGTGGTCCCCGGCCAAAAAGCTGGGGCTTTTATTACTCCACTCGGCTGGGTATGTCTGGGGTTAGGCAGCAGAAACACACAGAGAAAAAAGCCATAGGGGTTGACCACACCCTCTTGGGATCACCGCTCATCTGATTGGAGAGGAAGTTTTACCTTCCTCAGGATTTTAGGTACCTGTTGAGACGCACCGATACCATTATTAACTGCTGCTGCCACTGCTGCAGGATTTTGTGGGTATAAAAGTATGGAGACAAGGGAAAAAAGAAAAATGGGAGATCTGCCCCATTTCCTCTGAGTGTTAGGAGTTCCCTTTCTCATTCTTTGAGCCAAAACAGTAGAGCTTATCCTGGCACTTCCTCTGTGCCCTAGCTCCCAGTTCTGGTTTTCAGGATGTCTTGAGTCTAAGCCAGGGGATTTCAGAAGAAAAATGGGAAACTCACCACCAGTTCCATGGTACCTGAATTCTTATCTACTTCCCCAGTCCACCTGCTGCCATATACTTTTTAAGAGTCCACAATGGCTGCTCCATGCATTCTGTCCAGGTGTTATATTTGTATTTAGCGGAAGAGACAGGGTGGAGTGTGCTTACTCTATCGTGGTCTGAACTGGAATTCACTTTTTTTAAAATTTATTTTTAATTTTTTAAAAGCCTTTTTTCTTATTTTAAAAACACACCTTCTTGTAGAAAACTTAGAAAATAAAAGTAGAGATAAACAAAGCTAAAGTCTTCTGTGAACTCATGAGTTACTGCTATTTGGTGTTGGCATATAGTCCTTTTTTATCTCATAAATGTGTCTTTTTCAATTTTAACAATAAAAATTAATTAGATAATAAAATCATGTTAATTATTTTAACCAGTAGTTTTGAGACCCAAAGACCCATACTATTGACTTGATCTAATGCTGTTTTTACTAAATCTTCTTTTCCTTAATAGGTAGAAAATCTTTATCCTCAAATTGGCTGGGTAGAAATTGATCCTGATGTTCTTTGGATTCAATTTGTTGCCGTAATAAAAGAAGCAGTCAAAGGTAATTGGATTTATAAAAATAACAATAATCTTTATGGTTTTTTTTTTGTAATAGTTTTCCTCAGGCTTCTGTAGTTGTGGTTTTCCTAAGTTATACATATATATAGTATTTTATTGGGATTACAGTTTCCCAGTATTTTTCAACGGAAATTTGTAATTCACAGTGAGCTCCTTTGTCAGGGAAAGGTAACATCTGCTGTGTCCTCTGGTTTGTCTCTTTTCGACTGTAATATAAATGCTCGCCATTTCCTCATTCCAGGTTATAGCTAGTGCTGTTTTGATTTCCTGTTTGGCACAAAATACCAGAGGATTATAAACAGAAGTTACAGTGTATAGCTTCTACTCTCATGGGTTTACAACTGAGTTATTTCTATTGTAAAATGAGTTTTTATTTGTTTTTTTCTGGCCATTTGACATAAAGTGCTTTCCTGGCCAAAGCTATGGTCTAAGTCTTAGTTCTTTAAGAATGTTAGAAACATTCTTAAACATTGACAACATCTCAAAACATTGAAATGGCCACCTTGCTTGAGAACATGGCAAAGATTACTTGTAAATTCTGAAAGATCTTTTACTTCATTTTTCTGGCTGAACTGCTTCTTCTCATCTTTTTGGTTTGAAATATTTCAGTCTATGCAAAAGTTGCAAGAATAGTACAATAAACTCTTGTATATCTTTCTCATAGATTCAAACATATTTTGTAATATTTACCATTTTCTGCAAACTGTTTTTTTCTTTCTGAACCATAGGAAAGGAGTATTTTCTCCTATAACCACAATGCAATTATAACACTCAGGAAGTATAACATTAACACAGCACTGTTTTCTAATACTCTGTCTTCAGTATTTGCTCTTGTCTTAGTGAAAACAAAAAACAAAAAAACTTCTTTTTTCAATCTAGAACCCAGCCAAAGAGGAGGCATTGCATTTAGCTGTCAGTCGGCTTAGGCTCCTTTCATCTAGAGCACATTCTTATGACATTGGCAATTTTCAAAAGTACAAGCCAGTTTAGTAGAGTGTCCCTCATTTTGAGGTTTTCTGATTGTTTCCTCCCAGTTAGATTCAGGTTGAATAACTTTGGAATACTATATGGGAGTTGATGTGTTTTTCTCAATGCTCAAATTGAAGTTGTCCCAGATTTTCCCGGTGGGATAAATAGATTTTTAAAGAATATCACAAAAAATACTCGAGTTGCTATATTTTAAGAAATTTGGACCAAAAAGTCAATATTTTTGTTTGCATCCTGGCATCAGTTTGTGTTGAAAATAAGGTCTCAGCTTCAATAATTAGACTACTTTCCTTGAGAGTTTTCCTTTATTGTCATTAACCAGCTTCTATTATGATTGATCATTGCTTAAATTAAGATCCAATCTTATTATTACCAAGAAAAAATAAATCTGACATACTTTGAATAGTATTTGTTTTTTTCCCAGCACCTAAAACAAAAAAAGCTACTTTGTTATTCAGAAACAACCTTTAAGGCCGGGCACAGTGGCTCACACCTGTAATCCCAGCACTTTGGGAGGCCAAGGTGGGCGGATCACCCGAGGTCAGGAGTTTGAGACCAGGCTGGCCAACATGGTAAAACCCTGTCTCTACTAAAAATACAAAAAATTAGCCAGGCAGGGTGGTGCACACCTATAATCCCAGCTATTTGGGAGGCTGAGGCAGGAGAATTGCTTGAACCCGGGAGGCAGAGATTGCAGTGAGCCAAGATTGTGCCACTGCACTGCAGCCTGGGCAACAGAGTGACACTTTGTCTCAAAACAAAAAACACAAAAACAAAAAACAAGAAACAACCTTTGTTTTCTTCAAGTAAAAAAAAAATGCTGCAGAATCATCTTAGTAATGCTTTATTTGTTAATTCCAGTTGTTTTGTTAGAATGCTAAACCCAGGTATTTTTCTTAAAGATTATATTGGATTTCTTTTTCTATATTGTAATATTATAAAGAAAAATATCACTGGCTTTAAAACATGTGTTTTATCCATCTTTACTTTTAGCTGCAGGAATACAGATGAATCAAATTGTTGGTCTTGGCATTTCAACACAGAGAGCAACTTTTATTACGTGGAACAAGTAAGTACATTCTGTGATAAGCACCCTACTGCTGGGTTCATGCCACAGTGAGTACACGGTTATGAAATCTCTTTGGGGAGTTTTAACTTTCTGAATTGAGAATAGTTTCGTTTGGTTAAGAGGGATGAAATGTGCCTGCTTTCTGGCTTGTATGCTCACTGCATGTCATTTGGGCTTGACTTATATTATATAATACCACAAAAAGACTTAACTGTCATTAAAATTATCCATTTCTTTCTTTCGGGTAAGTTAGCTTTTCAAACAAGCATAGATCAAAGATCTAAAAAATTATACCTAAAAAGAGTCAGAGGAAACTCACAAATTTCAGAAACACAGTACTGTACTATGGTTTATATTTTCAGTCTACTCTAAATTTAATATTTGTCTATAGCGGCCAGGAGCGGTGGCTCACGCCTGTAATCCCAGCACTTTGGGAGGCCGAGGTGGGCGGATCACGAGGTCAGGAGATCGAGACCATCCTGGCTAACACGGTGAAACCCCGTCTCTACTAAAAATACAAAAAATTAGCCGGGCGAGGTGGCGAGCGCCTGTAGTCCCAGCTACTCGGGAGGCTGAGGCAGGAGAATGGCGTGAACCCCAGGGGGCGGAGCCTGCAGTGAGCCGAGATTGCGCCACTGCACTCCAGCCTGGGCGACAGCGAGACTCCGTCTCAAAAAAAAAAAAAGAAAAAAAAAAGAAAATATTTGTCTATAGCATATGAGGCATATATACTCTAAACACAGTTATAATATTGTAATAGCTACTGTATAGTAAACATCTGTGACAGTCCCAAGTTCCATTATCCTTACAACAAACCTATAATTTAGGCATCATATCTGTTTTTACAGAGAAATAAGTTGTTCAGGGTTGCTCAGGGAGCAAATAGAGCCAAGATTCTAAATTGTCTTTTTGACTCAGAAGCGTATGTTCTTTATACTATCCCCATATTGCCTTCAACATGTTTCTTTCTTTTTCTTTTTCTTTTTTCTTGAGACAGGGTCTTACTCTGTTACCCAGGCTGGAGTGTAGTGGCATGATTACAGCTCACTGCAGCCTCAACTTCCCAGGCTCAGGTAATCCTCCCGCCTTAGCCTCCTGAGTAGCTGGGACTACAGGTGCACTCCAATATGCCTGGCTAATTTTTTTGTATTTTTTGTAGAGACGGGGTTTCACCATATTGCCAAGCTGGTCTCGAATTCCTTGGCTCAAGCAATTCTTCCACCTCAGCCACCTCCCCCAGCTAGCATGTGTTTCTCTGTGTCTTGGTTTAAACACACACCCACATTCCCTCCCCCAAAATCCCCCCGCCCACGTACCCACACACACCACTGTAAAATGTGTTTTTGTTAAAGCATTAGGCTCCAAAGGACATCTTGAGCTTGGGCAGTGGGAAAGAAAAGTGAGCAGAGGGGGAAAAGATGAATCTGAAAAATATAATTAGGGTGAATTCACAAGGACTTGGCTTCTAATTCAGTATTGGGCAGGAAGAAGAAATTTGAATTTACCAATACTGCTGGCCTTGATGTTTGGGCTGTATGATAGAAATCATAGAGAATGTAAGGAGGAATGGGCTGGGTAGTAGTGAGAGTAGGTAGAAGGAAAAATGATAAAATGTTTGGTTTTGGACGTGTGAATGTGGAGATATCTCAGAGGTGACTAGAACATTGGTTTAACTTGGACTGAGGCATAGCACATCTCCATCAGATAGGATCTTTTTATTTTCATTTTTGGGGGATGAGGTCTTCACTTTGCTACCTAGGCTGGAGTGCAGTGGCACGATCATAGCTCACTGCAGCCTCGAACTCGTGGGCTCAAGGGATCCTCCCACATCAGCCTCCCAAGTAGCTAGGACTATAGGTGTGTACCACACTATGGCTGGCTAATTTTTAAAATTTTTATAGAGATGGAGTCTCACCATGTTGCCTAGACTGTTCTTGAACTCTGAGCCTCAAGTGATCTGCCTGCCTTGGCGTCCCAAAGCGCTGGGATTACAGGCGTGAGCCACCATGCTCGGCCCAGTACTCTTTTTTTTCAGGACATGCTGCATCTCAGATTGATGCCTACATCTGCAGTTCCTCTGTGCTTACTCCACTCCCCAGCACTGGCCTTGGTTATGGCAAATCTTAAATAAATCTTATACAGTAGTATATTGTCAGATGAAGGGGTGAATGAATTAAACTTACCTGTACAGATAAGGTATCTAATCTTAGTGACCCTGTTGACATTTTGAGCTGAATAATTCGTTGTCATGGGGACCGTCCTGTGGTGTTGCAGCTGTTCAGCAGCATCCCTGGCCTCTACCCACTAGATGTCAGTAGCACCCCAGCCCACCTCACCACCATTTGTACCAACCATAAATGTCTCAAAACATTGCTGAACGTCCCCTGGGGACATCCCCAATTTGGAACCATTGGTGTAGATGAAGTCTCAAAAAATAGGTGTGTTCTCTGGTAGAGATTATGTGGAGAAAAGAAAAGCAAGCTAAGGATTTGGACTGCGGGTCCCTGCTCCCACCAAATTTAAAGTGAGTCAGGGAAGAAAAAGCCAGCAAAGCAGGACCAACGCTAATCTGGGAAGTGGATGGATGAAAGTGGAGGGAGGAGTATTCTCAGGGAAAGAACTGATTGGATGTGTCATATTCACTTGGCCATTGGCCCCAGTGATTGCTTTCATCAGGACCTGGCTACCATATCACTCATGACAGTAAGGTCGGAATATTAGGAAGCAGAGTTTTTGTCTGATGCTAGGACTATACATCACCATTAGAAGGAATAGAAGAGTTAGATTTCAAGACAGTTCACTTTCCTTACTGGTGGTGGTGGTGTTGTAGAGGGATAAGACTTCTTCCTAAAGCAATTCATTGTGAGTTTTTTATCTTGGCTGTCCTTTTTTCTTTTTTGAAATGTTTGTATTCTTTCATGAGTTTTGGGAACATTCTTTGCTTGTAGAAACTGAAATAGTGGATATTTTTTGAAGAAAGACTGAAAGCCTTTGTGCTTCTTTTACATTAAAATAATGGAGCGGAGCCTATTCTGCTCATTGGGCCCCAGGGAGCCAATGTGGTGTATGATGCTGACAGATTCCACAAGAGCCCTAGCAAACAGCCGGGACACAACACAGATGGGCACAGCACAGGGCCAGCCAGAAGCACTAATTGTTCATTTGTGAGAGAAAAGGAGAGACAGACTAGATCCTGTGGAAAAACCTATTGTTCGTTCCAGTCCTGGCCAGCAGCTCCTCCTCCCAGCTTGTTGTTTTTTTCCTCCTGCATCCATGGTGCATTTCTGTCCTCATGGCCATAGAAACATTATTTTCCTCACAGTTGCTGTCAGGAGGTCTAAAACTTTGAACTTTCTTTTTGTTTTTCTCCCTATCTCTCCCCCATCCCCCTGTTAGGGACCAGGAAACTTACGAACTTTTTTCAGTCTTTGAGCTTTCTTCATGTTCTTCAGGTTAAGCTTTTTTTCCAATATATTCAAAAAGTGGTGTGTTTAGCCTGCTTTCTAAAATAACTCTAACTGATAACACTTCCATTTTGGTTCTTTTAAATTCCTTTTGTTCTAAAAAAAAAAAATCACGAGCTGTTTTGTTTCTTTAGTCAATGTCTCTTGGGAGATTTCTGCCAGCTAACTTCAGATCAGGGTGTGTGCCAATTAGCAACACAAACTGTGAGTCATGGGAGCCTGGATTCACTCATAACTGTTTGAGGGCTCACAGGGAGTAATGCACCGTGCTGGGGGCTGCACTGCGTATACAGATGAATAAGAATACCAGCCCTAATTTACAATCTCATTATATAGGTACACAAATTACTCTATATTCCCATTGCACAAAATAGATTTTTATTGTAGTATTTGATACTTACATTAATGAGTCTTACCAAATACTTATGACTTAAAATATATTAAGAGCCACAGAATGATGTAAAGTGTTAGAAGGGTTTAAGACAATTAATTTACAACATTGCCATTTATACTTTTCCTTCATTTTTCCTTTTTTTGTTGATAGAGATAAAATAAACCCAGGTCAGTGCTGAGTGAATATTGGAATGTATGCTATTACTTGAAAAATCAGTATTCTAGATTGTCTTGTTCTATGTTATAAATTAATGATGCCACTTTCATCTTGTGATTTTGTCTCTCCCCCTCACTGCTTTTCAGCCACACTAGCCATTCAGTTCCTCTAAGACACGCTTTATCTTGCTCTAGGACATTTGAACATATAGCACATTTTGTTGGGAATGTTCATACTTCTGATTCCTTCTTATCCTTCAGAGCTGAGATCCATTGCCATTTCTGAAGCCTTCACTGACCACCACACAGGGGCCATCTGTTAAATACTCTCATGGCACCTCTATTTATCCATTTTTTTTTTTTTGAGGCGGAGTCTCACTCTTTTGCCCAGGCTGGAGTGCAGTGGTGCTATCTCGGCTCACTGCAAGCTCTGCCTCCCGAGTTCACGCCATTCTCCTGCCTCAGCCTCCCGAGGAGCTGGGACTACAGGTGCCCGCCACCGCGCTCGGCTAATTTTTTGTATTTTTAGTAGAGACGGGGTTTCACCATGTTAGCCAGGATGGTCTCGATTTCCTGACCTCGTGATCCGCCTTCCTCGGCCTCCTAAAGTGCTGGGATTACAGGCGTGAGCCACCACGCCCGGCCTCTATTTATCCTTTATAGGGCGTATTCCAGCTGTAAGTGAGCAACTGAGTAATTGATTATTTGTTTACATTCCCTGGTAGAAAGTACAGTCATCAGGGCAAAAGTGCTGTGTGTCTCTGTTCATAGCTGTGTACCCAACTCCTGGTACAAATTGGCTTATAAATTTTTGCTGAAACCAGTGATTGAACATCAGATTTAAGTGTATAAGTATGTGCTGTTGTAGAATGGCTCTGAAGAATTATATATCAATAGATTTTATCTTTATCAAACACAATCTGATCTTTGACAAAGGTGCTAAGACCAGCCAGCAGAACAAGAATAGTTTTTTCAACAGATGGTGCTGGGAAAACTGAACATTCACATGCAAAAGAATTAAATTGGACCCTTACCTAATACCATATACAAAAATGAATCCCAAAATGCATCAAAGACCTACATTTAAAAGCTTAAACTATAAACTAAAAACTCTTAGAAGAAAACAGGAGAAAATCATCATGACTTTGGATTTGGCAGTGATTCCTTAAATGACATCAAAAGCAGTTAACAAAATAAAAAATAGATAAATTGGACTTTATATATCAAAGGACATTTATTTTTTCATTTGTTTATGATGACTAATTTTTCAATTTTCTTAACTATTGGAACTCTCCAAAGTAGAAAAATTACCCTAAATTTAATTATAAATAATAAGTAAGCTATGTTAAAATTAATTTGACATAATGTGCAATTTGCATTTAAAAAATGTCTGAAAAAATTTAGTCATTGATATCTAATATGCAGTTAGGCTTCAGAAAACCACCTGCAGCATGTAACGTGGAAGGTGTGCATCTTGGTAGGTTTGATTTGTAATTTCATCCAAGATTGAGGACTAAAACAATAGGAAATCACTCCTCTGATTTGTACTCATGATAATGGTGACCATTTGGATCTCTAAAGCGAAAAGAAGTAACATGCTCATGATCTAGGTAAATGTTGCGATTTCCATTAATAAAGGTGAAAAACAGGACCCTATCAACAGAGTGAATATTGCGTGATCTGGCCAGCAGCCCGCAATACAACGGGGCTCTCTCTTTGTTCCTAGGTGGATCAGCAGGTTGAGAAATAATAGACACAAACAAGATAGTGAAAGCTGGGTCCAGGGGGGTCACCGCCTTCTGGTCCTGCGGTGCCAACAATGCACTGGATATACCAGCATTTATTATTAAGTTTAGTGAGGGCGGGGGTAGGTTAGTGAGAGATTTAGGGTCATTTGATTATGAGGTGAGATGGTCACATGGGGATGAAGTAATTCTTTAACATAACATTTGTATGTAGAAGTACAGTACATTTGTATGTAGAAGTACAGTATACAGAGATAAGAATTTACAATATAATGTGTGCATCAGTAATTTCTAACAGAGCCTTAAAACAGAAACACAATCTTTCCATAACCTATGATTAGCAAGATATTGATCAGCAGTAACAGTTGCAACAAAAGCTGGTTAGAAACAATCCATGGAAACAGGACGTGAAGCTAGACAACCAGTTAGACCAGAAATTCTCAGAAGGGAGTATGTCTTAACCCTAAAGAGGCCTAGAAGAGCCGTGGCAAGATGAGGGCGTTTATAGCCCTATCTTATCCATATGGATAGGCACCCCCCTCATGCGTCCGTTTATAGGCTCTCCACAAGGGTCACATTCCATTCCCAGAGCTATGAACATCTGCTTTTCTGGGATAGGAATCTTGGTGATGTGAAACCTCCCTGACTGCATGTCCATTCATAGGCTTTCTGCAGGGGGAAGCACATCACCCGCTGTTGGCTCATTCTGGCAGTCCAACCTGGCATTGTCTTTACACAGTCCTACATGCAATTTTGTATTTACAATAATCAGGAGCATTTCATCTTTTATTCTGTAGCCATAGTTTCAGGGGGTCTCCCTACATCTCCCCCTTTTCTCTGATTTAAATGAACCGTAGCAATCATAGGTTGGTGCTGATCACGATTGGATTGAAGAATAATTTTTCCAATTTTACACGTGAACAATAAACCAATAGCACAAATTATACACAGAACAAAATTAACGATAGTGGATCCTCCCAAAGATTTTACCCATTGAATAGGGTTGAGATTAGATAATCCCTCAGAGATACTGTCTAAAACAAGTCATGGAATGGGAGAAAATATTTGCAAATTGTAACCTCGAAGCATGTAACATATTAATCCCTAATCCCTAGTAAGGGGTTAATATCTAGAACATGTAAAGAATTCCTACAATTCAACAACAAGAAAGCAACAATGCAGTTCATAAATGGACAAAGGACTTGAGTAATACACAGATGGTCAATAAGCACACACAAAGATGCTCAATGTCATTAGTAATCAGGGAATTGCAAATTAAAACCATAATGAGATACCACTTCACACCCACTAGAATGGTGAGAATTTTAAAAAAAGGAAGATAACAAGTGTTGGTGAGGATTTGGAAAAATTGGAACCCTCATACATTACTGGTAGAAATGTAAAATGGTGCAACGACTGCGGAAAACAGTTTGCCAGTTCCTCAAAAAGTTAAACATAGAATTACTATATGACCCAGCAGTTCCACTTCTAGGTATATACCTAAAAAAATTGAAAACAAAGACTCAAACAGATACTTCACAACAATATTAAAGCAGCAGTAATCACGATAACCAAAGAGTACAAACAACCCAAGTGTGTACCAACAGATGAATTGATAAATGGTATGTAGTATATAAATACGTTGAAATATTGTTCAGCCATAAAACGGAATACATTTCTGATACATGCTACAACATGGATCAATCTAGAAAGCTAAGTTATATTATACTACGTGAAGTAAGCCAAATATAAAAGAACAAATATTGTATAATTCTACTTATATATGATATACCTGGAATAGGCAAATGTATAGACACTGAAAACAGAATAGGGGCTATAAGGGATGGGGTGAGGAAGGAATGGGGAATGATTTCCTAATTGTTATAGAGCTTCTGTTTGGGGTGATGAGAGTTTTAAAAACAGTGGTGATGGTTGCACAACGTTGTGAATGTACTTACTGCCACTGAATTGTACACGTAAAATAGGTAAAATGGTAAACCTCATATTATGTATATTTTGCCACAATTTTTTTTTACAGTTAAGTATTAGAGAGTGCAATGGCAAGCTATTAAAGTAATAGACCATGAGATATGGGAAAGTAGCCAAAGTTAGGAGTGGTTGGTCGGAAGAAAAGGGAATGTTTGAGGGATTAAAGGTTGCAGTGAGTTGGAAGGCCAGGTATTTAAGGAGTAAGATTGAGAAAACTGAAAACTTTTCTTCCTATGTGCTGACTAATATTGGAGCATTAGACTTTGAGTGGTAGACCATGTAAAGGTGAGGATATGACCATGGGTGTGGAATGCTTAAGTAGAGAATGAATCTTAGCAATTGAACATGGTTCAGGTCTCACAGGAGGAGGCCTGGAGTTGGGGTAGAAAGCAAACTTGACTTGGATGTTGATTAGTAGATGCCAGAGGTTGATTTGCGGGAGCCGCAAAGGAAAAAGGATTTTTTTTTTTACTTCTATATTTCTTAGCTCTGTACTTTTATTGTAGTATTGACCCAAGAGTTGTTGAATTTCTATTTATTGGAGAGATTTTGGTAAGCATGTTAGGTTGCCAATGGCTAAGCCAATCCTAAAGTTAACAGATGTAGAACTAGGCTCAGGCAATATTTCAGCTCTTCTGTAGGTCAGGAGGTTTTTGTTGGATTACGTGTATCAGGACAAGTGCAGTAAAGGGGAAAAGCATTGGCTTTTAAAAAATCTGCTTTTAAAGTGTGTAGAGCAGGTCTTCAAAGGCCTTTTCCTTAGTTAGTTTTGGTTTTGGAAGTATATACATTTCATACTATATGTCACATAATTGTTGTGCAGTGTGTTCAACTTATAAAATCAAGAAGAAATCATTCAGAAAGGCACATGTAACTAAATTATACTTTGCAATTACAGTATGGCCTCTAATTTTGTTTTCTCTTATGGCACATCTTTAACATAGTCTCTGATTTATGCTGGGTCTCAAAATACTGTTTTATTCTTTCTAGGAAAACAGGAAATCATTTTCACAACTTTATAAGTTGGCAAGACTTAAGAGCTGTTGAACTTGTAAAATCTTGGAATAATTCTCTTCTTATGAAGGTAATCTTTTTCTTGTGTGATTTGGATATTGTTGGTTTTTTTTTTCTGTAAATGTCCCTTAATTGTATTATTTCCTACCTATTTTGTTTTAGGACATTAAGAAGACATACGCACACACTCCCCATTCCAGTGAAGTTTAATAATAGCCAATCAAAGGCGTATGTGGTAGACTTCAGTACTTGTACCTCAGGAAGTTCTAAGGAGGTTTGTGGTGGACCAGAGTTTCACATGTTAGTGAGAATTTGTGTTTCTGTCCTTGAGAAATGGAAAAGATACAGACTAGATGAATGAAATGCCCAAATTTCATCTTTTATAAAAGCTCAGGATGGATATTGAGATATTATAGATAACTAGCAGACTGTTAGAAGCTCTTATCATTACAGGCATGATGGCTCGCGCCTGTAATCTCAACACTTTGGAAGGCTGAGGCAGGGGGA
Source organism: Homo sapiens (assembly GCF_000001405.40). Classification (NCBI taxonomy): domain Eukaryota; kingdom Metazoa; phylum Chordata; class Mammalia; order Primates; family Hominidae; genus Homo; species Homo sapiens. Next base: position 142,204,257 of record NC_000003.12, on the reverse strand, counting down.
TTGCTTGAGGCCAGAAGTTCAAGACCAGCTTGGGCAACATGGTAAGACCTCATCTCTACAAATAATGCAAAATTAGCTGAACATGGTGGTGTGGACCCCTAGTCCCTGCTACTTGGTAGGCTGAGGTGAGAGGATTGTTTGAGCCCAGGAGTTCAAGGCTGCAGTGATTGCCACTGCACTCCAGGGCACTCTGTCTGGGTGACACGGTGAGATCCTGTCTCAAAGCCAACAATACCAAATTATGCCTGATACATAGTAGGCATCAGTAAATGACAATGATGATGGTGACAGTGACAATAGCAACATCATGAAGTCAGCTGTTCTTCTGTTATTTGTCTCAAATTGCCCTCACTCCTGAGTGTGAGATTCCCGAGTCAAAGGGTAAAACAGTTTTCCAGCTCCTCGAGTGGTGTCAGACCTACAGTATTTTATGTCATAATCAATATTCCATATTAATTATTTTATTTTATTATTGTTATTTTTTGAGATGGAGTCTTGCTCTATCGCCCAAGCTGGAGTGCAGTGGCGCGATCTCAGCTCACTGCAACCTCTGCCTCCTGGGTTCACGTGATTCTCCTGCCTCAGCCTCCCAAGTAGCTGGGACTACAAGCATATGCCACCACGCCCAGCTAATTTTTTCTATTTTTAACAGAGACGGGGTTTCACCGTGTTAGTCAGGATGGTCTCGATCTCCTGACCTGATGATCCGCCTGCCTTGGCCTCCCAAAGTGCGGGGATTACAGGCGTCAGTCATCGCGCCTGGCCCATATTAATTATTTTAATACTTATAATGCCTCACAGTTAAATGCCTTCTCTGCTAGTGTACTGGTATCAGATGGCGCCCAGGGGACTGTCTACAGCATCAGTTTTACTTGATAAGTATTTGATGATATTAATTTAATATGGAAACAAATGTGAATATATTATGGAATATAACAGCAATGCATGAGTGAAACAATTTTGCCATAATCTCACCTGAATTGATTTTCCTTTTTGATAGTTTAATATAGAAAAATGTACCTTGCTGCAATAACTTGTGAGAGGTGCTGTTAATAAGAAGGACACAGTAATTGAGGGAGTAAAAGTGGTTATAAGGAAATGTCATGAACCCTCAATTGTATAATTTTAAATTATGTAATTTATAATCTATAATTTTATACCTTAATATATAATTTTAGTTTTTAATAGTTCATCAAACATTCTTTAATTTGGTCATTGAGGTGTTTAACACTTTTATTGCTTTGAAAAAAATTGTGATTTGAAAAGAAAAATTGTGATTTGAAAACATTTACTTCTGTAATATGTCTCATATTTCAAATCTTTTTTGTTTGTTTGTTTTGAGATGGAGTCTCCCTTTGTCACAACCTCCACCTCCCGAGTTCAAGCAATTCTCCTTCCTCAGCCTCCTGGGTAGCTGGGATTACAGGCACATGCCGCCATGCCTGGCTAATTTTTGTGTTTTTAGTAGAGACAGGGTTTCATCATGTTGGTCAGGTTGGTCTTGAACTCCTAGCCTCACGTGATCCGCCCACCTCAGCCTCCCAAAATGCTGGTATTACAGGTATGAACCACCATGCCTAAGCCTCAAATTTCCAATCATAATGCAGAACTGTGACCTCAAGCACAAAATTGAGCATTTAAAGCACTTTTGTCTACTTGATATTGAACATGCACATGATCAAAGTTTTGGTTCTCTTAGCAAAAAAATTTATACAAACACAGGCTTTCACAGTTTAGCACACATAATTCTAGGGCCTGTCCTGGCAGTGAAGGAGCCCCACTTTGCAATCATCCCTTTCCAGTTGCTAATGGTTTGATTGTGGCCTTTGGAAATGTTTAGAGTGTTTTTGCCAGAACTGGCACCAATGTCATTAGTTTGGCCAAGGCTAGTCTGAAGCAAAATGGTGAAGTAATTGAGGTGTGTTTGCAATCTCTTGCCACTGTTGCTTTCCTCCAGTCTCCCCAGATGCCCGGTCTTCCGCTTACTTTTTTGTTCTTATTCTTGCCTGATGATGGCTAAGGCTTTCTTCTCTTTGCTTTTAGCATAAAATCCCAACTCCTTACCAAGGTTTGGCTCTTTCTACACTTCTGACCACCTCCTAGACCTCTTTCTCCCTGAGGTTGCTAAAGATTAGCAACTGCATCTTTTTCAGCCTGTTTTTGTTCTTGTAGCACTCAAGCCCTTTCTTACCTTAAGGCCATTGTACATGCACGGGGTCTCTCTGCCATCGTGGCTGGATCCTTCTCATCTTTTTAGGGTCGAGCTCATGTAGCACATCTGGGAACCCTTCCCTGCCACCCTACTTAAAGGAACCCCCTTGCCCTCAATCTCTTATGTTGCCCTTTGTTTCCTTCATTGTACTTACTAAATTTCAAAGATTCTTAGATACACATTTTTTAAACTGAAAATTAAATGGAAATAATTATAGATTCACATGCAGTTGTAAGAAACAGTACAGAGATCCCTTAGACTCTTTGCACTTTCTCCCCATGGTAAAATTTTGAAAAACTATAGTATAACATCACAACCAGGACATTGACATTAATACAATCCATAAATTTTATTAGGATTTCCCCAGTTTTACTTTATATTTGTCTGTGTTTGTGTGTGTGTATGTGTATGTATATAAGTTCTATACAATTTTTTCCTATCTGTAGGTTCATGCATCCAGGAGCATATGCAAGATACTGAACAGTTCCGTCACTACAAAGATCTCTTGTGTTGTTCTTCTGTAACTATATCTACCACTCTCCTATACACCTCCCTACCCTCTCTCATTCCTAGCTCCTGGCAACCACTAATCTGTCCTCCATTTAAAAAATGTTCTAATTTGAAAAATGTTATATACATAGGATTATACTTTTAAATATATAACCTTTTGGGATTTGCTTTTTTCACTTAGTATAATTCCCTGGAGATTCATTCAAGTTGTTGCCTGTATCAGTAGTTTATTCCTTTCTGTTGCTGAGTTGTATTCAATAGTACAGCTGTATCACAGTTTATTTAACCATTCACTTGTTGAAGGACATCTGTGCTGATTCCAGTTTTTGGCTATTACAAATAAAGCTTTTATGAACGTTCTTTGTATAGAATTTTCTGTGAATGTAATTTTTCATTTCTCTGGGATAAAAACCTCAAGGTCATATGGTAATTGCATGTTTTCTTTTGTAAGGATCTGCCAAACTGTTTTCAAGAGTGACTATACCATTTACTTTCCCATCAGCAATGTATAAGTTATATTTTAACATCTCTGAAATCAGGATGCATTTCTTAGTAGCATGTTAAATAATGATTCATTTTACAGTCTGTCTTCTTAAATCATCTTATTTATTGACTTGATTGCTTATTTGTCTTCTCACTAAAATGTAAATGTTAAAAAGACAAGGATTCTGCCCATATTGTTCAATTTGTTTTTACAAGGCCTAGCAACAGTCCTTGGTATGCTATAAGTTACTCAGTAAATACTCATTAGATATATGAATGAAGATGCTAATTGTTTATATGTTGTCTAAAAGTGCAGTTATTAGAGCTTGTAATATTTTTGTATGACCTCACCACCCATCCTGAGTTATCTACATTTTAACAGAAGATCTCAGAAGTGTCCTAAATCTAATTTTTTATGAGAATAGTGTAGGGTGTATAAAGAGGAATTGCCCATTTTAGTTTAAATTATTTCTTATAACAAATCAGAAGAAGGCTTATGGGTGGTCACTTTAAATACTTTTAAAAAGTCTTATGTTTTAATAAATAATGTGAAAAATCTATATGCCATGTAAAATATAAAGAAATGACAGGGTGCAGTGGTTCACGCCTGTAATCCCAGCACTTTGGGAGGCCAAGGTGGGCGGATCACCTGAAGTCAGGAGTTCGAGACCAGCCTGGCCAACATGGTGAAACCCCATCTCTACTAAAAGTACAAAAATTACCCAGGCGTGGTGATCCACACCTGTAATCCCAGCTACTTGGAGGCTAAGGGAGGAGAATTGCTTGAACCTGGGAGGCAGAGGTTGCATTGCGCTGAGATTGCGCCATTGCACTCCAGCACTCTAAGCAAAAAAATGTAAGCCTGGGGAACAGAGTGAGACTCTGTCTCAAAAAAAACCAAAAACCATATGTATGTGTGTGTGTATGTGTTTGTGTGTGTGTGTGTGTGTGTGTATATATATATAGAAATAAAGAAGGTGTGAGCACTGAATAAGATGAGAAGGAAGTTAAAAGGACTAGACTGAAAGAACTGAGTCTACAAATTTTATTAATTGATGTGTTATCAATTAAAAATGAAAGAAAAAAATTTATATTACTATTTTTCACAAATAAACCAACATCTTTAAATTTATTTTAGGGAGTGAGGTAGGATTAACAAAAGTGGGTAAGTTCAACAAGAAGTGGGCAATACTTCTTAAGTGTTTTGTAAAACATCAGTTTTACAAGTTGAAGTGTCCATCTACATCCCTGTAGTGTGTGGCAGGATAGGGTTTTTTTTTTTTTCCTAGTATGTCTTAAAGACCTTAAAACTCAAAGCTTGTTTTCTGTATACCTAAGGCTTTTTGTAAATTAAAGATTTTGCTTATGTCTTATCTTTGATCATTAGATAAGTATAGGTAGTATTAAATAAAATCATACAACCAGATTTTAAGTACTTAATGTATAGGGAAATTTCTGTCTGTGTTAGTGCAAACTTAATTTCTAATAGGAAAGAAAAAAGCTAATAAGAGCTCATCCTTCGTTGTCTAGTATTAAGAGTTCTCAGGTCTTTGATTCATAGAGGCAGATTGAAGCTAAGATATAAGATTATGATTAATGTGAAAATATTTGGACTATGAGCCTTCAAAATCAAAGATTAGCTGATAACTTTATATAGATGTTATTACTATTGGAATAGTAGTGAATTAATGCTATTCTACTAAATAGTATAGATTTATCTGGGAGGCCTGCAATAAACTTAAAGTGTACATATCCCACTGAAATAAGAATACTACAAATATAGCCTCCTTCCTAGATTCTCTCCTTTAACTATCATAGTTAAAAATAGGTAGAGAGGTAAAAATATAGTTGTTTTTTTTTAAAAAAGTTTATAATAAGTACCTGAGCATCTGGTATTTGCTAAAATAATTCAAAGTAGATATGTTGCATTTCATATGTTAGAATACAAACTGCCCATTTAGGATAATATTGCTGTTTTTTATTTTCTTAATTGCAGAAAACACTATTATAAGTAGTTAAATGACTTGTTATTGGGTTTGTTTGCATGTATATAGAATTGATGTGGAAATTTTAAACACTACTAAATGCATTTTCCTAAAATATGTTTTTTAAAATATAGATATTTCACAGTTCTTGCCGAGTGCTTCACTTTTTCACTAGAAGTAAACGACTTTTTACAGCCAGTTTGTTCACTTTCACAACCCAGCAGACTTCTTTGAGATTGGTCTGGATTTTACAGAACTTGACTGAGGTAAGAAAATACTGTGTGTATGTGGAAAATATGTGTGTATGTGGAAACCATATAAAGACTATGGGGAAGAAAAAATTAAAGGAATAAAGATAGTAATTTGATTATTTGAGGGAAAATTAAGTGTCTACCACATATTGGAATGGAAGACAAAGTGGCATCTTATTTTGTTTGTTTTGCTTTTCTTTTTGAGACAGAGTTTTGCTCTTGTTGCTCAGGCTGATGTGCAATGGCGTGATCTCGGCTCACTGCAATCTCCAGCTCCCAGGTTCAAGTGATTCTCCTGCCACAGCCTCCCAAGTAGCTGGGACTACAGGCGCGTGCCACCACGCCCGGCTAATTTTTTGTATTTTTAGTAGAGATGAGGTTTCACCATGTTGGCCAGGCTGGTCACACACTCCTGACCTCAGGTGATCCATCTGCCTCAGCCTCCCAAAGTGCTGGGATTACAAGCGTGAGCCGCCACTCCCCGCCATATCTTTGATTTATATCAGTGGAATTCTTTTGTGTCAGACTCCTTTTGCTCAATATTATGTTTTTGACATATAGCAATGTTGTGTGTAAATTACTTTGCTTATATTTTCATTGCTATTTGCTGTTCAATGTATGATTTTACCATAGTTTATTGTCTATTCTATTCATGTACATTTGGGTTATTTCCTGTTTTTAGCTGTTATGAATAATGCATCTCTTGGTGTACATGTAATTGCTATGTCTATACATAGGAATGGAATTTTTAGGGCATGAATGTGTATATATATCTTCACCTTTTTTTTTTTTTTTGAGACAGAGTCTCACCCTGTCACCCAGGCTGGAGTGCAATGTGCGATCTCAGCTCACTGTAAACTCTGCCTCCCAGGTTCAAGCGATTCTCCTGCCTCAGCCTCCTGAGTAGCTGGGATTACAGGCGCATGCCACCATGCCCAGCTAGTTTTTGTATTTTTAGTAGAGATGGGGTTTCACCATGTTGTCCAGGCTGGTCTTGAACTCCTGACCTCGTGATCTGCCTGCCTCAGCCTCCCAAAGTGCTGGGATTACAAGCATGAATCACCATGCCCAGCCATGTATCTTTACCTTTAAAGGATAATGTCAAAACACTTTTGCAAAGTGATAATAACAATTTACACAGTATCAGTATGTGATCAGAGGACTTTTTATTTCATTTACTGTCATAATTGACATTATTAGTCTATATTTTAGCCATCCTAGTTGGTAAGTAATATCTGAGTGTGATTTTAGACTGGATAAAAAAACAAGATCTAACTATATGTTGTCTATAAGGGACACACTTAAGATTTAAAAAATATAAAGAGGTTAAAAGTAAGTGAGTGGAAAAGATATATCATGTAAACAGTCACTGTAAGAAGCTGGAGTGGTTATATTAACATCAGGTAGTATAGACTTTAAAACAAAAACATGTTACTAGAGATAAAAAGGGAATTTTATAATGATAAGATGGTGAATTCATCATAAATATATAACAGTTATAAACACCTAATAACAGAGGTCCACAATACATGAAGCAAAAATGGACAGAATTGAAGGGAAAAATAGAAAGTTGAGCAGTGATAGTTGGAGACTTCAGTACCCCACTTTCTTTTTTTTTTCTCTTTTTTTTGAGACGGAGTCTCACTCTGTCACCCAGGCTGGAGTGCAGTGGCGTGCTCTCGGCTCACTGCGAGCTCCAGCTCCCAGATTCACATCATTCTCCTGCCTCAGCCTCCCGAGTAGCTGGGACTACAGGCACCCGCCCCCGCACCTGGCTAATTTTTTGTATGTTTAGTAGAGATGGGGTTTCACTGTATTGGCCAGGATGGTCTTGATCTCCTGACCTCGTGATCCACCTGCCTCGGCCTCCCAAAGTGCTGGGATTACAGGCGAGAGCCACCGCGCTTGACCCTCACTTTCAATAATGGATAGAATAACTAGACAGAAGATTAACAAGGAAGTAGAAAATTTGATTAACAGTAACAACTAACTAGACCTAACAGACATTTATAGAAAACTCTACCCAAGAACAGAATATACACTCTCTTGAAGTGTACATGGAATTTTCTCCAGGATAGATCATAGGCTAGGCCATACTACAAGCCTCAATAAATTTAAAGGGGTTGAAATTATACGAAGTCTGTTGTCTGACCATAAAGGCTTCGAATTAAAAGTAACAGAAAAAACTTGGGAAATTCAAAAATATATGAAGATTAAACAACACACTTAAAAATAACCAAAGGGTCCAAGGAGAAATCATAAGAGAAATTAAGAAATACTTTGAGATGAATGAAAATAAGATACAACATACCAAAACTTATTAGATGCAGATAAAGTACTTAGAAGGAAATTTATAGCAAAATGATATTACATGTAGAAGAGTATATTTAAAAAGAAGCAAAATATCACGTCAATAGTCTACCATTCTACCTTACGACATGGAAAAAGATGAGCAAACTAAATTCAAAACAAGCAGAAGGAAAGAAATAATGGAATTAGAACAAAATTAATATAATAGAGAATAGAAAAACAGTGAAGAAAATCAATAAAACCGAAAGTTGCTTCTTTGAAAAGATTAGCTAAACTGACAAAGACGAGAGAAAACCCAAATAACTAAAATTATGAATTATTATGAAATTATGGATATTAATACTGACCTCACAGAAATAAAAAGGATTAATAGGCAATACCATGAACAAGTGCATGCCAACAAATTAGATAACAAGATAAAATGAAAAATTTCCTAGAAATACACAAACTACTGGAAATAACTCGAGGAGAAATAAATAATCTGAATAAATCTATAACAAGTAAAGAGATTGAAGTAATAAATAATAAATTCTCACCTAGAAAAGCCCAGAGCCAGATGGCTTTACTAGTGAATTCTACCAAAAGTTTAAAGAAGAATTAACACAATCCTTTCACAAATTCTTCCAAAAAATAGAAGGGGAAAATAGACAATTGAATAGTAATAGTTGGAGACTTTAATACCCCACTATACTTCCATTATTGGAGTGGATTATACTTCCATTATTGGAGTGAGAGATACTTCCCAGCTCTTTCTTTTAGGCCAGTATTCCCTGATAACCAGATCAAAGACATCAAGAGAAAAGAAACTGATAGACCAATATTCCTTATGAATACAAATGCAAAAATCCTCAACAAGGCTGGGTGTGGTGGCTCATGCCTGTAATCCCAGCACTTTGGGAGTCTAAGGCAAGAGTATTGCTTGAGCCCAGGAGTTCAAGACCAGCCTGGGCAATATAGCAAGACACCATCTCTCCAAAAAAATTAAAAATTAAAAAATTAGCTGGGTATAGTAGTACACACCTGTAGTCCCAGCTACTTGGGAGACTGGGGTGGGAGGATTGCTTGAGCCCAGGAGTTTGAGACAGCAATGATCCAGGATCACACCACCACTGCACTCCAGCCTGGATGACAGAGCAAGACCCTGTCTCTGGAAAGAAACCACACACACACACAAAACTTCAACAAAATATTAGCAAGTCAAATCCAGCAACATATAAAAAGGATTATATATCATGACTAAGTGGGATTTATCCCAAGAATACAGGATTGGTTTACCATTCAAAAAATCAATTAATATGGATCTTTTATAAAAACTGGTAAATGTAAAAAAATAGAAAATTAATATACACCATATTAATAGAATAAAGGACAAAAAAACACATGATCATGTCAGTAGATATAGAAAAAAGCATTTGACAATATCTAGCCCCTCTTCATGATAAAATGCTCAACGTACTAGGAATAGAAGGAAACTCCTTCAACCTGATCTTTGAAAAACCCACAGCCGACACCATACTTAATAGTTGAAAACTGAATGTTTTTCTCCTAAGTTCGGGAACAAGACAAAGATTTCCACTCTCACCACTTGTAATTAACATTGTATGGGAGGTTCTAAGCCAGGGCAGTTGAGCATGACAATGTAATAAAAGGCAACTAGATTGGAAAGGAAGGAGTAAAACTATCTCTATGATGCAGATGACATGATCTTGTATATTGAAAATCCTAAGGAATTTCCTAAAAAAATTAGCACTAATATTATAAATGAGTTTAGTAAGGTGGGAGAGTATAAGATCAATATACAAAAAAAAAAATTTTCTTTTTTGACACAGAGTCTGTCACCCAGGCTTGAGTACAGTGGCATGATCGCAGCTCACTGTAGTCTCAACCTCCAGGCTCAAGAGATCCTCTTACTTCAGCCGCCAGAGTAGCTGGGACTACAGGCGCACACCACCATGCCCAGTTAATTTTTTTTTTTTTTTTCGAGATGGAGTCTTACTCTGTCATCCAGTAGGGAGTGCAGTGGCATGATCTTGGTTTACTGTAACCTCTGCGTCCCAGGCTCAAGTGATTCTCCTGCCTCAGCCTCCCAAGTAGTTGGGACTACAGGCGTGCGCCACAACGCCCAGCTAACTTTTGTATTTTTAGTAGAGACGGGGTTTCGCCATGTTGGCCAGGCTGGTCTCGAACTCCTGACATTAAGTGATCTGCCCGCCTCGACCTTCCAAAGTGCTGGGATTACAGGTGTGAGTCACCGTGCCTGGCCCCAGTTAATTTTTAAATTTTTTGTAGAAACAAGGTCTCACTATTTTGTCCTAGCTGCTCTTGAACTCCTGGGCTCAAGTAATCTTCCCACCCCAGCCTTCCAAAGTGCTGGGATTACAGGTGTGACCCGCCGCACACAGCTAAAAATCGTGTTTCTATATACTAGCAATGAACACTAGAAAGTGAAATTAAGAAAACAATTTTGGCTGGACGCAGTGGCTCATGCCTGTAATCCCAGCACTTTGGGAGGCCGAGGGGGGTGGATCACCTGAGATCAGGATTTCGAGACCAGCCTGGCCAACATGGTGAAACCCCGTCTCTACTAAAAATACAAAAATTAGCCAGACATAGTGGTGGACTCCTGTAATCCCAGCTATGTGGGAGGCTGAGGCAGGAGAATCACTTGAACTGGGGAGGCAGAGGTTGCAGTGAGCTGAGATCACACCATTGCACTCCAGCCTGGGCAACAGAGCGAGATGCTGTCTACCCACACACAAAAAAGAAAGAAAACAGTTTCATTTACAAAAACATCAAAAAGAATAAAATACGTATGAATAAGCTTAACTACAAAATATATACTTTGAAAAGTACAAAACATTGTTGAATACAGTTAATGAAGGCCTAAATAAATGGAAAGACATCTTATATACATGGATTGGAATATTTAATACTGTTAAGATTATAGTATTCTTCGAATTTATCTACAGGTACAACACAATTTCTACCAAAATTTCTGCTTTTTTTTTTGTTTTTTTTTTTTTGTAGCAGACAAGCTGATCCTAAAATTCACATAGAAATTTGAGGAACCCAGATTAGCAAAAGAATCTTGAAAAAGGAACAGTATGGGAAAACTCACACTTCTCAATTTCATTGTGGCTTTAATTTGCATTACTCTATTTCCTAACAAAATTGATATCTTTTCACATACTTACCATTTGTATATCCTTTTGTGAAGTACCTCAGTCCTTTGTTTTCTAAAAAATTAATACACTTTAATTTTAGAGTAGTTTTAGGTTTACAGAAACATTCAGCAGTAAATATAGTTTCCATATGCCCTTACTCCCCAACAGTTTCTGCTGTTATTAGCATCTTGTATTACGGTGGTACATCTGTTACAATTAATGAACCAATATGGAAACATTATTATTAATGTAATGTATCTACCATTGCAGTACTATTATACACTGTAGTTTCACTGTCCTGAAAAATCCCCTGTCCTTCACCTACTCACATCTCTTTCTGAACCCTGGGTAACACTGATATTTTTATTGTCTCTAGCTTTGTATTTTCCAGAATATCATATAGTTGGAATCATATAGTATATAGACTTTACAGACTGGCTTCTTTCACTTAGCAATATGCATTTAAGGTTTCTCCATGTATTTTTGTGCCTTGTTAGCTCATTTCTTTTTATCACCTAATAATATTCCATTGTCTGAATGTGGCACAGTTTATCCAATCACATTTTTTTTTTTTTTTTTGAGACAGAGTCTCACTCTGTCGCCCAGGCTGGAGTGCAGTGGCATGATCTCAGCTCACTGCAACCTCTACCTCCCAGGTCCAAGCAATTCTCCTGCTTCAGCCTCCCAAGTAGCTGAGATTACAGGTGCCTGCCACCATGCCCAGTTAATTTTTGTATTTTTAGTAGAGACGGGATTTCATCATGTTGGCCAGGCTGCTCTCGACCTCCCGACCTTAAGTGATCCACCTGCCTTGGCCTCCCAAACTGCTGGAATTACAAGCATGAGCCACCGTGCCTGGCCTATCCAGTTACCTATTGAAAAACATCTTGGTTACTTCCAGTTTTTGGCAATTATGAATAAAACTGCTATACACTTTTGGGTGCAGGTTTTTATTTGGACATAAATCTTCAACTCATTTGAGTAAATAGGTGTATGATTGTTGGATCATATGGTAAGACTGCATTTAGTTTTGTAAGGAACTATCAAGCTATCCTCCAAAGTAGCTGTGTCATTTTGTATTCCCACCAACAGTTGGAGAGTTCCTCTTGCTCCGTATCCTTGCCAACATTTGCTGTTGTCAGTGCTTTGGATTTTAGCTATTTTAATAGGTGTGTAGTAGTATCTTATTGTTTCAATAGGTGTGTAGTAATATTCATTGTTTGCAGTTCCCTAATGCCTTGTGATACAGAGCATATTTTCATGTGCTTATTTACCATCAGTATATCTTGGGTGAGGTGTCTGTTCAGATCTTTTGCCATTAAAAAAATTTTTGTTTGTTTGTTTTGAGACAGATTCTTGCTCTGTCACCCAGGCTGGGGTGCAGTGGCATGATCGTGGCTCATTATAGCCTCAAAACTCATGGGCTCAAGTGAGCTTCCTGCCCCAGCCTCCTGAGTAACTGGGACTACAGGCGTGTGCCACCATGCCCGGCTAATGTTTTCACTATTTATTTATTTATTTAGAGACAGAGTCTCACTCTGTCACCCAGGTTGAGTGCATTGGCATCATCTCGGCTCACTGCAACCTCTACTTCCTGGGTTCAAGTGATTCTCCTGCCTCAGCCTTCCAAGTAGCTGGGATTATAGGAGGCTAATTTTTGTATTTTTAGTAGAGATGGGGTTTCACCATATTGGCCAGACTGGTCTTGAACTTCTAACTTCAAGTGATCCACCTGCCTCGGCCTCCCAAAGTACTGGGATTACAGGCAAGAGACACAGCGCCCAGCCAAATTTTTTCACTTTTAATAGAGATAGAGTGTCGCTGTTTCCCAGGCTGTCCTCAAACTCTTGAGCTCAAGTGATCCTGCCACCTTGGCCTCCCAAAGTGCTGGGCTACAGGTGTGAGCTATCGCACCTAGCCCCACTTAAAGTTTTTTTTTAATGTGTAGACTTATTGTTAGGCAATTGATATCTTTTGTAGCTATTTTAACTAGTCCTTTAAATTATTATACTTCTTGCCGGGCGCAGTGGCTCATGCCTGTAATCCCAGCACTTTGGGAGGCCGAGGTGGGCGGATCACGAGGTCAGGAGTTCAAGACCAGTCTGGCCAATATGGTGAAACCCTGTCTCTACTAAAAATACAAAAATTACCACGCACCTGTAGTCCCAGCTACTTGGGAGGCTGAGGCAGAAGAATCTTTTGAACCGGGGAGGTGGAGGTTGCAGAGAGCTGAGACTGCACCACTGTACTCCAGCCTGGGTGACATGGCCAGACTCTGTCTCAAAAAAAAAAAATTATTTATACTTCTTTTTGGCTGGTCTTTAGAAATATAGTTACTTTTTGTGAATTGACCTTTAATCCAGTAATGTTACTGAATTCACTTAGTTATTCTAGTAACTTATCTAATAGCTTTTTTTGCAAAGGATGTTTCTGTGTATACAGTTATGTCTTTTGCAAATGACTAGATTTTTTTTCTGCTGGTTTAACACTTTTTTTCTTTTTCATTGGCAAGGACCTCCAGGATATGTTGATTAGAAGGAGGGATCATTAATTCTTTTTCTTGTTTCTGATCTTGGACCAAAGGCTTTCAACATTTCTTTACTTAGTATGAATTTGGCTTTGGGGTGCTATCCTTTGTACTTTATCAAATTAAGGAAGTTCCCTTTCTTTGCTAAGTTTGCTGACACTTTTTATTATGAATGGTTATTGAATTTATCAAACATATTTTCTGTGCTTATTATCTAGGTTTAGTGTGTTTTATGCAAGCTACTTGGGGTTTGTAGGGCTTTTTGAATTTGTTGCTTGAGGTCTTCGTTGATTTTGAAAAATGCTCAGGTGTTATCTCTTCAAATGTAATTTCTGCTCCATTCTCCTTATCTTTTTTTCTGAAAGCCCAAATATGGGCCATTGCCCTAGGACC